>NC_000018.10:49425243-49725910 GCF_000001405.40 Homo sapiens
TCTGCAACCATCTGATCTTTGACAAACCTGACAAAAACAAGCAATGGGGAAAGGATTCCCTATTTAATAAATGGTGCTGGGAAAACTGGCTAGCCATATGTAGAAAGCTGAAACTGGATCCCTTCCTCACACCTCATACAAAAATTAATTCAAGATGGATTAAAGACTGACATGTTAGACCTAAAACGATAAAAACCCTAGAAGAAAACCTAGGCAATACCATTCAGGACATAGGCATGGGCAAGGACTTCATGTCTAAAACACCAAAAGCAATGGCAACAAAAGCCAAAATTGACAAATGGGATCTAATTCAACTAAAGAGCTTCTGCACAGCAAAAGAAACTACCATCAGAGTGAACAGGCAACCTACAGAATGGGAGAAAATTTTTGCAATCTACCCATCTGACAAAGGGCTAATATCCACAATCTACAAAGAACTTAAACAAATTTACAAGAAAAAATCAAACAACCCCCATCAAAAAGTAGGCAAAGGGTATGAACAGATACTTCTCAAAAGAAGACATTTATGCAGCCAAAAGACACATGAAAAAATGCTCATCATCACTGGCCATCAGAGAAATGCAAATCAAAACCACAATGAAATACCATCTCACACCAGTTAGAATGGCGATCATTAAAAAGTCAGGAAACAACAGGTGCTGGAGAGGATGTGGAGAAATAGGAACACTTTTACACTGTTGGTGGGACTGTAAACTAGTTCAACCATTGTGGAAGTCAGTGTGGCGATTCCTCAGGGATCTAGAACTAGAAATACCATTTGACCCAGAAATCCCATTACTGGGTATATACCCACAGGACCGTAAAGCATGCTGCTATCAAGACACATGCACACATATGTTTATTGTGGCACTATTCACAATAGCAAAGACTTGGAACCAACCTAAATGTCCATCGATGATAGACTGGATTAAGAAAATGTGGCACATATACAGCAGGGAATACTATGTAGCCATAAAAGAGGATGAGTTCACGTCCTCTGTAGGAACATGGATGAAGCTGGAAACCAACATTTTGAGCAAACCATCGCAAGGACAGAAAACCAAACACCACATGCTCTCACTCATAGGTGGGAATTGAACAATGAAAACACTTGGACACAGGGTGGGGAACATCACACACTGGGGCCTGTTGTGGGGTGGGGGGAGGGGGGAGGGATAGCATTAGGAGATATACCTAATGTAAATGACGAGTTAATGGGTGCAGCACATCAACATGGCACACGTATACATATGTAACAAACCTGCATGTTGTGCACGTGTACCCTAGAACTTAAAGTATAATAAAAAATAATAATAAAAAAATTAAAATTTATTGCCAAAAGATATAAACAGTTCACGGAAAAGGAAATACCAATACCCCTTAAACATATGAAAATAAACACAACCTTAATTATTAAAGAAAGGCAAATAAAACCATAAGGACCACTATCCAAAACTTGCTGAACTGGGTATCAAAAAGAAAAACGACTGCTATTAGTCACACTGGAAAACATGTGTGTGTGTGTGTGTGTGTGTGTGTGTGTGTGTGAATTTACCCTCAAGACAGAAATAGGCCCTCTACCTCTGAGGTAAAGGGAAACGGGAAGTATAGACTTCTTTGTCATGATTACACCAACCCCTTCCTGAAAATTGGTAAAGAAAAAAACTGAAGTGCTTACCTTTAATTAGTAATAAATATAGTAAGAACTATATTTTACATAACCTAATTGATGACATAAAGTCCTCTTTACAGAAGAACTCCAGTTATTAAATGTAGAAATGACCAAATTAGAAATATTACCATTTTGTAACCTCTTATAAAACAGGTGATTCAGGCAAAAATCAATACATGCTAAAATACACTCAAAACTCTGATCAATCTTAGCATGATAACTGGTATAAAACATACTTTTTCTACATATGGAATACCTTACCAAAAATGATTAACCTAAATTTTATCAAGCTTTTAAACCTCATTTCCAATTTACGGGAAATATATGGAATAAAAGAACAAGTTACAAGGTGTGAGAAGCAATCAGATAAATACAGAAGATGGAACATTCTACAGAAAAACTGACACAATTTGTTTTAAAAATGACATGAAGGGAAAAAATAGTGGCAAGGGTGGGAAGTGGACACCTATATTCTACATTAGAAGACATTTAAGGACAAGAACCATCAAGTGCAACGTATGCACCTTATTTGGCTCCTAATTGTAATAAACTATTAAAACAACTTTAATTTAAATTTAATTAAAATTTAAATATGGAAAAATTTAAATATGAACTGGGTAGCAGAAATTATTGTTAATTTTGTGAGGTGTGATAATGGTATTATGGTTATGTAAAAAAAAAGACTTTACGATACTTAAAAAACAATAATGAACAAAATATAGAAACAACCCAGTGTCTATTAATTTCTGAATGAACAAAATGTACTATATCCATACAATGGAGTATCACTCAACAATATCCAAATGTCTATTAATTTCTGAATGGACAAACAAAATGCAGTATATCCATACAATGGAGTATCACTCAGCAATAAAAAGGAATGGAGGCTGGGTCCAGTGGCTCATGCTTATAAATCCCAACAGTTTCAGAGGCAGAGGCAGGAGGATCACTTGAGGCCAGGTGTTCGTTCAAGACCAGCCTGGGCAACATGGCAAGACCTTATGTCTACAAAAGATTTTTTAAAAAGCAGCCAGGCATGGCGGTGCATGCCTGTGGTCCCAGCTACTCAGGAAGGTGAAGTGGAAGGATCACTTGAGCCCAGGAGTTCAAGGCTATAGTGAGCTACGATCGCACCACTGCAATCCAGCCTGGGCAACAGAGTGAGACCTTGTCTCAAAAAAAAAAGAAAAAAAGGAATGCAAGTATTGGTGCATGCTACAACATGTATGAATATTACATTCAGTGAAAGAAGCCAGTCACGGCGGGGCGCAGTGGCTCACACTTGTAATCCCAGCACTTTGGGGTGCTGAGGATTTCTTGAGCCCAGGAGTTCAAGACCAGCCTGGGTAACAGAGCAAGACCCCATCTCTAAAAAGGTAGAAGAAAAAAAAAGAAAGAAGCCAGTCACAAAAGACCACCTATTGTTACAATTTCATTTACATGAAACGTCTAGAAGAGGCAAAGTTAGTAGTAGTTATTAAATTAGTGGCTGGACGCAGTGTCTCACGCCTGTAATCCCAGCACTTTGGGAGGCTGAGGAAGGTGAATCACTTGAGGTCAGGGGTTCGAGACCAGCCTGGCCAACATGGTGACATCTCATCTCCACAAAAAATACAAAAATTAGCCATGCATGAAGGCATGCAACCGTTAAGCCCAGTTACTCGGGAGGCTGAGGCCGAAGAATTGCTTGAATCCAGGAGGCAGAGTTTGCAGTGAGCAGAGATCGCGCCACTGAACTCTAGCAGACTGAGACTCCCTCTCAAAAAATAAATAAATAAATAAGTGGTTGCTAGTGCAATCTAGAGTTTGGGGGAGTGTCTGCTAATGGGCATGGGATAGGGCATGGGATGGTTCCTTTCTGGGATGATAATGTTCTAAAATTGGTGATTGTTACACAATTCTGTGAATAAAAACACTGAATAATACACTTTAAATGGGTGAATTACATGATATATGAAACATATCTCAAAAAGTGTATTATTTTTCTATTGCTACTACAAAAGTTATCAAAATTTAGTGGTGTGAACAACATAAATTTATTATCTTACAGTTCTGTAGGTCAGAAGTCTGACACTCAATGAGCTAAGATCAGGATGTCAATAAGGCTGCATCCCTTTCCAAAGGCTCTAGAGGGAAATCTGCATCCTTGCCTCTGCCAGCTTCTAGAAGCTGCTCATATTTCTTGCTCATGACCTCCCTACCATCTTCAAAGCCAGCAAGGGCAGGCTGAGTCCTCCTCACATCACATCTGACTTTCTCTTCTACCTCCCTCTTCCACTTTCAAGAAGCCTTGTGATTACTTTGGGCCTGCCCAGATAATCCAAGATAATCTCCCTGTTTTAAGGTCAGCTGATTAGTAACCTTAATGCCTTTTGCTACTTTAATTCCCCTTTGCCATGTAATGTAACATATTCAGATTCTGCAGACAAGGACATGGACATCTTTGGGGGGCTACTATTCTGCCTATCATAATAAAGCTCTTAAAAAGTAAATAAAAAATTTTTAAATCTAGTTATTGAGTGTATGGGAATTCAATATTCTATTCATTCTTCATTATTATTGTCTGACAGTTTTTGTAATAGAATTAAATATGAGATATTATTTTTCACCTCTGAAACTGGCAGAGGTCAAAGGTCTAAAATGCATCAAACTGACAAAGATATGGGGAAACACACCTCTCATGCATTGCTGGTAGGTATGCAAATTGCTACAACTTCCATGGTGCACAATTTGGCATAGCTACCAAATTGCAAATGCACATACACTTTGACCCAGCAATTCTACTTCAAGGAATTTATACTAAAGATATATTGTGTGTATGAAAAATGATGTATGCGGCAGTAACTGTTACAACAAAGACTGGAAACAATCTAAATGTTCATCAACAGAAAAACCAATTAAATATATTCTACAGATACTCCACAGCCATTAAAAAGAATAAGGAAGTTGCAAATGTGCTACATATACAAGATATATTTTACTTAACTGTGGAAAAAAAGGCAAGGGACAGAACAGTACGTGTAGTATGCTACCATTTGTATTTAAACAATTTTGTGAAACTATATGGGATATATGCTTAAGTAACCTATATTATCTCTAGAACGATTCAAAATAAACTGCTACCAGTGATAACCTCTAGAGAAGGGAGGTGGCTACTGAGTTGGGTAAAAAGAAAAGCTTATTTTCTACTTTCAAATCTTTTGGATTTTCTACTGATCTATGTATGACAGATAGACTAGATAGATAGACAGAACATTTCTAAATTTTTTTTTAATCAGCATACCACACAAGTTGATATGGCCCTCTATTCAAATTTTCAATCTCCAGGCAATCTCTTACCTGCTAGTTGGTGCAGGGAAAGAAAATGAGAGAAGCTGATTCCAGAACGGGTCATTCTCAGAGATAGATTCCGTGCCTGATAACTTTTTCAAGTACTCATTTTTAGGAAGATCGCCGATTCTGCTGCTATTCGATCCCATCTTCTAGCTTAAGCAGATAATTTGTCCTTAAACCTGCATTTCCAAAAGACAACCTATAAAAAATAAAAATAAAAACTTTAAACTTGTTCAAAAGTCATCATGCTTTGTCTACCTATAAAAAAACTATAAACTTACTAAAGAAAATCACACATTTCTGTATTTATAAATATATTAGACATCAGATACAAAGTTACAAGAAATATGGGGCTAGGCCAGGCATGGTGACTCACGCCTGTAATCCCAACACTTTGGGAGGCTGAGGCGGGCAGATCATGAGGTCAAGAGATTGAGACCATCCTGGCCAACACGGTGAAACCCCGTCTCTACTAAAAATACAAAACTTAGCTGGGCGTGGTGGCACGCACCCGTAGTCCCAGCTACTCAAGAGGCTGAGGCAAGAGAATCACATGAACCCAGGAGGCAGAAGTTGCAGTGGGCCAAGATCGCGCCACTGCACTCCAGCCTGGCGACAGAGCAAGACTCCATCTCAAAAAAAAAAAAAAAAGAAATATGGAGCTAACACCTGTCTTAGCCAATACAAACACAAAAATCCGAATCTATATTGTACTTGTACCATGTATCTTAGGATGGGCATAGCTCTACCCAAGAAAATGTCTCAAAGCAAAATCATAATAATGGTAACTTATAATTAGTCTGAAAATGAAGCTGTTTTACAACCAAAACAATGGTGACAAAGAAATACAGAAATCTGGATGGCTTGAATGTACAAGGAAGGGAACATAGCTCAAGTAATTACCATGTGCTACTTCTACTTATGGGGGTCATAGGGACAAACCTGAATTACCAACTTCAAGTGAAAGAGATCCCAATTACAAAGGAATCACATTTAATGTTTCTGTCATTCTGCTGTAGGGCACATATGCAGTTTTAGTTGATATGCCTCTTCCCCTAAACCATGCACATTTTTACGACAGGAATTATCTCATTCATCTGTCTATGCCCACTGTCTAGACTAGCATGTAAAAAATTCCCTAAACAGTATGTTGAAGGAACAAGGGAGTGAATAAATAATTAGTATCCACGAGGCTCTTCAAAAGTCAGTATTGGTTGTTCTCAGTCACTAAGGGAAGAAAACTAGTTACAAATATGAATCACTGTCTCCCTTAAATCACACTTAACATAGATTTAGATCATGTTTTATCTTGATTTGTTCAGAAAAGTTCTCCCATTGAATAATAAAATGGTGATAAGATAAATAATACATTATACTATTTTAAAATTACCATCACAATGAAAGGAAACTACATGGCCTCAGGGACCAAAGGCGGCTCAGGTCAGGTGAGAATGTGTATTAGTGACTCACTTTCTTCCTCATGTCCCTTCTCATTCCACAAAGGCACTGAAGCCACGGTCAGAATTTGGGAGCTGGATTGAGCTGCTTATTCTGAGAGCAAGATGCTTCCCCGATGATGCACATGGACAGCTGGGTCTTCTGAATCTGAGATAGAAATACTGATCTGGCTCCTCATCGCCTGCCCCTAAAGCTGAGGCTAGCCACTACTTTCATCCTTCCTGCAAGGGGACAGGGGCCCCAATAACTCAATTCAACTTCAACTGAATCATAATTCAGCTTCAATTAAGCCTCTATATTAAGACAGCTAATCATAAGGTTTAATTTCTTAAAGTAGGGCTTGTTAAGCCCAATTAGAAAATGCTATAAAAGAAATATCCTGAAGGCCGGGCGCTGTGGCTCACGCCTGTAATCCCAGCACTTTGGGAGGCCAAGGCGGGCAGATCACCTGAGGCGATCTACTCAAAATACAAAATTAGTCTGGCATGGTGGTGCATGCCTGTAATCCCAGCTACTAGGGAGGCTGAGACAGGAGAATCACTTGAACCCAGGAGGCAGAGGTTGCAGTGAGCCAAGATCACACCATTGCACTCCAGCCTGGGCGACAAGAGCAAGACTGTCTCAAAAAAAAAAAAAAAAAAAGAAAGAAAGAAATTCTCTGAAATATATAAATTCCTAACTTACAATAGTATTTTAAGCTATCAAAATTATATGGGGACATAATACACTAGTGAAAATGAATGAAACAGAGCTAAATGGATACATCTCAAAAATATAAAATGTTTAAAAAAAAAAGCAAGCTACCTAATAGATATGGTATGCTTTCATTTATAAGATTTTAAAACTGGCAAAAAATATTATGGATTTATTCATAGCTAGTACCAGCATTAAAATTTTTTTTTTTTTTTTTTTTTTAAGAAACAGGGCCTCACTCTGTTGCTGAGTACAATGCTGGAGTACAGTGGCGTGATTATAGCTCATTGTAACCTCAAACTCCTGGGCTCAAGGGAGCCTCATTGCCTCAGCCTCCTAAGTAGCTGGAACTACAGGTACATGCCACCAAAGCCCAGCTAATATTCTGTTATTTGGTAAAGATGGGGTCTCACTGTGTTGCCCAGGCTGGTCTCGAACTCTTTCTGCCTTGGCTTCAACCACAGTGCTGACATTACAAGCATGAGCTACTGAGCCTGGCCAAGAGGAATTAATTTAACTAGAAATCTATAGCTTTTCAAGCTACCAATTAAGTTTGAAAGTAGAATAAAAACATTTTCTGATTTGCCAAGATTCAAAAGACCTCCCAGGAACCTACAAGGAAGCTACAAGATGTACTCCTTCCACATGAGGGAACAAGCCAAGAAAAAGGAAGAAATTCAAGAAACAGGGGATCCAACACAGGGCAGTGGTATAGAGAATCACAGCCATGGAGCAGGCTGGGACAAGAGTCAAAACAGCTCCCGGATCAACCAGGAGAAGAAAGCATAGAACTGACGGTTCACTTGATGCGTCTAACCTTATTCTGTGGAATGTTACAATACTGTAGGAGAATTTGGAAGCAATGAATAATAGTTATATGGAGAATAAAGTAAATAATTTCGTATAGACTACAAACTTTGGGAAAAACAAGTTATTCAAGAAAGGTCATGTAATCATAGTATACGACTAAATTCAACAGTAATCAACATTTATATAATCACTATGATATAAATACTAAATATTTAACCAAAAATTGTGAGTTAACTCTACTGAGAAGATTCCAGAAGCAGCAGCAGGATTGGTGGTCTACGAGTGCTAAACCTTCATCTTCCATAATAGGTAGTGCTCAATAGAAAATATGTAAAGTTAGTAAATCAAAAAACAGTAAAAATTTATTAGTTATAAATAAGGAAGTAGGGCCAGGTGTGGTATTATCCCAACATTTTGGGAGGCCGAGGCAGGTGGATCACTTAAGGCCAGAAGTTCGAGACTAACCTGGTCAACATAGTGAAAACCCGTCTCTACTAAAAATACAAAAATTAGCTAGGCATGTTGGAGCATGCCCATAATCCCAGCTCCTCAGGAGGCTAAGGCACGAGAATCACCTGAACCTGGGAAGTGGAGATTGCAGTGAGCCGAGATTGTGCCACTGCAATCCAGCCTGGGCGACAGAGTGAAACTCTGTCTCAAATTAAATAAATAAGGAGGTAAATAGCAAAAAGCAACAGCTTATAGATTTTTAAATGGTGGCCAGGCGCGGTCGCTCACACCTGTAATTCCAGCACCCTGAGAGGCCAAGGCGGATGGGTCACCTGAGGACAGGAGTTTGAGACCAGCCTGACCAATAGGATGAAACCCTGTCTCTATTAAAAATACAAAAATTAGGCTGGGCGCGGTGGCTCACGCCTATAATCCCAACACTTTGGGAGGCCAAGACGGGCAGACCGTGAGGTCAGGAGATCGAGACCATCCTGGCCAACATGGTGAAACCCCGTCTCTACTAAAATACAAAAAAAAATTAGCCAGGTGTGGTGGCACACGCCTGTAGTCCCAGCTACTAGGGAGACTGAGGCAGGGGAATCACTTGAACCTGGGAGGTGGAGGTTGCAGTGAGCTGAGATCTTGCCACTACACTCCAGCCTGGGCAACAGAGCAAGACTCCATCTCAAAAAAAAAAAAAAAATACAAAAATTAGCTGGGCATGGTGGCAGGTACCTGTAATCCCAGCTACTTGGGAGGCTGAGACAGGAGAATCACTTGAACCTGGGAGGCGGAGGTTGCAGTGAGCCAAGACTGCACCATTGCATTCCAGCCTGGGCAATAAGAGCTAAACTCCATCTCAAAAAAACAAAACAAAAAAGAAAAAGAAAGTGGCCACCCCTGTGGAAAAGGACTCTGGAGTGGGGAGGGTGGTAGAGCAGTTTTTTATATTAAGTTTGTCATATTAGTTGACTTTTCAAAATCACATCCATATACTACTTTGATTAAAAATAAAATATTTTCTGGCCAGGCACAGTGGATCACGCCTGTAATCACAGCAACTCGGGAGGCTGAGGCAGGAGGATCACTTGAGGACAGGGGTTAGATACCAGCCTGGGCAATATAGCAATACCCTGTCTCTAAAAAAAATTTTTTAATTAGCCAGGTGTGGTGGTGCATGGAGATTTCAACAACAACAACAAAAAAAGCACAACCCATAAAAGAAAAAAATTTATAAACTGAGCTTCATCAAATTAAAAACTTTTGGGCCAGGTGTGGTAGCTCATGCCTATAATCCCAGCACTTTAGGAAGCCAAGGCAGGCGGATCACTTGAGGTCAGGAGTTCAAGACCAGGCTGGCCAACGTGGTAAAACCTCATCTCTACTAAAAATACAAAAATTAGCACAGCATGGTGGTGTGCGCCTATAATCCCAGCTTCTAGGGAGACTAAGGCACGAGAATCACTTGAACCCAGGAGGCAGAGGTTTCAGTGAGCCAAGATCATGCCACTGCACTTCAGTCTGGGGAACAGACCATGACTCCATCTCAAAAAAAAAAAAAAAAAAAAAGAAGTGAAATGAAGGACAGCAATGTATATGTGAACTGAAAATGCAACAGACAGGCAGAAAGAATTAGGAATGCTTTGTTATTATAAGGTATTGTGCAAACTGTGAAGTGGTGATGTTGTTATTGTATTATTTAAAAGCAATCTTGGATTGCTTGTAAATGTAGATTACAAACTCTAGGGTAAACACTAAAACAGTAAAAAAAAAAAAAAAAAAAGTATAATTGAAATGCTAAGAAAAGAGAAATCTAATCTCATAAAATGCTCAATTAAAACCACAAGGCCGGGCACAGTGGCTCATGCCTGTAATCCCACCACTTTGGGAGGCTGAGGTGGGTGGATCACCTGAGGTCAGGAGTTAGAGACCAGCCTGGCCAACATAGTGAAACCCCATCTCTACTAAAAATACAAAAAATTAGCCAGGTGAAGTGTCAGGCGTCTGTAATCCCAGCTACTCAGGAGATTGACGCAGGAAAATCGCTTGAACCCTGGAGGTGGAGGTTGCAGTGAACCGAGATCGTGCCATTGCACTCCAGCCTGGGCAACAAGAACAACACTCCATCTCAAAAAAAACAAAAACAAACAAACAAAAAAGAATCTACATGTCCCAGAGAGGTGCCAACAAATCAGACTAATAGGTACTTTCTTTCACAACCACTAGGATTGTTTTTACATATTGTTACTTCATCGTCCATATTAAACATGATGAGATATTAGGATCTCATATTCTAGTTACTCGGTGTCCTATTACAGAATGTTCTTTCACTTAGACTAGTTTTCCAAAATAAATTTATTTACTTATTTTAGAGATAGGGTCTCACTCTGTCACCCACACTAGAGTGCAGTGGCATGAACATAATTCACTGTAGCTTCAAACTCCTGAATTCAAGCAATCCTTCCGCCTTAGCCTTCTGAGTAGGTGGGATTACAGATACATGCCATCACACCCTGCTAACTTTTTTAAATTTTTTATAGAGATGGGCGTCTTGCTATGTTGCTGAGGCTAATCTCAATCTCCTGGCCTCAAGAGACCCTCTTGCCTAGGCTTCCCAAAGCACTGGAATTAGAGGTATGAGCCACCTCTCCCAGCTACCCAATAAATTATTTCTTTCAGATTTTATTCAAAATTGAACTTTTTCAATAAAAGCAAAATAAGTAATGTTCTTGGGTCCTCTGGGATTCTGCATTAATTTCATTAACTCTGAGGAGTATACAACAGATTTTGTCTTCCACCACCTCCTTAAGGATATTGCTAGTTCCTTTTTAGCCAAAGCTTTCAAATTATTTTTATTTGTCCAATAATCCCTGTGACCCTGAATATGCCTCAATAAACCATATGTTTAAACAAACGAGTAAAAAAGACCTTGACTACTTGTTTACAGTGTGCTATTTATCAGGGGACTCATGCTAATTAGCAGTTAGGATTGTAGGTCTAATATTAGTGTACTGAATAAGTACCTCTAACTGTATGGATGAAAGTGGGTTAGTTCAAAGAGTGTTGGTTTGCTGACAGCAATTTAAATATGGGTCCTCCTGGCTCTACCATGTACTCAATTTTCCTTCTCTGTGCTTCATTAAAATTAACAGGAAAAAAATGACACCAGATCAAAAGAAATGAAAATCATAACAATTTGTTCTCAGTTAAATAGACCAGTATCTTACTTTTTTTGTGTGGTAACTTAAAAGCAAGCAATTTTACTCTAGGAGTTTAAGTACATGAATGCTGAATTTTCAAAAGAACAAAATTTGATTTTGGAATCAACCTCCTCCTCCCACCAGGTGAAGCAACAACGAGAAACAATACTATCAAAGAGTCTACTAACAAAATTTGTCAGATGTTTCTGTTTATTTTATGTTCTTTTTGTATCAGTAATATTCATGGTACAAAATACAAAAGCTTCAAAGGATAGACAGTGAAAATCTCCTTCCCATCCCATCTTCTAACCACCTTCTCAACTCAGAGAAAACATTCACAGTTTCTTGGGCATCATTCCACAGACATTCTGTGTATATACAAACATATGTTCAACCCCTTTTTAAACAAACCATAGCATATGACATATTCCTCTCTACTCTGCTATTCCCACTCATCAATATATAGGAAGTCATTATATATCCATATATGAAGCACTTCATTCCTTTTTACAATTGTGTAACATTCCATTTTATAATTTCTCAAATACCATATTGATGGACTTTAGGTAGTCTACATCTTTTGCTATTACAAATCATTCTCCAAGTAATAAAAAATAAATGTCATTCTCCAATAAGATATATACATTACTTATATCTTATACTATCACTTACATAAGCATATAAAATATTTCACACATGTATGAGTAGACAGATATGATAAATCCAGAGAAATAGAATTGCTGGGTCAAAGGGTATATGCATCTGTAATTTTGATAGATACTGCCTGGCTGCCTTCTACAGAGGTTGTACCAACTTGGATTCTCACCAGCAACGCCTATTTCTCTACTCCACAGCCACCATTGTTTAATCAAACTTTCTGATCCTTGCCAACTTAGATTTTTTTTAAAAAGCAGTTTTTCAATACAATTTTATTTTGCATCTCTCTTGCCGTGAATAAGACCATTACCTGCTCATATCCTATGACTGTTTTCTATTGGTTTATAGGAAATAAACTTTATTTTCAAAGAGGCTAGGATAGACCACAAAATTAAGTCTTAAATCAAACACCTGTACACCTGTAATCCCAGCACTTTGGGAGACAGAGCAGGAGGATTGCTTGAGCCCAGGAGTACGAGGCCAGCCTGGGCAAGACCCCATCTATACAAAAAATTTAAAAACTAGCTGGGCGTGGTGGCACAAGCCTGTGGTCCCAGCTACTCAGAAGGATCGCTTGAGCCCAGGAGTTCGACGCTGCAGTGAGCCACGTCTACACCACTGCACTGTGCAACAGAGCAAGACTTTGTATCAAAAATAAAATTAATAAATCAAAATAACTGCTCAGTCCAAGAACACTATGAAATCTTTCTAAAACAGTATGAATAAAGCCTACAAGCATATCAGGAGAGACACTGAACAGAATGTTAACAAAAAAAATCGAGACAGCCAATTGAGTAAAGAGTACAGTGCCTCCTTCCCCGTTTTTTCTCACCAAACCCTAGAAATAATATAAATCATATTTTTTTAAATAGCCAGTGATTACACAGCCATGCTAAAAAAATAACAGGCGGCCAGAAGCTGTGAAGAATCCCCATAAAGTAGAAAACAGCTGGAGATGGGCTAAAAAGGGAAATAGCATCCCAGAGCAGGCTCAAGGGCCTTCAAGGGCACCATCCCAAAGAGTGTGAACAGGAACTCCGGCACAAAAGCAGAAAGGCCAGAAAAAGGCCCACAAGCAACTAACAGAAGCTTGGCTAGTGCACCTGAGCAGACACCCCTGCCTAAGCCCTCACTCCCACAGGAAGCAACAACAGGGTGCTACCTGCTAGGAACAGAGTGAAGGCAACACCCTGGGCACCTGGAGTATACAGGAGGAATAAGTTCAGACATAGTAAGACCAGTAGCCACTGAGGCACTCTTGCCAGAAAGATCCACCTGCTCCCCCACAAAAAGCAAAGTAGAAAACTGAGCCCCAATGGCATCTCTTCTGCAATGATTCCTGCCAAGGATTCCAAACACACACGCACAATCGTCGGCTCCCAATTTATTTGGAACTCTCAAGACCCTTATCAATGAAAACTAGAGTAAAGTAGAAAACACTATTGGATAATCTCCAAAGAGTCCTACTGCCTTTGCCCTCACTGGGCATCATTAGACTCCCTTGGCTTCCAGCTCTTCTTTCTCTAAATCTGTCAGTAACTGATCCCATCTCCTGGCTTTTCTAGTGGCTTCCATGATACTACTTTCAAATTTCTCCTTCTAGACCCAACCTCTGGCCAGGAAGCCAGTTCTGTTGATATCTCTAAAATATTTCAGACTTTTTTTAACTCAAGGGTAATATATATAATATAATCAGTAAGTTTGTTGGTAACAATGATCCTTATGTAACTCTATGCTAGAAATGAGAAGTAGGCTATTGCTGATGCTTTTAGTAGTAAACCTTTCAAAGGACCTATCTTCAATGCAATGTAGTCAAGAACTCAATCTTAACATGTGCAAAACTGATTCTATCATTCCTCCCTGTTACCCCTTAAAACTCTCCACTACTCCCCTAAAGCTGCAATTACGTAAAAGCTGCCTTGAAATGTTATTTTGCTGTAGTACATATAACATATCTCCCCAGGTAGATTATTCCTGAGAGGCATGAATCAGGCCTTACACTTCTTCCTTATCCCTAATCAATCTCCAGCATACTGCTAAAGAGAAATTACTCAAAAAATACTTGCTGAAATAGCCAAGGTCTCACAGCTAATAAATATATGAAAAGATCTTCAGACTAAATTCTGAGTACAATATGCTAATTAAAACAATAATATATCATTTTTACCCATCAAACTAGTAAACATTAAAAAATACTTGGTAACAGGCCAGGAACTGTGGCTCATGCCTGTAATTCCAGCACTTTGGGAGGCTAAGGTACAAGGATTTCCAGAAGCTGAGTTCAAGACCAGCCTTGACAACAAAGCAAAACTCTGTCTCTACAAAAAATTTACAAATTAGCCAGGCAACACAGCTAATAAGCCTGTAGTCCCAGCTACTCAGAAGGCTGAGGCAGGAGGATCACCTGAAATCCAGGATTTTGAAGTTGCAGTGAGCTATTATACAATCATGTCACTGTACTTCAGCCTGGGCAACAGAGGGAGACTCTGTCACCAATAAATAAATAAATAAATAAATAAATAAATAAATAAATAAATAAAACATGATATGCTCAATATTTTATATTTGTGAAATATTTGATAAATACATAAAGTCAATCTCCTCTTTTATGTGTACTGACTATCTCTTGATTTGATGTGCCTTAAATGGAAAGTAAACATTAGTGGATCTGAAAATCCATGATAACCAAATTCTGTTCTAACACCCTCAAAATGTGTAAATGATGCCCTAATGCCCTTTGTCCCTTCTCAGGCTGATAATCCACAAATTCTACACTCTATTCCAGAATCGCTTTCCTCCTAAATATACATATACTATTATATATGATATATAATATAGTATATGATATATAATATAGCATATTATATATGATATATAATATAGCATATTATATATGCTATATAATATATATTTAGGAGTAAAGTGACTATATATTATATATTTATATAATATATGACTATATATTATATATTTATATAATATATGACTATATATTATATATTTATATAATATATGACTATATATTATATATTTATATAATATATGACTATATATTATATATTTATATAATATATGACTATATATTATATATTTATATAATATATGACTATATATTATATATTTATATAATATATGACTATATATTATATATTTATATAATATATGACTATATATTATATATTTATATAATATATGACTATATATTATATATTTATATAATATATGACTATATATTATATATTTATATAATATATGACTATATATTATATATTTATATAATATATGACTATATATTATATATTTATATAATATATTTATATAAATACATTATATTTTATATATTTATATTATATATAATATATATTATATATATAATATATTTATATAAATATATTATATTTTATATAATATATTATATAATATATAATATATTATATAAATATATTATATTTATATAATATATTATATATAATATATAATATATTTATATATTATATATTATATATATTTATATATAATATATAAATATATAATATATTTATATATATTATATATAAATATTATATTATATATTATATATAAATATATATTAATATAAATATATTATATATTTATATAAATATATTATATAATATAATATATATTATATATTATATAATTATATATTTATATATAATATATTATATATTATATATATTATATATAATTATATTATATATAATATACATAATATTGTTATATATAATTATATAATATATATTATATAATTATATATAATATAATTATATATAATTAATATATAATTATATATAATATAATTATATATAATTAATATATAATTATATTATATATATGGATTGTGTGTACAAACACACATATATGCCCCACTTGTACCTCAGAGACTTTAAGGAGAAAGCTGAAACAGGAGATCAGAGAAATAATGGGCAATAATCACCAGCCAAAGGACAGAGTAAATGCCACAGGTGCCATGAGTCCACAAGTAATAGAACATTCTCTGAAAGGCAACTAGGCTCCAAGTGCTATATTAAGTACAGTTGGGTATTCCCCGCCCAATGAAACGAAAGCAATGGAAAGAAAGATATAAACCCACAAAGATCAGATCAAGGGAAGTGTGGAAGATGGGAAGGTGACAGAGGAGTGTACCTGAACCAGCCGACCTGAGGAAGCCCCAAAAGGAGTTCCTGCCAAGGGGGACACCAACAAGAAGGAAGGCAATTCACCCCATGGAGCCGTGGGAAGGCTAAAGAGCGAGAGACAGGGCACTGGGGAAGACGGGGCAAGGTGCAGGACTAAAGCCTGGGGGTCTCTCTCCCCAGGAAAAGACTATTATGCGTGCTTCCCAGAGAAATACAACTAGAGAGACCAATGCCAAGGTTGGGGAGGGTAATAAGGTGGAAAATGAAGAAAACAAGAGAATGAAGATAAAGTCAACTTGCTACAGCTCCACAGTGAGTTTCCCTGCCTCCAAGGCAGGAGACTGAAGGATTCCTCTCAAGAGAAACTGAATAGGAACCTAGGGAAAAGATACAGAAATTTAGGAACTGCCAGGCCAATTTAAAAAATAGATCGTCACCTCACAGCAATGCCCACCACTCAACAAAATCTACTTACACAAAGAGCTTCCAATCAGTTTTTGGGTAGTCTCAACTTTAAATAAGAATGGACAGTCAAAAATGATTAGACTTGTGAGTAAAGCCTCCAGCATGAAATATAGAAACCAAAGCAGCCCGGGCATGGTGACTGACTCCTAGAATCCCAGCGCTTTGGGAAGCCAAGACAAAAGAATCACTTGAGCCCAGGACTTGGAGATCAACCTGGGCAACACAGAGACATTTTTAATGCCTCTACAAAAAAATAAACAAATTAGCCCAGACATGGTGGTGCACGCCTATAGTTCCTGCTACTTGGGAGGCTGAGGTGAGAGGATTGCCTGAGCCTGAGAGGTCAAGGCTGCAATGAGCTGTGATCGTGCCACCACACTCCAGCCTGGGCAACAGAGGGAGATCCTGTCTCAAAAATAAAAAAAAGAAACTGAAACAAACTAAAGAAAGGAATCATAGAAAACAGATGATTCTAAGAAAAAATTAAAAACTAAAATATCTTTAGATAGATAATAATGAAAACAGTAACAATAATACCAAACATGTATTTAGCACCTACTATGTCCCCAGTCACCATCTTAACTGTTTCACATATACTAACTGATTTTACACTCACCACAAACTATGGCGTGGTACTTTTTTTTCTCATTGCCTAAATCATAAATTGGCAAATTACAGCCCAAGGGCTAAACCCTATGTGCTGCCTGAAGAATGATTCCTACTTTTTTTTTTTTTTTCAGACAGGGTCTTGCTCTGTCACCCAGGGTGGAGTGCAGTGGAGTAATCTCAGCTCACTGCAACCTTTGCCTCCCGGGTTCAAGCAATCCTCTCATCTCAGCCTCCCTAGTAGCTGGGACTACAGGCATGCACCACCATGCCTGGCTAATTTTTGTATTTTCAGGTTTCACCATGTTGGCCAGGCTGGTCTCAAACTCCTGACCTCAGGTGATCTGCCCACATTAGCCTCCCAAAATGCCGGGATTATAGGCATAAGCCACTGCGCCCAACCTGATTTTTACATTTTTAAATCGTTGAAAAAAATCAAAAGAATATTTTGTGACATGTGTAAATTATATGAAAAGAAAATTTCAGTGTCAATAAAGTCTTATTAGAATACAGCCATGCTCATTTGTTTACACATGGTCTATAGCTGTTTTCCTGATACAACAGCAGACTTGGGTAGTTGCTACAGAGATCATATTTGGTGCCCTCATCCCTTTATACTCTCAGTGCACCACAAATCTCAATGACACGGTTTACTCAACAGCATTTCAAGTGTCATGAGTATTGCCATACTATAACTATTTTACCAGTGACTATCACGTCAAAAAAACAGAAGTACTCTGATGTCACACTTGTAAGTCACAGTGGACTGTAGATTGTTTAAATCTAGTTAGATGTCAAAGTACTTTATTATGTAAAAGCATCACGAAGCTGTGCCAGCAAAATACAATATAGGAAGTATTACTAGACTAAGCACTCATCACAATATCCCGATATGCCCTGCCACACAGCATTCACTCCCAACTCATGAGAGCAATGAGCAGGAAAATGGGCAAATGTAAAACAAGATATACCTCCTCAGAGCAGAATGTCTTGCCAAAAATTAAAAATGGAAATAGGGCTGCAACCGAAGTAAATTTCCAAATGGCTCATTTGTTAAGCAAGCAAGGAAAGTATTTGCCAATGGTGAGTTAATTAAATTGTGTTTGATTACAGCAGCCAAAGAATTGTGTCCAGAGAAAATAAATATCTTTAACATCCTACTCTTTCCATGAAAACAGTGGCTCGAAGTACAGTATGTATGAAACAATTACAGCTATGAATATTTTCCAAAAAATCAAGGAAATACTAATTCAGCACAATCTGAAGTAGAATCTGCTAAGATGTGTAACAACTGATGGTGGTAAAAATATGTATGAAGCAGAAAAAGGCTTAGCTGGACAAAATTTACAAGCCTTGTGAAATGTAAGGTGTTTAAAGCTTATGGCTATTAATCATATTCTCAATCAGCAGGTACTCTGCAGAAAACATCTGAATCTATCATGTGTTATTGAACCGTAATGTCACAGGTAAATTTCATTTGTTCTCATGACATTTTTGTCAGAAATAGAAGCTAAATATCCTGACGCGTCCTGCCACGAAACAATACAATGGCTTAACAATGGCAGAGTTTTACTGAAATGTTTCAAGCTCCAGGCTGAGACAAATTTTTCTGAATGAAAAGAATGACCCTCAACTACTATTGTTGCTGCAGACTTGATATATCTGTTAATGAATTCAGCCTAAAGTTAGAAGGACAACAGGGTCTACGTGCAAAACCTATATTGAGACAGTCATTTCAAGGACAACTAACATTGCCTAAGTCACAAGTCATGTCAAGATGCTTCATGTACTTCCTATGCTGTCAAAAATTAAAATAAGAAGATCTCTACTGCCACACAAATATGCAGCAGACATATTTTCCAAAATCAAATATTTCCAGCAGTATTTTTTCATACCTCAATGCAAGTAGAAACGAACATTCCACATTTCAAAAATCATTTAACTGTGCAATGAGGAGCTTCTACCTAATCCTCAATTGGAAGTGATTAGTCTGCAGTGTAATGATTTGCTAAACGTTAAGTATCAAGAAAAGAGTCTAAAAGAATTCTGTAAATGTCGTCCAAGCAATGAATATGCTCTATTAAAACCATATGTTCACAGACTATTAGCAGTATTTGGCAGTATCTAAGAAGACATTTTCAAAGATGAAATACATGAAATCTCATTACAAATCAGCATTAATAGGTGGTTAATGCTGCATCTATAATCAATTTTGATGATAGAGAACACTAACTTTAAACTCCAATTAAGCCAAATGTTATCCCCTCTCCTCCAAAAAAACATTCATTCTTCTCATTAGCAAACCTTTATTGCAAAAATTGTTCTCAATCATTATTAGTATCGCATTTTGAGCTTTATTAATAAAAAACTTGTAGAAATGTTTTCTCTCTTGTTATGTAAGTACTTACATAATGAAATAATTAAATAATTTAAAATATCCTTCATTTTGCCTCTTGGCTGATAAAGCCTGAAATATTTATGATTTGGTCCTTTAGATGAAATGTCTACCAACTCCTAACCTACATGAATAAACTAAAGCAAAGAAAGGTTAAGTAACTTGCCCAAGATTATAGAGCTAGAAAGTGGCACATCAGGTTTTAAACCCAGGTAGGATAGGTACAGAAACCATTCTCTTTTAACCGTTTCATATTGCTTCATGAAGCAAGAGTAGGATGTCATAAAAAAGGAAATAAAGAACAAGAAAGGACACCTGAAATTTAAAACAAAAGAACGGAGAAAAGATAAAAGTTAAGGGAACTCCCATAATAAAGAACAAGAGGACAAATAAGTGAAAAACAGGAGGAGAAAAAATAGAAAATTTAAAGAACAATTTAGAAGATTTTAATATATTAATAGTAACAGTTCCAAAAAGAAAGCACAAACAAAATGGGGGATGTTACACTGTCAAGTCAGGCATGGTGGGGATCTGAGATTTTACTTTACTGACAAAGCTGAAAAAGGCATGAAACCTCTGGAACAGGGACACAAAACAACTGCAATAGCAGTAGCCAGAGTAACACCTTGCATCAATTTCTTAGGCACTAAATCCCACAGGCCGTTCAAAGTATTTGGTAAAAATTAATAATATATCCATGGAAAACTAAGCAAACTAGGGGGAGGGAAGGGGAAACATGGTGAAGTACTCACCAGCAGTGAACAATATTTATGTAGTCATAATAATATAAAAGCTAAACACTATATTAACCAAGAATTCTTATATACCTATACTGGAAGTGCTTTTAGAAATAGGGGAAGGAAAGGGAAGAATACCCCACCTACCATAACAAGAAGTTAATATGTATTATCTAAAATTGATAAATCACAAAATAGCAATTTAGGCAGATTTATAAACGCAGAGGTAAGAATCAAAAGAAAAAGCTTAAAAGAATTTTTAGGGCCAGGTGCAGTGGCTCAGGCCTGTAATCCCAGCACTTTGGGAGGCCCAGGCAGGAGGACCATTTGAGGCTAGGAGTTCAAGAACGGCCTGGGCAACACAGTGAGACCCCATCTCTACCAAAAGAAAAAGAGAGAGAGAGAGACAGAGTTCTTAAAAGTAACTGCCTCTGAAAATGAGATTAAAAAGTGGGGATGGGTAAGGATACTGCTGATTTTTTATAACCTGCCTTTATTATTATTTACCTTTTCTAACAATATACAAGTATTACTTTAAGTAGAAAAAATATCAAAATAAATAAGAGAGAATGAGCTTTACTATTTCATAATCAATGATTCATATAAACAATTCAATGTGCAAATACTAAAGAACAAGTACAGGGTTGAAAAACCAAATAAGCCATATATAAGCTACATCACATTATGGTTACATTAAGCACAAGAAGCCTATCAACAGTCAATAAATATTTCCTGAGTGCCCACTATGTGGCCAGCAGTATGCAAAGTGCCAAGGTTAAAGTTGTGAAGAAGGGAATGATATACAGAGATACGGATACATCAACAAGAAATGTTAAGATGGCAACTATTCAAGCTTCCAAGGGAAAGCTTCCAAGAGTTCATACCATAAAAGTTAAGACCAGCTGGGTGCAGTGGCTCACGCCTGTAATCCCAGCACTTCGGCAGGCCAAAGTGGGTGGATCACCTGAGGTCAGGAGTTCGAGACCAACCTGGCCAACACGGTGAAATTCCGTCTCTACTAAAAATACAAAAATTAGCTGGGTGTGGTGGCAGGCGCCTGTAATCCCAGCTACTTGGGAGGCTGAGACAGGAGAATCACTTGAAACCGGGAGGTAGAGGCTGCAGTGAGCTGAGATCACGCCACTGCACTCCAGCCTGGGCAAGACAGAGGAAGACTCCATCACAAAAAAAAAAAAAAAATGTTAAGACCTAAAGGACAAGAAGGGTTGGCCTGGGTGGATGTGGGAGTTCAGAAACTTCCAAAGCAGAGAACAGCACGTGTGAAGCCCTGTGGTTAAGAAATAACAGGTAGGGCCTGTTCAAGGACCTGAAAGAAGTTTAACATGGCTGGAACAGAAAAGGAATCAAAGCAGAAGCATAAGAGACCAGAAAGTACCTTTTTCGAACACGTCTCTTTCTCAAGGAGCTGCTCTCCTCTCTCCTTTCTTCTGTCTATTAAGCTTTCCACTCCTTAACCCACCCACATGTCCGTGTCCTAATTCTTTCTCGGCAGGCAACAACAAACCCTAGGGTATACACCCCAGATAGTGTAGCCACTTCATAATGGCAGCTTTGTCCGGGATACCAAGGTACAACATTCATAAGAACGGTAAGGGGAAGAGCGAACTCTAACTCTGTCCTTTCATTCCAAGGTTCTCGGCTTCCATTTTAGACCTTTCATGGAGGACTTAGCTGTCGTGTGGGGCTGGAAGAAGTCCTGGGGCAACTGAGGATTTCTGGCCGGCGCTACCCCCTGGTGTTATCCAAAGGCTTCTGGACCCCAGCCGCCAACCGCCCCAATGCGGTGTCGGCAACAGGATCTCCAACTTTCCTATTGTAATCTCCTCCTCTCCTGTTCGCAACCGTCATATCTCTTATCCTCTCTGTATGAAATGTGTGGGAAGTTTTATGGTTCAGGGAAGTAGTCTTGTTTGGTAAGATCAGGGAATGTCGTAGTAACAAGGCATATAGCTCAAGGGGAAGCGTCTTTGTGATTTTCTAAGAACAGGGCTCCCTGACCCCCCAACAGTGAGAATCTCTCTTTCTCTGCCCTTGGTCTGGAGAGCACATGGCATTTTCCAGGTCTCTCTCTGCCCTTGGTCTAGAGAGTATGTGGTGTTTCAAGGTCAACAGCGCCACCTAGTGAAATAGGAATCCTCTCCATGAAGCACACTGTCAGTCCAATGAAACATCCTAGCCTCCCAATTCTCTTTCCTTTTTGTGCCTCTCTACTAGAAACCAGGCTTTATGCTGGTTCTGTAAATGAGAAAACTCTGCCTTCAACAATTAGGGGTAAAATATTCCTCCAAAGCCAAAATTTAGTCTCAATACTGTCTCATCAGCAGGAAAATGGCCATTCAATCCCTAAGTTTTTTTAAGCCACCTATTCTGCCTTCAATTAGAGTAGTACTTAATTAGTAAGGGAATTTTAAGTTTGGAAGTTAACTGGAACCATTATCTAAGGGTAAATGCTTCAGCACAGGCCATAATAGCAGGATACAGAGTTCAATCTAGCACATCCCCTGCATTAAAGGGGCCTTGCCCAACTATTATGTAGTTTTTCTTGAAATCCATTTTTCAGGAAGCCAGGCAAGTCACACAAGTCTAGGAAGTTAAAGGGAAATCACAGGCAGAGGACTACAGCCACTTGGGTGAGCATGACTAGCCCCAGTGACTTAGTTCCTCTGGTTCCATGACTGGGGGTCACACTTGCAACCATGGGCAGCATGTTCAACAAGGTGCCTGGGACCCAGGAAACACAGGGGGAAAAAAGCAGGGGGGATGCCCCCACTGCTTCCTCTCCACCATGGGTCACACCAAAAGGAAGGAGACTAAAGGGCCACCTTTTTCTCTAAGTGGGTACCATCTTCATCCTGCACTCCCCTGGAGTGCATTCTGAAGCACAAGGATTTCTTTGACCCTGAAACTTTAAAAAGCAGCTCATTTTCTTTTGCACAGGGCATGGCCTTTTTACTAGACCTTTGCAAGCGTTACAGAATTAACCCAGCCCTTTTAGCAATCATATTGAGCAGGCCCAAAGAGAATAATTCCCCAAAATGAGAGAAGCAACTTCTGGGGAAATCATCTGAGGCAGCTATTGGGTGTCCCAGCCCTTCAAGTCCCCCTTATTTAGGGCCACCTCCAACCATACCACCAGTTCTTCCACCTCCACCATCTCCAAAATTTCCCACTCCCCACTTTCACTCTTACCTCTACAGGAAATGCCCAATGGAGGTGATGTCACTAGGGTTCAAGTTCCCTCCTCTTTGCAAGACCTTAGGCAAATAAAGGTGACTGAGGCCAATTTTCTGAAGACCCTGATAGGTATATAGAAGCTTTCCAAAATTTAACTCAGGTGTTTCACCTCTCATGAAGAGATTTTATGTTGCTTCTAAGCCAAACCCTAATTACAGCTGAAGAGCAGGCAGCAAAGAAATTGAAAGATAAGCAACGTTTCCTATAGTAGGCCTAAAACGAAAAGAGAAAATAGGGAAGGCAAAGAAATAAGAGAAACACAATTCCCAATAGGAAGAGAGGCGGTACCTCTTGACAACCCTAACTGGAATCCCCAGACTTTTCTATGGTGTTTTTCCTTCTTTCACAGTGTACAATGGTTCCTATCTCTTCCTGTATAATGTTCCTCCAAAGTAGGAAAAGTTAATTTCCCCAAACCTTAAAATGGTTGACTTAGAGTTGAGCTAATGGGAAGGGAACCCAGAAGCCTGACATGCTGGCAAAAGGGTAAAAGTTTTTTTACCAGTCAACATTTTGGCTTATCTCTTCCTGTGCAAACCAGTAACAAGGATAATAAGGATGATTGTTTATTCTCTGTAAAGTTTTAATTAATAAAAAAGAATTTGTGAGGTTGGTCTTAAGCTGTAACCAATCTGGTGTGCTTTGTGTGTCTTTCTGTAGCGTTCTGTCAAAAGAAAGGGTACCTTAGGTTAGGATGCAGGCCCAGGACCCCATAAGCCTGACTTTGTCTGGGTCCTAGACTCCACACCTGGTATATAATTAAAATCACTTACTAACCAGGTTTTTTACCTAAAGTAAAAGTTGCTGAGAGTTAACAGTGCAACATGTATTTGAGATCTCTAAAGTTTTATATGCAAGGCTTATAAAAACAGTGAAATGTGTTTTTTAGTAAAAGATTATAAGAAAGCATGAAAATATAAATTTTGCCCAGGGATAAGAGATTATCTTAAATTTAATAAGACAGAGCTAAAGGTTTAAGCAAGTTACAGGAAGACAAAAATTAATCTTGCAAAAATGTATAAACATTAACTAAATTCAAAAGGGTATTATATGGTCTTTTCCTAAATTGAGCATTGAAAGAAAAACACGGCAAGGCTGTCTTAAGACACTAATCTGCCGTTTAACAAAAGGGGTTGTAAAGGGTTTGTAAAGACTTCACCCCATGGTCATTGGTTAAGATTAGGTGAACTTTCCTATGAGGTTTTATCAAAAGGTTGTTTACAACTTTAATAAACTAATACAAGGGTAAAATTTGGCTTTAAACAGGATTTTCATGTAATAGTAAAGGATGATGAAAGATTTTTTCCTTTTGTGACATCATTTTGGCAAAATAAATAATGGCAATTTGGAATTCTATTTCATAACATCAAGTGTTTTAAACCTCTAACATTTAAAAGGCATCCCAAAATCAAGCTTCAAGTTTCAAAATTGTCCTTCCTGATGCCTGGCTTTCTGGATTGTTCAGAAGGCCCCTGAAACATCCAGAGAAGAGGTAAACAGGATTATCTGACATGTTTAGTCACATTAGAATTGCCAAAACGATGTCCAATCTTCTTTAAGTTATATTTTGGTGAATAATACTAATATATGTTCCAAAATTGTATGGGATTTCTAAAATTCTAATGTCTAAGTATATACTATCAATCATAATTAAGGTTAACTAAACTTTTTCCGTCATGTTTTTAACTGTAACCTGGAAATTTTGTCATGCACAGACAATTGTTGTTTTGCTTTGTTCCTTCTGAAAAGACAGTTTATAATCAAGCTATATTAAGGACTTTCAACAGGTGTCCTCAAATGCAGGTTTTTAACAGCTTTGAAGATTGTAACATTGGAAGAGAGAAAGAACGTACAGGACTCATGAACTGAAATGTTCACAAATATCAAGCAAAACAAGAATTGACTAAATGGACTACACTCAGAAAGCTAAAGCAATCTTTTTGACTTTTGCTTGGAATATTGCTGATCCTTGGTTTGTTTTTCAGAGTCAAGGAAACTTATTTTGAACTATTTACAGCCTTTAATAATTGAGTAAGGTATACTCCTGTGAACAAAACTTGAAGCATGATTGTTTCTCTCTGCCTGGTTCCTCTAATCTGTGAGAACTCTTAACTTATGGCAATATAGTTGTTTGCATCAGTGAAATAAGAATCCATTTTTCTTTTTCAACAGGACACAAATGGAAAAACTGGCTATTTTATCAAGGCTTTGACTGGAAGTGTATGCTTCCCTTTAAGGAGTCAACCTCCACTTGCAGAGCTGAAAAAGCCCCATGGGAAGAACTGGCCTCATACCTTGTCTACACAGTCCCCGCACAGGGTTCCTAACCTTTGGTCAGTAAAGAATGTCACTTTCTAACAGGTCCAGGAGCTCCAAGTTTATCTTGGGACCTTAAGAGAAAAGGATCACCCAACTCACAGGTATTTGAAGATACAAACCCATGCTGGGCTCAGCTTTAAGAAGTCTTATCTGAGATTTCTTGTGGAACAGAGTTCCATCGAAGCCAATCCAAAAGGACTATGCAGAAATAATTACTCTTGCTGAACTTTATGCAAATAACAAGGCCAAATATAAGACTAAGGTTTATTCTACAAACAACACGGTCCTATCATAATTTGTTTTTACCAAAATCAGGACTAGAGAGAGAAAATATGCTCCAAAGCTTATCATACATTTGTCATTAAATCCTAGTCACATTAATTGTTTTTAAGTTGTGTGCCTACATTTTAGACTAACACTGCTTATTCCTGTGAATCAAGTGGTGATCTCCTGAAGCTTACAAGAAACAAAAAGAGATGGGTAACACAAAAATCTGGATACCTTGGCAAATAAAATTTTAGATGGAAAGTATCTACTACACCACACTTGTGGGAATTGCTATACTCACTCTACTATTTGCAGTAGGGTTATACATGGCAGTGTGTCTGGAATTGGTGGATTCTTGGTCTCATTGACTTCAAGAATGAAGCCACAGACCCTCACAGTGAGTGTTACAGTTCTTCAAGGCGGCATGTCCAGAGTTTGTTCCTTCTGATGTTCGGATGTGTTCGGAGTTTCTTCCTTCTGGTGGGTTCGTGCTCTCGCTGGCTTAGGAGTGAAGCGGCAGACCTTCGCGGTGAGTGTTACAGCTCATAAAGGCAGTGTGGACCCAAAGAGTGAGCAGCAGCAAGATTTATTGCAAAGAGTGAAAGAACAAAGCTCCCGCAGTGTGGAAGGGGACCTGAGCGGGTTGCCATTGCTGGTTCAGGCAGCCTGCTTTTATTCCCTTATCTGGCCCCACCCACATCCTGCTGATTTGGTCCATTTTACAGAGAGCTGATTGGTCTGTTTTGACAGGGTGCTGATTGGTGCGTTTACAATCCCTGAGCTAGATATAAAGATTCTCCAAGTCCCCACCAGATTAGCTAGATACAGAGTGCTGATTGGTGCATTTACAAACCTTGAGCTAGACACAGAGTGCTGACTGGCGTATCTACAATCCCTCAGCTAGACATAAAGGTTCTCCAAGTCACTGCCGTGGGCTCCTGCGTGGCCTGAGCCTCCCTGACGAGCGCCGCTCCCTGCTCCCCAGCGCCTGGTCCCATCAACCGCCCAAGGGCTGAGGAGTGCAGGCGCACAGCGCGGGACTGGCAGGCAGCTCTGCCTGCGGCCCTGGTGCAGGATCCACCAGGTGAAGCCAGCTGGGCTCCTGAGTCTAGTGGGGACTTGGAGAACCTTTATGTCTAGCTAAGGGATTGCAGATACACCAATCAGCACTCTGTGTCTAGCTCAAGGTTTGTGAACAGACCAATCAGCACCCTGTGTCTAGGCTCAGGGTTTGAGGATGCACCAATCGGCACTCTGTATCTAGCTAATCTGGTGGGGACTTGGAGAATCTTTATGTCTAGCTAAGGGATTGTAAATACACCAATCAGCACTCTGTGTCTAGCTCAAGGTTTGTAAATGTACCAATCCACACCCTGTGTCTAGCTCAAGGTTTGTAAATGCACCAATCAGCACTCTGTATCTAGCTCAGGGTTTGTAAATATACCAATCAGTACTCTGTATCTAGCTAATCTAGGGGGGACTTGGAGAACTTTTGTGTCGAGCTCAGGGATTGTACACGCACCAATCAGCACCCTGTAAAATGGACCAATCAGCAG
This sequence comes from Homo sapiens, assembly GCF_000001405.40. Classification (NCBI taxonomy): domain Eukaryota; kingdom Metazoa; phylum Chordata; class Mammalia; order Primates; family Hominidae; genus Homo; species Homo sapiens. The sequence goes on from NC_000018.10 coordinate 49,453,274, forward strand.
GATGTGGGTGGGGCCAGATAAGGGAATAAAAGCAGGCTGCCCCAACCAGCAGTGGCAACCGGCTCAGGTCCCCTTCCACACTGCGGGAGCTTTGTTCTTTCGCTCTTTGCAATAAATCTTGTTGCTGCTCACTCTTTGGGTCCACACTGCCTTTATGAGCTGTAACACTCACTGCGAAGGTCTGCAGCTTCACTCCTGAAGCCAGCGAGAGCACGAACCCACCAGAAGGAAGAAACTCCGAACACATCCGAAAATCAGAAGGAACAAACTCCACACACGCCGCCTTTAAGAACTGTAACACTCACCGTGAGGGTCCGTGGCTTCATTCTTGAAGTCAATGAGACCAAGAACCCACCAATTCTGGACACAATAGCACCTTCTAACTGAAATACTGGAAAGAGAGTTTTCATTGTTGTAGAATTTGCTTAATTATTATCCTGATAGCAGGGATAATTACCAACAAAAAGGAAGCACGAAAGTTTTACTAACACCGAGTTTGCTAGAACTTCTTATTGGGTTTGGTAATATGTCACACCCTGGCTATGCAAAGAAGGTTATAAAGGAAAGAGATTTTCTGTGGAAGTCATGAAGGGATTGATAACTGCAGGAAAGATCTAGCCAAGGTTAACACTAAAGTTACTCCAGCCACCCAAATCCAATGCCACTTATCCTAAAAGGAATGTTACTTTTATATTAACATTTCAACAACATCTGGTGGAGGCAAACCAGTGTTACAACCCATCAGAATAGCAACAGAATCAAACTCCAAATGATGCTGCAGACAGAACCACACACGGACATGCCTTTCTTCCAAGGACCCTTAGATTGACCCCAGGAGGAGCCCTAGCTGCTGATCCCCACATGATGCCCCTTTTCAGCAGGAAGTAGCCAGAAAGAGTCATCACCCAACACCCCCTAACAGCAGTTAGGGTTGCCACTCCAGAGCAGGGAATGATGATATAGGAGTTAACAAGGAATTACTTAGGCAGATAGCAAGGGCATGGGAGTCCTCAGTAAGGCTGTTCTTTTTAATGAAAAGCAGCCCCAAATCATTTTCTAACAAAGAGCAGCCTGCAAGCTGGGAGCTTGCACACGATAATGCCTGCAGAAACTAAGGACTAGACATTTTCAAAATGGCGGCTCCATCTTCCCTTCTCTGCCAGCCACATGTACTGTAAAGGAGCAGACAGGATGGTGCCAATCAACTGGAAAGCCCATTTGCATAAGATTAGGTTGAGGCAACCAGCCTTCCCCACACACTCTGTAGACGTCATGCATGATCGAACCAATCTGTGAGCCCTATGTAAATCAGACACTGCCTTCTCCATATAAAAATCTGCTGCAGGCCGGGTGCGGTGGCTCAGGCCTGTAATCCCAACACTTTGGGAGGCCGAGGCCGGTGGATCACGAGGTCAGGAGATCGAGACCATCCTGGCTAACACAGTGAAACCCCGTCTCTACTAAAAATACCAAAAAAAAAAAAAATTAGCCAGGCATTGTGGCCGGCGCCTGTAGTCCCAGCTACTCAGGAGGCTGAGGCAGGAGAATGGCGTAGACCCAGGAGGCAGAGTTTGCAGTGAGCCGAGATCGCGCCACTGCACTCCAGCCTGGGTGATAGAGCGAGACTCTGTCTCAAAAAAAAAAAAAAAAAAAAAAAATCTGCTGCGGTCCATGGCCTCCTCCTTTTTTGGACCTCTCTCTCTCTCTCTCAAGGAGCTGCTCTCCTCTCTCCTTTCTTCTATTAGACTTTCCACTCCTTAACCCACAAAAAAATAAAAATAATAAAGAAAAGGCCAGAAAGTAAGCTGAGGCTTGACGCTTTACAGAGAGACTCACTAAAGGGCATGCCTTCTTACTCCGCACATAGTAACCGTACAACTGCATACATCCTCCCTAAGACTTCCAGATTGATGAATTCTACCCCTATACACTTACAATCCAAAATATCTATGTCTAGTCAGAACTGTCTTTTGAGTGTCAGTCCCGTTTATCTAACTGCCTAACATCTATCACCATCTGATGTCCCAAGGGCACCTCAAACTCCACATGCTCAATACTGAACTGAATATACATCCTTCTCCTTGTCCATCTCTAATTCTCATCTTTTTACACCACTCATTCAGATATCCAAGTCGAGAAATCTAAAGGAAGAGAATGAAAAACAACTAATAGTTATAGTGTATATATTGCTAGGTACATAGAGGTATTTTCATTTAATTCTCTAACAAACATATAAAGTATATATTAGTCCCATTATACAGATAAGAAAACTGAAGTTCAAAAAGGTTGAGTAACATGCCAAAGCAAATAAATGATAGAACTAGGACTCAAACCTAGAGTTTCAAAAAGTATGTAGGTTAGTCTGGGTTCAGAGAAATTAATTATAAAGGAGCAGAGGCCAGGCGCAGTGGCTCCTGTCTGTAATCCCAGCACTTTGGGAGGCCGAGGTGGGTGGATCACCTGAGGTCAGGAGTTCGAGACAGCCTGGGCAAAATGGTGAAAACTCTACTAAAAACAGTACAAAAATTAGCCGGGCATGGTGGCGCATGCCTGTAATCCCAGCTATTCAGGAGGCTGAGGCAGGAGAATCACTTGAACCTGGGAGGCAGAGGTTGCAGTGAGCCGAGATCCCACCACTGCACTCCAGCCTGAGCAACAGAGTCAGACTGTCTCAAAAAAAAAAAAGCAAAAAATGCTAATTCCCTACCCAATCTCCAGTCCTCTCTTCCTTTTAGTAACAGAACTCCATTTTTTTGACCAGGCATATTCCTGTTCAACTAAGATATATTTAAGTCTCTAAGAGTGGACAGTCACTTCTTTATCCCTTCCTCCATCCTGCTGTTAGGAACATGGAAATTTTAGCTAGAACTCCAGCAGCCATCTTGGACCCAGAAATCAAGGGCCATACTTTAGGGTTAACAGTGTAAGAAACTACAAGGAGGCTGGGTTCCTGATGACAGCAGAGCTGCCAAACCAGCCTTTAATCGTCCACCTCTGGACTTCTTTTACAAAAGAAACAAACTAGTCATATGTTTAAGCTATTATTTTTCAGGTCTCTGTTATTCATAGCCAAACCTAAGCCTAACTGATACAGGTAGGGTTTTCAAAGTATTCTGGGTGGAGGGTTGCATGACATATTTTGAAGGAATAATTGTCAAGATTCAGTGACTGACTCAACCTAACAAAGAAATTTGTCATCGATCATATGATGGACAAAAGGTTTTAAATGCCCAAAAGACTGAGCAATAAAAGAAAAGATAAGCTTTTTAAAAATAATTATTCCAATGTCCTTATTGGAAAGTTTCAGCCACTTTCATTGCCTGCATTTTTAAAGAATGTGATAAAAATCAGAGAAGATACCAAAATCACTAACCAAACTTCCTTAAGAAATGAAAAAAACAAAAACTTTTACTAAATAAGACCTATATGTAAAGTTGTTCCCAGCCCCACTAGTTCATTTTGTCTAGAATTAAGTAATGTGAGGATAACTTACAAACTGTTTACAAGCAAAGTTCAAAGCATAAAGCTCTGCTAAAAACCTTACTAGAAAAAAAAATGCTTAAAGGCAAGAGCAGATATTTAATAAGTCCCATCACATTTCCTGATAAATGGTGCACCACCACCAGAAAGCCAGAACCTTCACACCTAGAGACAGTAAGGACTTTGACAGCTAAGTAGGAAAGTGAAACCCACTAGGAAACAGGATACCAAACTGGAGGACTCCCAGAAATCCTTTCAATCTTTAAGATTAGTCCTCTCTCTGTCCGAAGAAAGGAAAAGCAGCAATGGGCATCTTATCACTCTGCTCTTCTAGGCTCACAGCACTCTACCATTCCCAGCTGAGTCACAGAAGAACCTGAGAAGAGGCTGCTTCAAGTCCAAATCTCACAGTAGTTCATTCTGCCTGAAGATATTCTCTCACTTTCATTAGGAGTCTTCTTTTGCTGCTGAAATGGGGGTGCCTTTATCTCCCACTTGGACAGAGAGTCCCTGCCTTCTCATCCTGGGCATGGGAACCATCATTGCCCCCAGCGTGTCCTGTGTCAAGTATCAGGTTAGCCCTCTGATTACACATATATACTATGTTTTAAGACATGAATATGAAAAAGAGACCAAAACGAAATATAGAAAAACTTTACATGGAGCTGTATTGCTTTTATACTTAAATCATTTTTAAAGGTCTCATTTTACCAAAGCCTATACTACAAGTGTCACAGGTATTTCCCATATTTCACTAAAAGGAAAAATGAACAGTCTTCTCTAGATCTAACCATTCCCATTATCTACAATCCTAAGTAAAAGACGGCCCTCTCGTTGCATGTACAGCAGCAAAAGAAATCACCTACTTTCTTAAGTCTCGGCAAAATATTCCAAAATACACTGTGGTAGGTAGAATAATAGCCTCCAAAGATGTCCACATACTAATCCATGGAAGCTCTGATTATGTTGCTGGGAAAAGAGACTTTGCAGGCGTGATTAAATTAAGAACCTCGAGGGGGGATTTATCCTGAATTAGCTAAGTGGGCCTGATTTAATTACATGGGTCCTTAAAAGCAGAGAACCTTTCCCACTTGTGGTCAGAGACTTGAGGATGGAAGTATGATCAGAGAGATGCAACACTGGTGGCTTTGAAGACAGAGGAGGTACGCCACAAGCCAAGGAAAGTGGCAGCCTCTAGAAGCTGGAAGAGGCATAGATGCCCCCTAGAAACCTCCAGAGAAGAACACAGCCTTGTTGACAGCCAGTGAGACCCACTTTGACTTCTAACCTACAGAACTGTAAAATAATAAATGCATTGTTTTAAGCCACTAAATTTGTGGTAACATGTTACAGCAATCATAGAAAACTGATACATAACATTAAACAACTTCTAATAATATGTGAAATTATCTAGAAAAGCATAACCAAATTGCCCAAATATTTGGAGCAATATAAGAAAGAGCCATTTGTACATGTTGTAACATATTTCACTTCTATTTCTCTCCTGCCCTCCATTCATTAAAAAGCCTACCAAAGTGACAATTCTTCAAACTTTCTGTAGAAAAATGAGCCATATTAATAAAAAAAAAAGGAACAATCAGGATGGCAGGATCTAATGGAAAAATCAGGAGATAATTATGCCACATTTTTCAGAGTCAAACATAAAAGCGTTTGCACTGTTTATCCTCTTTGTATCAAATGGATTACCACACTTTTTTAAAGTACAGTAAATCTTTCTAGATATTAAAAACTATTAATTTTTATGTGTGATAATGGTATTCTGGGCCTATTAAAAAGAGCAGGCCAGGTGCAGTGGCTCACCCCTGTAATCCCAGCACTTTCAGAGGCTGAGGTGGGTGAAATGCCTGAACTCAGGAGTTCGTGACCAGCCTGAGCAACATGATGAGACCCCCGTCTCTACTAAAAATACAAAAAATTAGCCAGGCATGGTAGCACGTGCCTGTAATCCCAGCTACTCAGGAGGCTGAGGCAGGAGAATTGCTTGAACCCAGGAGGCAGACGTTGCCGTGAGCCGGGATCACGCCACTGTACTCCAGCCTGAATGACAGAGCGAGACTCTGCCTCCCACCACCACCAACAAAAAAAAGCAATTCAATCTTCTACAGATATATATTGAAATATTTACAGATGAAATTGAATGTCTATGATTTGCTTTAAAATAATTGTGAGTGGGGATAGGAATGCATAGGGACATAGATGAAATTAAATTGGCATGAGTTAACTGCTGAAGCTGGGTAATGGGTACATGGGAGTACCCTTTATTATTTCACTGTGTGAACTTTTCTATGGTTAAAAGGTGCAAAAACATAAAAACTCCTTGACCTATATGTCGTAACAACACAGACTTCTTAATAGCTGAATCTCCTTCCTATTAACATTGCCCCAACTCAGTTCTCTGCCATTTAATCCACTTGCGACTGATAGTTTCATCAATTATTCCAACTCATTTTGCCCTATGTACTCAGTTTATGAGCTTAAGGCAGACACCTAACCTCTAAAAGACTAGTTCTTCATTTACAGAATGGGAATATTCATACTTGTCCGGTCTATCTCCAAGTTGCTGAGAGGATTATCTAAAATAAAACTTCAAAGCAGGATAATCACTCCAGAAATCCATATATTCATAAATTTCATCCTCTGCAACAACCATTCACCCATTCCTATAGATTCTCTTCCCTTCCACCTCGTTCTTCTCTTGAGCCCTCAACTCATCAGCCTAAGCACCTGAGTTCCTCTGGTGGACGCTACATTCCTCTCCACGGCCTCCACCCTCCAGGTTTTCATCCTTCAGCACATCACCCTTGCTCTACACACCCCTCTCTCCAACTTCCCCTCTCCTCTTTCAAGGAACTCACTCCATCTGTGCCCCCTAATCAGTCTATCCTGGGTACCCGCTTTGCTGGCCGATTACAATCATCCCATCACTTCTCTACCCCTGTTCAGTAGAGAACAGCTTTATCCAATCAGCTTTACCACACCAATACCCTCAAACCCCACTACTGCCCCCAGTTCACAAACACCCACCCTTTCACTTTTCAGTCAAAACACAATTGCTCAGGCAAATCCACGGCGACTGAAAGTAGATCAATAGTGTAGGGGAGAGAAGGAGGAGTGACTGCTAATGGGTACGAGCTTCTTTGGGGCGGGGGGGGCGGTGATTAAAAATGCTCTGGAGTTAAGGGTGGTGATGGCTGCTCAACCCTGTGAATATACTAAAAACCACTGAGTTGTACTTTTAAAGGGTTAATTTTCTGATATGTTAGTTATACCTCGATAAACTATGAATGTAAAAAGAAGAAAGAAAAACCCAACAGCTATTGCTCACCCTGCCCATCACACGCCCATTTGTCAGACCAACACCGCCCCATCTCCGGAAGCACCGACTTGGCCTTCGGTATCCCCCAACTCCCAACAGCGGACTCGGACAGAGGTCCGTCCGCTGTCAGCACAGCCCCTCCGGGTGGCCCAGGCGCCCGCGGGCAGGGAAGGGAGGGTCCCTTCGCCGCCGCCCCGGGGCGCTGGCCGGGTTGCGGAGGGTGGCCCCTGACCCCCTCTGACAGGAGGCCGGGGACAGCCAGGCTTTCGGGCCCGGCCGCGCTGAGGGGGGCGGCGCTACAGCCCACCTGTCTCAGCCGGCTGGGGGATCTGCTCCAGCTCCACGGACCCGCGGACGGATGGGAGGGTGGCAGAGGGGTCAGGAGAAGTCGCTGTCGCCGCCGCAGCCCAGGTGGCGCACACCGGCTCAGGCCTCCATGTTTCCACGTCTCAGCGGGTACAGATCCGGCTCCGGTCCGGCCTGCAGCTCGGCCCCGGCTCGGCTCCAGCCCGGGCCGCGTCGGTGCGGAGGCCAGGAGGCGGCGAGAGAAGAGGGAAGCGACCGAGAACGCGGCTAGGGACCAGACCCCCAGGCGCGCGCGCCAGCCAGGTGGTCACGTGGCACGCGGCGCGCGCGGGCTTCTGGAAACTGTAGTCCTTTGGGTGTTATTCGTGCCTCCGCCCTCCTAGTACCTCCTGGGCTACCGCAAAGCCACGTGGCGAAATCGAGAAGCGCAAAAACAGCCGTGCGCGGTGGCTCACGCCTGTAATCCCAGCACTTTAGGAGGCCGAGGTGGACGGATCACGAGGTCAGGAGATCGAGACCATCCTGGCCAGCATGGTGAAACCCCGTCTCCACTAAAAATACAAAAAGTAGCTGTTTGAGACAGGATAATCGTTTGAACCCGAGAGGCGGAGATTGCAGTGAGTCAAAAAGTAGCTGTCTGAGGCAGGAGAATCGTTTGAACCCGAGAGGCGGAGATTGCAGTGAGTCGAGATCGGGCCACTGCACTCCAGCCTTGCGACAGAGCTCGACTCTTCTCAAAAAAAAAAAAAGAGAGAGAGAGAGAAGCGCAAAAACCTCACCTGCCGGGTGCTAGAGTCAACCTCACCTGCCAGGTGCTAGAGTCCTCGCTCATGCTACACCGCTCGTTCTGGCGGCTTAACCTTATTAAGGCCTCTGTTAATTGCAGCTGAATAACCATCCCAAAGTCAAGCAATATTGTGTGGGATTCTGGAGAATTGAGAAATAGCAAAATAATTTTTGATGGAGGCAGCTGGCAGGGCTAGCCCTGCCTGCAAAGTTGTCGGAAAGGACAGGTCCCACGGGAAAGAGTAGCAATATGAGATAGTGCCAAAACTATGGAATTTGAAGTCAAATGAGCTGAGGTTTCCACACTGACGTCTTTGAGCAATTACTTCACCTCTCTCAGCCAGTTTCCTCACCTAAAATATATGCATGATGATGATTCTGCCATTACAGGAAATGTTGACATGACTGTAGTAATAACAATTCACATTATGGATTATTTTCTATTTGCCATGCACTATTATTTCGCAAAATGACCCTATGGAACAGATAGCACCGTTATTCCCATTATATAGTCAATATGTGCCAGTGTACTCTGTAAAGTACTATACAAATATTAGGTATTCTTTTCTAGCATAGACTGCCAGTAAATTCACTGAGCTTGCAGAATTATGACAGGAAAACATATTAAAACCCAAAGTAGACTGGGCCCTGTGGCTTATGCCTGTAATCCCAATACTTTGGGAGGCTAAGGTGGGAGGATCACTTGAGCCCAGGAGTTCGGAAGGACCAGCCTGAGCAACATAGCGATACACTGTCTCAACAAAAAATACAAAAATTAGCTGGGAGTGGTTGGCACACCCTCGGTCCCGGCTACTCGGGAGGCTGATGTGGGAAAATCGCTTGAGCCCGGGAGGTTGAGGCTTCAGGGAGCCATAATCTCACCATTGCACTCTACCCTGGGCAACAGAACGAGACACTGTCTCAAAAAAAAAAAAAAACCCCAAACTACCTAACTAAAAAGCCATAGACACTACTATGCAGTCATTGTAAAGAATGCTATGGATGCATATTTATTTGAAAACATTTTCATGATACACTGAGTGGAAACATATATAGTATCAAATTTTCATAAGTGAATTATATTAGGTTGGTGCAAAACTAATTGTGGTTTTGCCACTTAATATAATATTTATATTAATATATTAAATGATATATTAATATAACATATGTAATATATGTTTACTATAATATTTATAATACCTATGTATATGTGCTGTTGGAAAAAAGACAAATAATATTAACAATATTGCAACTTTGGGTAATGAGATCCTGTGTGGTTAAAATTAGTTTTTCCCTATGTTTTCTAATTTTTCTGCAAGGAATATGAAGTACATGTACAATTTTATTTTAAAATTACAGCAAAAAGAGACTCAGGGCTGGGCGTGGTGACTCATGCCTGTGATCCCAACACTTTGGGAGGCCGAAGCAGGCAGATCACCTGAGGTCAGCAGTTTGAGACCAGCCTGCCCATCATGGCGAAACCCCGTCTCTACGAAAAATACAAAATTAGCCAGGCATGCGCCTGTAGCCCCAACTACTCAGGAGGCTGATGCAGGAGAATCACTTGAACCCAGACGGTGGAGGTTGCCACGAGCCGAGATCATACCCCTGTACTCCAGCCTGGGTGACAGAGCCAGACTCTGTCTCAAAAAAATAAAAAATAAAAAAAGAGACTCAGGCATGAAAACCTAACTCAAAATATTTTTTAATATTGCCTGGCACACAGTCTACTTTCCCCAGACTGACTCAGCAACAGTTGTGAGCATCTCCTCAAAACTGGCTTTATAGACCTAAGAAGCAAAATATTTTATTTCAAGGGGATCCTATTAGTGAAATTTTACATCGTCTCCCTTTGGTCATTTTTGGATGACTTGAAATAAACAGTCTTGCCTGTGTTCCTAGGCAAATGTTATAATGTTGCTAGGCAAATATCATAAATCGGAAGATAAGATTAGGAATATTTTTTACTACGTAGGAAGTGTTGAGTTAGAGTAGCAGTCCTTATGCACCTTTTTTGTACATGTAATGTGCAAATTATTATCCTTGGACACCAACTTTCAAAACTGCCTGCAGAAGTATGATGGCCGGGCGTGGTAGCTCAAGCCTGTAAATCCCAGCACTTTGGGAGGCCGAGGTGGGCGGATCACCTGAGTTCCGGAGTTCAAGATCAGCCTGGCCAACATGGTGAAACCCCGTCTCTACTAAAAATCCAAAAAAAAAAAAAAAAAAAATTAGCCAGTTGTGGTGGTGCAGGCCTGCAGTCCCAGCTACTCAGGAGGCTGAGGCAGGAGAATTGCTTGAACCTGGGAGGCAGAGGGTGCAGTGAGCTAAGATCGCCCCACTGCACTCCAGCCTGGGTGACAGAGTGAGACTGCATCTCAAAAAAAAAAAAAAAAAAAAAGTATTATGATAACTTTGGCTGACTTGACAACTTCAGTGTCTAGTTAGTGCAGGAACAGCAATAGAAAATGTATGAAATCCTTCCACTAAATCCAATAGGATATCCTGGACTGCATCCTGGAATTGAAAAAGGCAATAGTGGAAAGCCTGATGAAACCTAAATGAAGTTTAGAGTTTAGTTAACAGTATTGTACCAATGCTGATTATCTAGTTTTGACAAAATGATGCTGTGGTTATATAAAATGTTAACGTTAAGGAAAGCTGGGTGATGGATATACGGTAACTCTCTACACCTTGCAGCTGTTCTTATTACTAAATATTACATTATTCCACGTGGTGGACAGAATACTTTTTTTTTTTGAGACGGAGTTTCACTCTTGTTGCCAAGGCTGGAGTGCAATGGCACAATCTCAGCTCACTGCAATCTCCGCCTTCCAGGTTCAAGCAATTCTCCTGCCTCAGCCTCCTGAGTAGCTGGGAATAAAGGCGCGGGCCACCACACTAATTAAAAATTAGCCCAGCTAATTTTTATATTTTTAGTAGAGACGGAGTTTCACCATGTTGGCCAGGCTGATCTTGAACTCCTGACCTCAGGTGATCCACCTGCCTCAGCCTCCCAAATTGCTAGGATTACAGGTTACATTAAAAACAGGAGGAAAAGAAGAATGGAGATGTAAAGTGGAGCCAAATATCCTTCAAGCCCTGGTAGGCCTCTGAGGTTTCTATAACTACAAGTTTGCAAGGTCTGGACTGCAAACAGACTTCATGTGTCTTTAGAGCTGGAGGGGGACTGACTTTCTTTGTAGAAGCTAAAGGGCCAGAAAGGACCCATACGTAACAGAAGGACCCTCTGCAAGCAGGACCAAGACAGTCCCCAGATTATTGTCTTGAGGCTGTTCCAAGAACAGCACTCAGGCTTCCACTTCCCCAAGAAAGAAGAGCAGACTTTGGAGTCAGACAGATCTGGGTTGAATTCTGGTTCCACAATTTCTGAGCTAAACGATTTGGGGAAAGCTACTTAACATCTCTGAGCCTCAGTTTTCTCCTCATGAAGGTGCTGTGAGAACGAAATTAAGTAATGCATGTAGCGTGTCATTTTCAATGTTAGTTCATCTGCATAATCCAGATGGTGGACAGCTCGCATGTCTTAGTTGCCAGCACCTGGCCACTCCTCCAAGGAGGGATGAAGGTCAAACAGAACCTGTCCAGGGAAGGGCAGTCAGGATGGTGAGAGATCTGGAAATTACGTCCCATGTGGAAGGGCTGAAGGAACTGAGTATGAAGAACTAGACTAAGAGGAGACTTGTGATAAGTAGAACCATCCTCAGGGGGGCATGATTAGACTTATTTTCTGTTATGCCAATGAGCCAAATTAAGACCAAGTTTTCGAAGTTACAGAATGCAGATTTCAGCTCCATATAAGAACTTTCTGAAAACAATATCAGCAGCAATAATTGTCAATTCACATTACAGGCTGTTTTCTGTGAGCAAGGCACTGTTATCTTATTTAAGTCTCCAAATAACCCTATGAGAAAGGGTGCAGTAGAAAGTTATTTAATGACTCAGGAATCACTTCACCATAGGTGGTTCAGTGAAATTAAGCTTACTAGTAGTGAAATGGTCTATGTGGAAGAGAAATGAGATCCCAATCACTGCATGTGTTCAAGCAGAGGCTGGCTGAACAGGTAGTAAAATAAAGTTACAACAGCGTAGGGAATGTTAGTGATTTGAGTTCTAGGGACATGAGAGGATTCCGACAGAGATGCACAGCCAGTGAGCTGCACAAATGACTGAGCAAGCTCCTGAACCGGCGTCCTCTAAGGCCTCCTGTGGTGCTATGGTAATGAATTCCTTGCAAGGCCAGCTGTTAGCAGCAAGACTCAGAAAGTGCTGCAGAGAGTTTGAATGCTCCAAAAGCAGTGACTCCAGCATTCCTGGGTATTGCCTGCCTGATAAGGTAAGAAGCTACACAGTTCGTTCTCCAGTCCCTCCTGCATGCAGGAGAGCTTAGATGCACTCTACAGAGCCCCCATTCATTCTTCCTTTTCCTGAGCCCTTAGCCTAGCCTGGGGAAAGAGGTTGAGACAGCCTGATCACTATGGGTCCTGGTGGCCTTCTGGCCATCAGAAAAGATGTCAGAGGAGCAGTTCTGATGGCAGAACTTAGGGAGGGGGCACAGTGCAGCTGTCACTGTCTCCTTCCTGTCTGGGACAAATTAGGAAAAGTCACAAACTAATAATAGTTAACATGGGGGCTAGGTGCAGTGGCTCATGCCTGCAATTCCAATAGTTTTGGAGGCTGAGAAGGGAGGAATACTTGAGGTCAGGAGTTCCAGCTCAGCCTAAGCAACATAGTGAGACCCCCATCTCTACCAAAAAAATAGCTGGGCGTAATGGTGCACAGCTGTAGTCCTAGCTACTTGGGAGTCTGGAGCAGGAGGATTGCTTGAGCCCAAGAGATCGCAGCTGCAGTGAGCCATGATCATGCCACTGCACTCCAATCTGGGCAACTGAGCGAGACCCTGTCTCTAAAAAAAAAAACCAAACCAGGGCTAGGCGCGGTGGCTCACGCCCGTAATCCCAGCACTTTGGGAGGCCGAGGCAGGCAGATCACAAGGTCAAGAGACCGAGACCATCCTGGCCAACATGGTGAAACCCCGTCTCTACTAAAAATACAAAAATTAGCTGGGCGTGGTGGCGTGCGCCTGTAGTCCCAGCTACTCAGGAGGCTGAGGCAGGAGAATCGCTTGAACCCGGGAAACAGAGATTGCTGTGAGCTGAGATAGTGCCATTGCACTCCAGATTGGACAACAAGAGTGAAACTCTGTCTCAAAAAAAAAAAAAAAGAGGTGAGGTCTTTGGGGAGGTGATTGAGTGGAGTGAGGGCTCCTCCCTCCTCACAAGTGGGATCACTAGCCTTATAAGAGGGCTCGAGACCAGCCTGACCAACATGGTGAAACCCCATCTCTACTAAATACAAAAAATTAGCCAGGCTTGGTGATGCATACCCGTAATCCCAGCTACTTAGGAGGCTGAGGCAGGAGAATCACTTGAACCTGGGAGGTGGATGTTGCAGTGAGCTGAGACTGCACCATTACACTCCAGCCTGGGCAACGAGAGTGAAAACTCCATCTAAAAAAAAAAAAAAAAAAAAAGCAGGGGGCTTGAGAGAACTACCTAGGCCTTTTTTCCCCTCTGCCCTTCCTCCATGTGAGGACATAGCAAGAAGGCTCTCACCAGACACCAAATATGCTGGTGCCTTGATCTTGGACTTCCCAGCTTCCATAACTGTGTGAAATAAATTTCTGCTTTTTTTTTTTTTTTTTTTTAAGGCGGAGTTTTTTGGCCAGGCTGGTCTGGAACTCCTGTCCTCGTGAACCGCCTGCCTCGGCACCCCAAAATGCTGGGATTACAGGCATGAGCCACTGTGCCTGTCCAATTTTTGCTCTTTGTAAATTACCCAGTCTGTGGTATTTTGTTATAGCAGCTCAAAAGGACTAAGACAAGGTACTTATTTATTGTCCCCCATTGTACAGCCGCAACAAGTTAAATACAATTCCCAACATTGCAAAGCTAGCCAGTGGAGGCTCACACACCAGCAGTCTAGCTGCACAGCCCACACTGTCACTCACTGGAAAAGGCTGTCCCAGAGCTCCTTTTGCCAACACTGCCAGTGTTGGAAGACTCACACTTGGCTTCCTCAGAGTTAGCTTGTGTTTCCAGCTAACATGGACTGTAATATCTGACTGTAATACCTGGGTATATTGGTTTACTAGGGTGCCATACCAAAGTACCACAAACAGTGGACATTTATTGTCTCATAGGCCTGGAGGCCAAAAGTCCAAAATCAAGGCATTGTCAGAGTTGGTTCCTTCTGAGGGCTGCGAGGAAGAAACTGTTTCATGCTCTCCCCTACTTTCTGCTGGTCTACTGACAATTCTTGGCATTCCTTGGCTTGTAGAAGGAACACCCTTATATCCACCTTCATCTTCACATGTTCCTCTGTGTGTGTGTTTACATAGAAATTTCCTCTTTATATAAGGACGCCAGTCATATTGGGTTAGGGCCCACCCTGGTGACTTCATTATAACCTAATTCTATCTACAATGTACCTATTTCCAAATAAAGCCTGTTAAATAAAATTTATAGGCGGCCATTGGCTTGGACTGAGCTCCTGCACTAGGCCCAACCAAAATGGAGTCATTCATGCTAAGGTTCCATGTCACCAAATTGAAACTAATTTGTTTATCTGACCATCTGAGAAATGAAGAGAGTGAGGGATAATAGCCAAATCCCCAAAGAAGCCAGTTTTAGCCGGCATGATAAGGAAATCCCCTCTGCTTCAGCCTTAACAAGAAAGTAACTCTGAAACAACCAATCCACTTTTTGTTTTCTGTTTCCGCTTTCCTTAGCCTTTTTCTCTCCATTGGACCAAACTCCTCTGCTCAGCTCTTGGGAACACCCGTTTTATTTTATAGGATGAGGTGTTGCTTGATTCTAGAATTGTAAATAAAAGCAGTTAAGATATTTAAATTTGTTGTAATTTTGTTTTGTTTTTTTTTTCTCGCTCTGTTGCCCAAGCTGGAGTGCAGTGGTGCGATCTGGGCTTACTGCAACCTCCACCTCCCAGGTTCAATCAGTTCTCATGCCTCAGCCTCCTGAGTAGCTGGGATTACAGGCATGAGCTACCACACCCAATCCTAATTTTGTCTTTTGAAAGATCAAATTCTGAGGTACTGGGGGTTAGGACTTGAACAAATGAATTTTGGAGGGACACAATTCAACCCATAACATGAGGTGCAAACACTACTCTAGGCAAGATTTGAAGAAATAGAACTGACCTCGGTGGCCAAGAACAGATTTATTGGTGTCTTTGAACCCAAATAGGTAAAAATTATTTCCATTTACACTAGGTCATATCTTATAGTCTCCCAGAAGCCAGTGGCACGAGCCTGGAAGATTTACAACTCAGGCCAGGCATGTTGGCTCACACCTATAATCCCAGGACTTTGGGAGGCCAGGGTGGGGGGATCACTTGAGCCCAGGAGTTCAAGACCAGCCTGGGCAACACAGCAAGATCCCGTCTCTAAAAACAAACAAACAAATAAAAACACAATACTTGTGACCTACTCTGCACTGCCCATGGTTTTGCAGAGGATGGGGGTCAGGATGTCTAGAGGAAAGAGTATTGAACGGCAATGACTCAAACTTCCAAGCCCTCTTCTAGGTCACCATGTGACTTAGCTGTTTGACAAGATCACTGAAATTGCCCTTTCAAGAGCTACTAAAGTGTCAGGGGAAGAGATTCGAGTAATTTGTTGATTTAGCATTATGGTAATTTCTTATTGTACTGTGTTTTTTTCTGTTTAGTTCCAAAACGTTTAGCAACTGTACCCTCCAAGGCACTGTGGGAGGTGGCAAGATAAAGACAGCACTGTCTACAAGGAGCTCACCATCCTGTGAAAGACACAGCAGGTAGCCAGCTACCTGTAGGGCAAGGTCACCCGGATAAGAAGTGTTGTACAGAGCTTGCAGAAACAAGGGCAAGAGAAGGGGAGGAAGGGAAGGCTTCCTAGAGGTGTGGTACTTCAATGGGGCCAACTCATCACAGGTTATTTTGCCTCCTACAGGTGGCAATGAACCCCCAATAACACATAGCCCTCTTCTGTTAAAGACCACCAGAATACACAACTTCTTAAAAAAGAAAAGCTAAATGAGAGATTCACCAAGGATAGAGGCTTTTCCTTTCACATAATCATCAGAATGGAGCAGAGGAGGGTAAGGAAGACCTTTTACTTTTTGCAATATACAGATATTTCTGAATTATCATTTTTTGAGAGAACATTTAGTGTTCATTCCATAAATATTTAAGTATCGACTCTGAACCAGGCACTGCTATAGGTGCTGGGGATTCAGCCTGTACTATTATTATAATAAAAATTATAATAGAAACACTGAGAATAGATGACAAATGATTAGGCTTTGAAACAGATTGCTTGAGTGTGCATGACTGTCATTGATATTGATTTATTTTCCTTCAGATTGTTTAAAGTCTATCTTGAACGTCAACAATTAAAAAAAAGGCACCATTAAAAAATATCCAAATGAGGGGTCAGGAAGGATTTTTATACTATCTGTATTTTAAAAAATCTTCTACAGAGAACACATCAAGCCCAGGCAGTGGTGGAAAGGTGATGGGGTTGAAGGACACACCTAAACATGTGGAATCCCAATGCCAGGCAGCCAGGGCCAAATCCATATCCCCCCAACATCGGGTACCCTGGAGGTTCCAATCCTGCCCACCCACCACCTGTCAATCTACCCTTTCCCCCAGGCCCCTTTCCTCCTCCCTCAGGAGCTCCCCAGGGCAATCCAGCTTTCCCCCCAGGTGGACGCCCTCATCCTGTGCCACAGCCAGGGTGTCCAACCTTCGGGTCCCTACCTTCCTCCATACCCACCACCTGCCCCTGGAATGCCTCCTGTGAATCCCTTGGCCCCTGGCTTGGTTGGACCAGGAGTGATAGTGGACAAGAAGATGTAGAAGAAAATGAAGAAAGCTCATAAAAAGATGCACAAGCACCACAAGCATGGCAAGCATTCCTCCTCCTCCTCTTCCTCCTCCTCTTCCAGCAGTGACCCTGACTGAATACAGGCCCTGGACCCTTCCCTCAAGTCTCACCAGTTCTGCTCTCCCATCAAGCATCAGATGCCATGTTGTACTGGGGGAAAGTAGCCCTTGTGCTCCCCCCACCACCACCCCGCAAGCCTCACCCTGCTGTTGAGCCCTGAGTGGCGAGGGAAAATGGGAAGAGGATTGCCATGGCATGGCCATCTTCTTGCTGCTTGGATAGATCACATAGCTAATGAGTTTAGCAGGGGAGCCATTTTTTGAAGATGATGAACTAAATGTTGAAGACAAGTTAAAATAAATCTTCTACAGTACGAATATATTAATGTATTACTTGCAGAATAAAATTAAAATTTAGGAAAGATGTGTTGGTAAGTTAAGTTTTAGAGAGCTGATTATGCTGCTGTTGTTTCTTTTTTTAATTATGAAACATACCATAAATGAAAAGACATATATAACAGATGCACAATTTAAATTTTTTTTTTAAATTTCAGTAGTTTTAGGGGTTCAGGTGGTTTAGGGATACATGGATAAGTTCTTTAGTGGTGATTTCTGGGATTTTAGTGCACCCATCACCCGAATGTACACTGTGCCCAATGTATAGTCTTTTATTCCTCACCCCCTCCCAACCTTCCCCACCAAGTCCCCAAAGTCCATTATATCATTCTTATGCCTTTACATCCTCCTAGCTTAGCTCCCACTTAAAAGTGAGAACTTACAATATTTGTTTTTCCATTCCTGAGTTACTTCACTTAGAAAAACAGCCTCCACCTCCATCCACGTTGCTGCAAAAGACATTATTTCATTCCTTTTTATGGCTGAGTAGTATTCCATGGTGTATATATACCAAGTTTTCTTTATGTACTCATTGGTTGATGGGCACGTAAGTTGGTTCCATATCTTTGCAATTGTGAATTGTGCTGCTATAAACGTGGGTGTGCATGTCAGACACACAGTTTAAAGGATAATACCCTCTAACATTCTGAGGCTAAAAACAATTACCCAACTAAGAAATAAAATAGGAACAATATCCTAGAAGCCCCCTCTGTGCTGATCCTGGGATCTTCTCTCTCTCCCCAGAGATAACCACCATCTTGACTTCTCTAATAACTCTCTAGATTTTAGAAATTATTTTGCTACCTTTCTATGTATCTCTAAATAATGTATTATTTAGCTTTGTCTGTTTTTGAACTATATAAAAACAGAATCATTCAGTATGTATTATTCTATGACTTCCTTTTTTCCTCTCAAAATTCTTTTTGAGATTCACCCATGTGGATGCATGCATGCATCTAATAATTCAGTTTTTAAATTAATTTATGTTTTATTCACTTGCTTTGGTAAGCTGATGAATGTTAAGGGTATATCTAACATTTGTATGTATTTATTTGTGTAACCACCACTGACATCAAGATAGAGAACATTTTTAGCACCCTAGAAAGCTCGCTTGTTCTTCTTTCCAATTACTATCCCACAGAAGTAACCACCATTCATACCTAAGCAACAAACATTAGTTTTGAGTTCTTTCATTTTTCACTGCTGCATAGTATTCCAGTATATGCATATTTTATACATACATACATACATACATATATATGTATATATATATTTTTCTAAGCCAGAGTCTTGCTCTGTCACTCAGGCTGGAGTGCAGTGGCACAATCATGGCTCACTGTAGCCTTGAACTCCTGGGCTCAAGTGATCTCCCACCTTAGCCTTCTGAGTAGCTAGGACTCCAGGCACAAACCACCATTCCTGGCTATATTTTGTAAATTTGGTCATAAAGTGATTGCTGATTGGCTCTTGGATCTCTGGATGAGGTTAGCGAAGCAAGCTTACCTCCATTATTTGATTAACCTAAAATGACATAAGTCTACAGTTTACACAATGGTATTTTTTGAAACTCACTTAAAACATCATAACAGAGATTTATTACACCAGTTTATTTAATCCTTCCTACTTTAGAAGGACTTTTTTGGGGATGTTGTTTTTTTGGGGCTAACACAAACAGTGCTTCCAAGAATATTCTTCCACCTGTCTCCAGGTATACAGGTACATTATTTTCACTGGGATCCACACTCTAGGAAGGAATGGCTGGATCACAGTGTGTTTTTGTTTTTGTTTTTGAGACGGAGTCTCACTCTGTCATCCAGGCTGGAGTGCAGTGGCACTGTCTCAGCTCACTGCAACCTCTGCCTCCCTGGTTCAAGCGATTCTCCTGCCTCAACCTCCTGAGTAGCTGGGATTACAGGCACCTGCCACCACATCTGGCTAATTTTTGTGTTTTTTGTATTTTCAGTAGAGATGGGGTTTCAACATGTGGGCCAGGCTGGTCTCGAACTCCTGACCTC
This sequence comes from Homo sapiens, assembly GCF_000001405.40. Taxonomy (NCBI): domain Eukaryota; kingdom Metazoa; phylum Chordata; class Mammalia; order Primates; family Hominidae; genus Homo; species Homo sapiens. The sequence goes on from NC_000018.10 coordinate 49,472,561, forward strand.
AATTGATTCACCCACTGAGCCTCCCAAAGTGCTGGAATTACAGGCATAAGCCACTGCGCCCTGCTGTGCATGTTTAACTTTACCAGATAATGCTGACAAAGCAGTTGTACCAATTTGCACTCCCACCAGCAGTACACGAGAACTGCCTCTGCTCTTCATCCTCCCAACCTTTGATATTTAATCTTAACCATTCTGGTGGTTTCTCATTAGGGTTCTAATTTGCATTTTTCTGATGAAACCTGTGTCTTCATATTTATGCACCTGTCTTCTTTCCTCTCCTATGTGAAATACACTATTTATTTAACTGTCTTCCTCATGCCCCCTCCATCTGAAATGATTTCTAGTCATCCAATTTAGGGTCAGAAAAGACTATGCTGAGTGGCTGTCTAAATGACAAGAAAATAAAATCTCCAGAGTTTAAAATCAATAAAGCCTAGGGGCATTAATAGATGGGAACTATGAGATTCCAATCCTCAGCGGGTTCCCAAGTAATTGAAGGACTGGAATAGTTTGTCAGCAAAGGGGTCAAGTTTGGTGGGCAGACTTCTAAGATAGGCCCCTAGATTCCTGGACCTTGAAGTACAGGCACTTTCTCCCAAACACCAATCAAATACTCATCTAGGCTGGGCGCAGTGGCTCATGCCTGTAATCCCAGCGCTTTGGAAGGCTGAAGCAGGTGGATCACCTGAGTTCGGGAGTTCGAGACCAGCCTGGCAAACATGGTGAAACCCCGTCTTTGCAAAAAATACAAAAATTAGCAGGGCATGGTGGGGCACGCCTGTAGTCCCAGCTACTCGGGAGGCTTAGGCAAGAGAATCTCTTGAACCGGGAGGCAGAGGTTGCAGTGAGCCGAGATCTTGCAACTGCACTCCAGCCTCGGTGACAGAGCAAGATTCTGTCTCAAATACATAATTAAATAAAATAAAAAATAAAAATACAAAAATTAGTCGGGCATGGTGGCACGTGCCTGTAGTCCCAGCTACTTGGGAGGCTGAGGCAGGAGAATCACTTGAACCTGGGAGGCGGAAGTTGCAGTGAACTGAGATTGTGCCACTGCACTCAAGCCTGGGCGATAGGCTGGACAGACTCCGTCTCAAAAAAACAAACAAAAAATGAAGAAGAAGGAGGAGGAGGAGGAGGAAGAGGAAAAGGAAGAGGAAGCAGCAGAAGCAGAAGGAAAATACTCACCTGGTTGCTGCTGTGAAGTGATTTTGCAGATACTGTATAATTAAGGTCCCAAATTAGTTGACCTTGGGAGGTTATCCAGTCATGCCTGATTTAATCACTCTGCCCTTTAAAAGCAGAGGATTTTCTGGCTGATCCCAGAAGATTAGAAGGCAGAAAAATATGCTCCAGATGAGTTGGAAGAAAGGGAACATCGATGTGGGGAGCTGACCTTGGAGGACACGTGCTAAGGAACTGCGAGCAGCTTCTGGGAGCTAAGAGCAGGGCCTGGCTGACTAGGAGGAAAACAGGACTACAAGGAAATAAATTCTGCTGACAAGCTGTGAGCTTGGAAGACCCCTGAGCCCAGATGAGAACTGCGGACCTGGCCTGCATCCTGATTTTAGCCTGGTGAAACCCTGAGCAGAGAATCCAACTAGACCATACCAGGACATCTGACCCCTAAAACTGGGAGGTAATAGATTTGGGTTGCTTTAAGCCCCTACATTTGTGGCAATTTGTTATGCAGCTATAGAAAACCAATGTACCAAGGAATTCCGGAACTACACCTGCTGAATTATCAAGTCAGGAATAAGACCCTTGTGTAAAGTATAGACCTAGGGGAATCTTTGACATTGCTGTCAATGTGTATGGTGCCTTCTGAAATTGGGCAGCGCACGCTTAGCCCCACTGTACACAGCACCCTTGCAGGAAACTTGGCTCATGCCCTGTTACAGCATCTGGGCTACCGCTTTTAACCTTTTTAGCCCTTAGTAAAAATGACAGGATTGGTTTGAACGTACCCTAAGGTCCAGACCAGCTCAACGTTTGAGCATTTGGTATATTTTGTGAATCGTCTACCACATGCCAGCCCTTCACAGTTCATCTATAGTTGTTACTTTCTCAATTTCACCCTCTCCTTTCACTTGAAAAATCTGAAATTTCTTTACATCCTCAATTTAAACTTACCGATATTCAACTCTCTGCCCAAATGCCTTCTGCTCTTTTTCTTCAAACCTTCCATGCTGTCAGTTCATAAGAACAAGTTTGCCCATTGTCTTCTGTTTTCTGTTATTAGAACTGAGTATCTGAAACTGGGTAGTTTATAAATCAAATTTATTTCTTAGAATTACGGAGGCTAAGAAGTCCCAGGTCAAGGGGCTGCATCTGGTGAGAGCCCTCTTGCTGGTAAGGACTCTGCAGAGTCCCAAGGCAGTGCAGGACATCACATGGCCAAGTGTGCTAGCTCAAATTTTTTCCTATTTTGTCACCCAGGCTGGACTAGAGTGCCATGATCACAGGTCACTGTAGCCTCAAACTTCTAGGCTCAAGTGATCCTCCCACTTTAGTCTCCTGAGTAGCTGGGTTTACAGGAGGGTCCCACTACACCTAGATTATTTATTTATTTATTTATTTATTTATTTATTTATTTATTTATTTATTTTTTGAGACGGAGTTTCGCTCTTGTTGCCCAGACTGGAGTGCAATGGCATGATCTCGGCTCACCGCAACCTCCGCCTCCCTGGTTCAAGCAATTCTCCTGCCTCAGCCTCTCTAGCAGGTGGGATTATAGGCATGCATCACCATGCCCGGCTAGTTTTGTATTTTTAGCAGAGACAGGTTTTTCCATGTTGGTCAGGCTGGTCTTGAACTCCCAACCTCAGGTGATCCGCCTGCCTTGGCCTCTCAAAGTGCTGGGATTACAGGCGTGAGCCACCGTGCCTGGCGATAATTTATTCTTAATTTTTTGTAGAGACACTTTTTTTTTTTTTTTTTTTTAATGAGAAGGAGTCTTACTCTGTCACCAGGCTGGAATGCAGTCACGTAATCTCGGCTCACTGCAACCTCCAGCTCCCCAGTTCAAGCAATTCTCCTGCCTCAGCCTCCTGAGTAGCTGGGACTATAGGCACATGCCACCCCACCCAGCTAATTTTTTTGTATTTTTAGCAGAGATGGGGTTTCACTGTGTTGGCCAGGATGGTCTCGATTTCCTGGACCTTGTGATCCGTCCGCCTCAGCCTCCCAAAGTGCTAGGATTACAGGCATGAGCCACTGCGCCCTGCTGAGACAGGGTCTTTTAATTTTTATTTATTTTATTATTCTGAGACAGGGTTTCCTTCTATTGCCCAGGCTGAAGTGCAGTGGCGTAATCATAGCTCACTGCAGCCTCAAATTCCCAGGTTCCAGTGATCCCCTTGCCTCAGCCTTCCAAGTAGCTGGGACCACAGGCATGCACCACTATGCCAGGCTAATTGTTTCATTTTTATGTTTTGCAGAGATGAGGGTCTCACTATGTTGCCCAGGCTGGTTTCAAACTCCTGGCCTCAAGCACTCCTCCTTCCTTGGCCTCCCAAAGGGCTTTAATTATAGGCGTGAACCACGGTGCCCAGCCTTTTCCTCTTTTTTTTTTTTTTTTGAGACGGTATCTCACTCTGTCACCTAGGCTGGAGTGCACTGGTGCAATCTAGGTTCACTGCAACCTCTGCCTCCCGGGTTCAAGCAATTCTCCTGCCTCCGCCTCCCGAGTAGCTGGCAGTACAGGTGCATGCCACCACACCTGGCTGATTTTTTTTTTGTATTTTAGTAGAGACGGGGTTTCACCGTGTTGCCCAGGCTGGTCTTGAACTCCTGAGCTCAGACAATCCGCCTGCCTCGGCCTCCCAAAGTGCTGAGATTACAGGCGTGAGCCACCGTGCCCGGCGCCTTTTCCTCTTCTTATAAAAGCTTCCAGTTCTACTCCTATGATAACCCGTTAAATCTATTAACCCACTAATCCATTAATCCATGAGTGAATGAATCTATTCATGAGGGCAGGGCCCTCATGACCCAATTACCTTTTAAAGGCCCTACCTCTCACTACTGCCACATTGGGGATTAAATTTCAACATGAGTTTTGGAGCGGACATTCAAACCAAAGAACCCATAGTCTTTGCTTCTTTATTAAGGAGCTGTCGCCATGTCAATAAATTTAGCTTTGAGGTTAGAACAAGCAAGTAGCTCCCTGTGGAGGAAACCATAAGAAAACTTCCATTTCCTCTTTGATTACGACTGAACTAGACTTAAGATCAGTCTCTGCGCCAGGCGCAGTGGTTCATGCCTGTAGTCCCAGCTACTCGGGAGGCTGAGACAAGAAGATCACTTCAGCCCAGGAGTTTGAGCCTGCAGTGAGCTATGATTGCGCCACTGCACTCCAGCCTGGGCAACAGAGTGAGACTCTGTCTCTAAAAAATAATAACAAATGAAAAGATCAGCGGTTGGAGTTTCTTTTTAATCCAGGCATTCTGTCAACATGCCAGTTCTGAATGGTCACTTTAAGGAAGTGCTGAGTCACCTATGTTTCCTAAGAAGGCAGCCTAGTAATGGAAAAAAAAAAAAAAAAGTGATGAAACCCAAGTTTTAGCCTCAAGTAATTACCTGAGAAAATGAGTCTAACTCATAAAATGAGACGGGAAATGCAGTTAAAATTCATAAAGCAAAAATAAGTTGTTGAAAAGTAGGTAAATTAAAAACTCAAGATACAAGGTTAGCAAAATTAACTTTATTATTATTTATTTGAAACGGGGTATTGCTCTGTTGTCCTGGCTGGAGTACAGTGGTGTGATCTTGGCTCACTGCAACTTCCGCCTCCTGGACTTAAGCGATCCTCTCACCTCAGCCTCCAGAAACTTTAAAACAAGTTCACACATACTGATTAATCTAAACTCACCCTCTCCATTTCTGCCTAATTATTCCCAATAAGGTATTACTAACAATTAAGATATTAGTAGCTGTGGCAGCCGGGCCCAGTGCTTATGCCTGTGATCCCAGCACTTTGGGAGGCCAAGGCAGGCAGATCACTGGAGGTTGGGAGTTTGAGACCAGCCTGACCAACGTGGTGAAACCCCGTCTCTACTAAAGTACAAAATTAGCCGGGTGTGGTAGCACGCACCTGTAATCCCAGCTACTTGGGAGGCTGAGGCAGAATCGCTTGAACCTGGGAGGAGGAGGTTGTGGTGAGCAGAGATTGCACCATTGCACTGCAGCCTGGGCAACAAGAGCGAAACTCCATCTTCCAAAAACAAACAAACAAACAAAAATATATATATATACACACACTATATATATATACACATATATATATATACACACACTATATATATACACACTATATATATACACTATATATATATACACTATATGTATATACACTATATATATATACACACTATATATATATATACACTATATATATATGTAGCTGTGATGGCTCCTTAGCATGAAAGTATGACCTTGAAATCTTAGACTTGTCATTTACATATTTAAACTCCATTATTCTTTTTTTCTTTTTTTAAGACAGGGTCTTGCTCTGTTGTCCAAGCTAGAGTGCAGTGGCTTGATCACAGCTCACTGTAGCCTTTAACCTCCTGGGTTCAAGCAATCCTCCCACCTCAGCCTCCAGAGTAGCTGGGACCACAGGTGCACATCACCATATGCCTAGCTAAATTTTTTAATTTTTGGTGGAGGCGAGGTCTCCCTATGTTGCCCAGGCTGGGATCCTGTTTTTCTTTTTCTTTTCTTTTGAGACAGTCTTGCTCTGTCACCTAGGCTGGAGTGCAGTGGTACAATTTCAGCTCACTGCAACCTCTGCCTCCTGGTTTCAAACGATTCTCATGCCTCAGCCTCTGGAGTAGCTGGGATTACAGGTGTGTACCACTATGCCCGACTAATTTTTGTATTTTTAGTAGAGACAGGGTTTCACCATGTTGGCCAGGCTGGTCTTGAACTCCCGGCCTCAAGTGATCCTCCCACCTCGGCCTCCCAAAGTGCTGGGATTATAGGCTTGAGTCACCGCCTCCGGTGGATCCTGTTTTCTTGACTGTATTTCAGGTTTATGCAGACCAGGTAGGTTTGTGTGTGTGAAACACCCATGAACAGTGCAGGTACAATGTGTTTAACAAAGGGTAGCTCTTACTAAAAAGGCAGCCCTGACCTTTACACAGACAGATGTTGATATTTTAGGGCAAAGAAACATTTGTGTGGTATCAAACAGTGGCTACCAACTCCAGCCCATGGATAACTGATAAAAGCTTTTAACAATTAGCCTCCAAAATAAGAAAAATATGAACAAAATAGTGAATTTTTCATAAAATTAACACTTTTCATACGCTTATTCAAACTGATGGCTATTTTTGTCCACTATTCCCATGTTCTTTTTCACTCTTCTGGTGTCAAACTGTCTTTTACGAAATACTGGTAATAAATTGTAGCTTTTTGATATACTCCTGCTTGGAAAAATCAAAAGTTGGCAATTGCATACTAGCCACCCCTATCCTGCTTTTAAAATGTTGCTAGTATGAAAACAACGACTGGGAACCAGTGTTCTAGAGAGGGAGACTTGTTAGAAATGAGAAAGGCCTTAGGAGACCCGCAGCTCTCTGGAAAACAGGCTTAAATAAATTGGAATCATCCCGGGGACACTTTCCAAAATTATCCATACTCAACCTCCTAAAAGTATTGAATTAGAAAACTGCTGTGCTACAGAAAAAATGAGGGATAAACCAAGAAGGAAGAGGATAGGAAATCCAGAAACAAGACGTCCAATACAGGAGGGTGGCAACAGAAAGTCCCGAGGACTGCAGTGTGCACCAGGTCTAGGCAACAACTAGGCAGGAGAGGTGTATGGGGAGAAGGTAAACTGGTCACTCCAGGAAGACACCACCTGTATATTAAAAGGGACGCAATCACAGTGCATTAACCTGTGCAGTGAGCAATAGTATTCTCCCAGGCAGTGTCCCAGCAAGCCAGATAGCACTCTTGAGAGGAAGCAGTAGCCCAGAGCCAGTAACAGAAATACCACCACCCCTGGGCCCAAAAGGGCAGGGTGAAGGACAGGTTAGGAAAAATAAAAGAAGTCAGGTGGAGTTGGCTGCCTGGAGTGTTCCTTGAGGCACAGTGACTTCTGGCTGAGGAACAGTTGGCCTGAGGTGACCTTGCAGAGAGAGGGCCAAGGGAATAAACACTCTGCCTTCATTCTCCTCCCTCCAGCCATCTCCTGCTATGGATCGCTATTGGCCAAACCCAGCAGAACCCAGAGACATGGGAAGTCTGTTGATGTCTATACAGCTTCCTTGGGCTGAAAGCAGGATGAGGGGAGCAGAGACTTGGGAGGGGCAAATGAAAGACACCTGGCACACTCATGCTATGAACACTGATGATGTAAGCAAAATTTACAAAAGCACTTGGGAGGATGTGTGGGAGGAGCAGAGGCAGTGTAAGATAGCGGCATCTCAACCATTATGGGAAACAATGTCTGAAGTTGATGGCTCAAAATATAACAGTATAGCCAGGCAGTGGCTCATGCCTGTAATCCCGACACTTTGGGAGGCTGAGGCAAGAGGATCACTTTGAGGCCAGGAGTTTGAGACTCGCTTGGGCAACAGAGCAAGACCCCGTCTCTACAAAAAATTAGCCAGGCGTGGTGGCACACACCTGTAGTCCTAGCAATTCAGGAGGCTGAGGTGGGAGGATCACTTGAGCCCAGGAGTTGGAGGCTGTAGTGAGCTATGATGATGCCGCTGCACTCCAGCACCTGGGTGACAGTGAGACCCTGTCTCAAAAAATAAAATGTTTATATTTTTATATTTTTATAATTTATTTATAAATATGGAGATAAATTTAAAAAGCCCACAGCTCAGTAGGTAAAACCTTTGAGGAGCAAAGAAGTAGGGACAATTAGAAACGTTGCAATATTACTTAATTTTTAAAAGATGATGTGTGGGCCAGGTGCAGTAGTAGCTCATGCCTGTAATCCCAGCACTTTGGGAAGCCAAAGTGGAGGATCGCTTGAGCCCAGGAGATCGAGATCAGCCCAGGCAACATGACGAAACCCTGTCTCTATAAAAAAAATTACAAAAAACATTAGCTGGGCATGGTGGTGTGCACCTGTAGTCCCAGCTACTTGAGAGGCTAAGGTGAGAGGATCACTTCAGGACTGCAGGTCGAGGCCATAGAGAGCCGTGATCATGCTGCTGCACTCCAGCTTGAGTGACAGAGTGAGACCCTGTCTCAAAAACATAAATAAATAAAAATGATGTGCATATTTAAGAACAAATTAATTTTCAAAAAGTTGCTAGAAGGTTACACACAAAATCAACTGGGGCGGACTCTGGATGCACTGCCTATGAATTAGCCTTGCTCCACAAGGAGCAGCACTGTTCAGGAAAAGACTACTGTCTAACAAAAACAAACCATACAACAACAACAACAAAAAAACAATTGGTTACCTCTGTGGAGCTGGAATAAGGGAATGAGAGTTGAGAAAAAACATTCGCTTTTCATTTAGGATCCTCTTGCATTGTTGTACTGTAAATATCTGTTATTTTTATAATAGTATTTATACCTTAAAAAAGTTTATTTGCTAATGAGAATTTATCTTATCCCTCAGGTGGCTTTGGACAGAAAAGCTGAGACCTGCTGATTTACATGATTTATATCAAATAAAGCCCAAGGTAAATCAGTGACTTGACCAGCCACAGAACTTAATAGAGCCTGAGTTAGGACCCAGACTTCATTAGGGACCCAAGGGCAGGAGTTCCTTTTAATCTTTCCCAGCTTCAGAGTGAATACAAAAAATATATAAGGATGCATCTCATCATCTTTGAATATTTATAGGTCCCTACACTGAATTTTCAAAGCCCAAGATAAAAATCACATAGCGGCCCAGGTCCAGACCCAGGCCCAGCCAGCCATATGAGTGAGCCCAGAACAGCAAAGAACTGCCCAGTCGAGTCACTGCTGCTGAAAACCACTAAATTTTGGAGTGTCTTGTTACGCAACAATAGTAATTGTTGTCCCACCACTACACAGATGCCATCACAACATCCAAATTCTGCCTTCTGACGTGGTGAAAAATTTCCCTTTTGAATATTTCAATAGACTTTAAAAGAAAATGAACTACCAGTTAAACTGAATGTTTAATACATTTGTAGGAACAGAAGAAATGCAGTAAGGATTAAAATTTTATAATTAGACATTAATGTAACAGATGTTTCATTTTTCAAAGAAGTTTCCCCCTTTTCCCTATCTTTTTTTAATCTTCCTTAGAGCAATAAATAGTAATTACTATATTTGTGGACAAGCTGCTCCACTGTGTTGGACAGTAATTATTAAATCTTTATGTTTCACATCATTATTACCTCCCAAAATTCTACCTTCATTTCCCTGCACAGTTTCACTGGACTGTTTCACAACAAAATTGTACTCCACTCAAATTAGAAGAGCCCAAAGAAATTAGAGCAAACAGCAAATTCATATGAATTAGAGAACCAAAGATTTTAAAGTGCTGATTTAGTAACATAATGTCTACTGGCACAAACCTTCTATTTAATCATATTATTCAAACAGCAATAACAGAAATGAAAGCTACATTAACGAAAAAGGAACTTAGGAATGAGGTCATTAAATATAACTAACTACATTTTAAATACGGATATCATATATTTCCTGATTAGTATCAGGTAAATATCTAGACTCCTATCCTGAATTCCGGTCTCAGATAAAAAGGTCAGAGACAATTACAAGGAAGATGCTTCATATTATCAGGTCCATTTTTTAAATGATGGGGTCCTTTAGGAAAATTTCTTTAGTCTTTCTTTTTATCACAGATTTCTGTTGGTCCTTTTGTTGGTAATCCATTCATGTCTGCACCCTAAAATGAAAAAACATTTTAGAAATTATCATAACAAGCCGGGTGCGGTGGCTTATGCCTGTAATCCCAGCACTTTGGGAGGCTGAGGCAGGCAGATCACGAGGTCAGAAGATCGAGACCATCCTGGCTGACATGGTGAAACCCCGTCCCTACTAAAAATACAAAAATTAGCTGGGTATGGTAGCATGTGCCTATAATCCCAGCTACTCAGGAGGCTGAGGCAGGAGAATCGTTTGAACCTGGGAGACGGAAGTTGTGGTGAGCCAAGATTATGCCACTGCACTCTAGCCTGGTGACAAAGCGAGACTTCATCACAAAAACAAAAACAAAAAAAAAAAAAGAAAGAAATTATTACAACAAAAAGATATTAAGAGACATTCTGTCTCTCTCTTTTTTTTTTTTTTTGAGATGGAGTTTCATTCTTGTCACCCAGGCTGGAGTGCAATGATGTGATCTCGGCTCACTGAAACCTCTGCCACCCAGGTTCAAGCAATTCTCCCACCTCAGCCTCCTGAGTAGCTGAGATTACAGGTGCCCACCACCGCGCCTCACTAATTTTGGTATTTTTAGTAGAAACAGGATTTCACCATGTTGGTCAGGCTGGTCTCAAACTCCTGACCTCAGGTGATCAACCCATCTTGACCTCCCCAAGTGCTGGGATTACAGGCGTGAGCTACCGCGCCCAGCTCAAGAAACATTCTCTTTAAAAACAGACAAGCTCCAGAGTGAAAACATTTTGCTTCCAGAAACGGGCCGGATGGCTAAATTAGTGCAGCTGAGTACAAAGCTGAATCTAAAAAAGCACCAATTCTAAAGACAACAGAGTTGTCCACTCATTTTTAAAAAAATTGTTTTTTTTTTAAATCTCTATGATCCTTCTAATTAAATCTCTTATCAAAGTCATCAATCAGTGAAACTGGTTTGTATCAGCATAATCTCTCCTCATCCATTAGCTATTTACCATTGCACTTACCAGTCAGAAAATATGGTTATCATTTTGGCCAAAGGACAAATGCATTAATCAGAGGCCTACTTTAAAACTTTAATTTAAGCCAAATGTTACACAAACTATTGAAGCTTCTGGTTCTAAAACTTGTCCTTCCAAAATCTAGTGTTTCACCCAAGTACCACCCCCTTTCACTGCTCTTATTCAAGGCATGTGAATGTTCTTACCTTAAAGTTTACTTTGCCTTTGTTTGTATCATTGGATTCTTGTATTGCTTTCTTAGGCCATATACGACTAACGAAGGGGGAAACCAGAGGGTATATATATGGCTCCAGGAATTTTTTGTAGATCCAGAGCAGAACTGGAATGACGATACAAGGAATGCACACCATTTTCCCAAGCTTGAGCTCCTCAACTGTTGATATATGTGAAGAAAAAAATTAGTTCATCACAGATTAGTAACTGAAAGAATTTACCAAGATTAAGATATCTGAAAGGGGATAGATGTGGTGGCTCACGCCTGTAATCCCAGCACTTTGGGAGGCAAGAGGATAGCTTGAGCCCAGGAGTTTGAAACCAACTTGCACAACAAAGTGAGACCTTGTCTCTACAAGATCAAAAAATTAGCTGGGCATGGTGGCATACTCCTGTGGTCCCAGCTACATAAGTGGCTGGGACAAGAGGATCACTAGAGCCCAGGAGGTTGAGGCTGCAGTGAGCCGTGTTCATGCCACTGCTCTCCAGCCTGGATGACACAGAGACACTTTGTCTCAAAAAAAGAAAAAAAAAAAATATATATATATATATATATACACACACACACACACACACACACACACACACACGAAAGGACTATTTCTACAGTGTAGGAAAAACTTAAAACATACTATTATATTTGCTAAAAAAAAAAGACTTTATTAAATAAAAAGCTGCTATCTACAAGGTAAAGAAATAGGCCAGGTGCAGTGGCTCATGGCTGTAATCCCAGCACTTTGGGAGGCCAAGGCGGGTGGATCATGAGGTGAGGAGTTCGAGACCAGCCTGGCCAACATGGTGAAACCCTGTCTCTACTAAAAATACAAAAATCAGCGGGGTGTTGTGGCATGCGCCTGTAATCCCAGCTACTCGGAAGGCTGAGGCAGAATTGCTTGAACCCAGGAGGCAGAGGCTGCAGTGAGCCGAGATCCCACCACTGCACTCCAGCCTAGGTGACAGAGCAAGACTCCATCTCAAAATAAAGAAATAATAGGTGGTAGGCATGAATAATAATGAGGTGCCTGCTTCCAAACTTCCAGTCACTGCTCCTTAATCATGAATTTGATTATAAAGGAAAAACAACAACATTTGGTAGGTGCTAGACAGTTTACATATAACAACTCATTTAATCCTCAATCAGTGAGGTTGGGTACCCTTGCTACTATGTCTATTTAGAGTTTAAAAAATGAGCCGGGTGTGGTGGCTCACACCTGTAATCCCAGCACTTTGGGAGGCCAAGGCGGGCAGATCACCTGAGGTCAGGAGTTCGAGACCAGCCTAACCAACATGGTGAAACCCCGTCTCTACTAAAAACACAAAATTAGCCAGCCATGGTGGAGCAGGCCTGTAATCCCAGCTACTCGGGAGGCTGAGGGGGAAGAATTGCTTGAACCCGGGAGGTAGAGGTTGCGGTGAGCCAAGATCATGCCACTGCATTCCAGCCTGGGTGACAGAGCAAAACTCCGTCTCAAAAAAAAGATTTCTTATTTTCAAAATACTGCAAATTAAGTAGCATCTGCTGGCAACTGAGTCAGCACCATCACTATGCTTAGACATTTAAAAATTATTCACAATACAGGTAAACGGTGGCATAGAGAATCAAATCTGAATGTCTTTGAAATGAATTACAAGCAAGAGCTATAAACAAAAATGTAAATTGAGGCTGGGCGCGGTGGCTCACGCCTGTAATCCAAGCACCTTGGGAGGCCGAGGGGGTGGATCATCTTAGGTAAGGAGTTCGAAACCAGCCTGGCCAACATGGCAAAACCCTGTCTCTACTAAAAATACAAAAATTAGCTGGGCGTGGTGGTGGGCACCTGTAATCCCAGCTACTGGGGAGGCTGAGGCAGGAGAATTGCTTGAACCTGGGAGGCGGAAGTCGCAGTGAGCTGAGATTGCGCCATTGCACTCCAGCCTGCGTGACAAGAGCAAAACTCCGTGTCAGAAAAAAAAAAAATAAAAATAAAATAAAATAAAATCAATTGCTGGGGCAATAGTGATTTTTTTTTTTTTGAGACAGGGTCTTGCTCTGTTGCTCAGGCTAAAGTGCAGTGGCTCAAACATACCACCTGTGTTCAGAGTTCACTGCAGCCTTGACTTCCCAGAATCAAGCTATCCCCCTTCCTCAGCCTCCTGAGTAGGTAGGACCACAGCCCTGCGCCACGATGCCCGACAGATTTTTTAATTCTTAGTAGAGATGAGGTCTCACTGTGTTGCCCATGCTGATCTTAAAGTCCTAAGCTCAAATGATCCTCCCGCCTAGGCCTCCCAAAGTGCTGGGATTACTGGAACCTGGCCTAATTTTTTTTTTTAAATAATTAGCAAGGTGTGATGGCACGCGCCTGTAGTCCCAGGTATTTGGGGAGCTGAGGAAGGAGAGAACCGCTTGCGCCCAGGAAAGCCGAAACTGCCGTGAGCTATGATGGCCCACTGGACTCCAGCCTGGGCCACAGAGGCAGACCCTGTCTCAAGATTAAAAAAAAAAAAAAATCCAAAAGTTGTAACCTGTCCAAAGTTCTCACAGAGGTAACTGGTAACTAGAGCTTCTAAGACCATTATTTCCAGTTCTGGTTTTCCTCAATGCTCTTGCCTTTTCCTCTTCCAAAAACACAATGGTCATGTTTTTACCAAACTTTTACCAAACTTTCCAAACCAACGAAACCCCTTCAAAACAACTGACAATGCTACCAGTACTAGTTTAGTGACTGACAGGCCCTCCATCATAAAGATTCATTTTTACTTCTGCAATTGTGTTTTAAGTAAGTTCGCACACAGTACGATGTACATAAACTCTCGAGGACAAATACTACTAATCACTTACGCCACAATTACGGCTTTTAAGAGACTTTTTAGCTCTCTTCGGAATGAAGCCTATTTGTATCTTATCTTTTAATCTTCATAATAATACTTCGGTAAGATATTTTACTTCACACATATGGAAACTGGGTCAGAAAAGTCTAGAAGGTGGCTACGAGATATTATTATTTTAATTATTCGCTCCAAGCCAACAAAGCGAGCAAAACGGATTAAAGCTGTTGCAGAGGAATCTTCTTTCACTCAACTTAAGTCCAGACAACAGAGTAGACAGTTAAAGTCTGAGGCTCCATCCGAAATAGGGAAGGCATAACAGGGAAAGTCACCTTCCTCCAAGTCATCCAGTTGAGCATGTCATCTTAGTGGAGACAGAGGGAGCGGGGACAGGTTGAGTCAATGACAATGATTGAAAAGAGACGAGAACAGAGGCCTAACGGTGAAGGTCATAGAAAGGATGTGAAACCGATACTTGGCCACGGAAAAGAACAAAATCAATATAAAGTATCGGAGAGGCAAATGCAAGCTCCGAGGGCGCCGGTGGTGGACAAAGAATACAGACAGAGGGGAGGGGAGGGCGGGGCGGAGGGCGGAGGAGCGCGCTCGCGGAAGGAAGGTACCCTGAGAGCGAAGGCAGGCACCGCGGAGGCCGGCGGGCCGCGACCGCCGAGGAGGGAGGAGGCAGGAGGCCGCGCACCGCCTAGGACTCTGCGAGCGCGGCCCGGGCTGGGCCTGCGGAGCAGCTACAAAGCCCAACCCAGGCCGCTAGCCCGGGCACACTCACCCGCGACCGCGGAAACGCAGCTGACAATGTCCGCACTTCCGGAGGGAGGGACGATCCGCAGCCGAGCCAATGGGCGCCTTCAACGGGGACGACAAAGGCGCGCTTGCGTCAACCCGGGGTCGCACAGCACGCAGCAGTGTTGCCCAAGGGGCGCGGCGAGGCTTCCGGCTCTGCGGCCTGCAGGTAGCGCGAAAGTCCTGCGCGTCCCAGATGCCCAACTAAAAGCTTCGCTGCGGGAAGAAAGCCTGACCTGACTACACCCAGACCCAGAACGCAGGATCTCGGTAAAGGATGATGCCTGTGCAAACGGCGCGGCACCCACACGGAAGGTGGCAGCTAGGCCGTTGAGGCAACTGTGGATAAGCTATTAGTTTTGCTGGTTTCTTAAATTCAAGGGCAGAGCAAACTAACATTAAGGCCAACTTTACAAACGTCAGTTGCTTAAAAGAAGCAGTTACATCACTTTATAAACGAAAAGTACTGACGCTCGCTAGGATGTCAGTACGTGTTGGCGAAGTTGTGTGAAAACTGGGACCCTCATAAACCGTTGGTGGAAATGTAGCGTGCAGCCTTTTTGGAAATATTTGGAAGTTCCTCAGATGTTTACTCAGGTAACCTTATGATCTAGCAATTCCACTCTAGTATATACTCAATAAATGAAAACACAAAAATCTGCACACAAACGTTCACAGTACCATCGTTCCTAATAGCAAAAACAAAACCCCTTTATCAATTGACGAAATGATACAGGTTGAGCATCAACCTAAAAAGCTTCAAAACCTGAGCCTGAGTGCTGTTATCATACTCAAAGGCAATGCTCAATGGAGCCATTTCCAACTGGGGATGATCAACTGGTATATTCACATACTGGATTGTTCTGCAAAGAAAACCACTGCAAATTCCTTTTGGGATAATGAAACTTTTTTTGAGACAGGGTCTTGTTCTGTCTTGCCCACGCTGGGGTGCAGTAGTGCTCACTGCAGCCTCCCACCTCAGCCCCCCAATTAGCTGGGACTACATGCAAGTGACACCACACTTACTTTTTTTTAACAGACAGGGTTCTGACATGTTGCCCTGGCTGGGCTTAAGCAGTCAGCCTCCACCTCCCAAAGTGCTGGGACTACAGAAATGAGCCACTGTGCCCAGCCATGAAAATGGTTTTTAATGGTGCAGGGTAAACAATCTTGTGTTTCTAGTTCTAATCCTAAAAAATCCTCATTTGATCCATCTTGTAAGGACACTTGAAATATGTTCACTAATAAAGACAACCAACATTCTTTTCCTTTTAATTACATTTATTTTAATGCTGAATTTACTCCCGTGCCATAAGTTTTTGTTTCTTCAGTTTCTTCTGGGATATCTGGGGAAAGAAAAATGTGTTAAGTTTCTTAGAGAAAACCACAGTACATCTTGGAGGACTTCAGCTTATTCTGGAGGCAGGAAACCTAGTCGTTAAGGACTAAGGGGGAAAAATACTTAAATGGTAGAAATCAACAGAACTTAAGTTCATTAGATGTAAAAAGAAGTGTACAGAATCACTCAGGTTCTTGACTTAAAAGAACTAAATGTGATCAATTACTGAAAACAAGCTTCTTAGATTTGGGGAGAGGGCCCATTTTGAAGTGGCTATGTACATCTAAGTGGGGCCATCAGCAGATAATCATACGGGCCTGAGGTACTGAATATAAAACTACCAGTTTTTTTTTTTTTGAGACAGCGTCTCGCTCTGTCACCCAGGCTGGAGTGCAGTGGCGCGATCTCGGCTCACTCCTAGTTCCTCCTCCCGGGTTCATGCCATTCTCCTGCCTCAGCCTCCTGAGTAGCTGGGACTACAGATACCCGCCACCACGCCCAGCTAATTTTTTTTTGCATTTTTAGTAGAGACGGGGTTTCACTGTGTTAGCCAGGATGGTCTCGATCTCCTGACCTTGTGATCCACCCACCTCAGCCTCCCAAAGTGCTGGGATTACAGAAAACTTACCATTTATTATTAGTCAAGAAACAAACTTACAAAAGCCAAAATAAGACAGGTGAAAGGGTTGCTCAGAATAGTTTTCTTTCATAGTTATTCCAAAGGTGTCCTAAGATAGTCATCACAGCAACCACAAATCTTTCTACTATCACAAACAAAACCGAGCAACTACTTATTTACCTTTTTCTTCTGGGCAACCTCCTCTTCTGGTTTAGGAACAATCTGTTCCTTTTCCGTAAGGATCATCTCAATGTGGCAGGGAGAGCTCATGTATGGGTTAATCCGACCATGAGCTCTGTAGGTCCGGCGGCGCATCTTAGGTGCTTTGTTCACTTGGATATGCTCAATGACCAGAGAATCTACATCTAAACCCTGGGGAAGAAAGGAAGGAGAATGAAACCAGGAACATCCTTAATTAGTAAAACACCACAAACTATCATTGCTAAATATGAATTCCCAGGCTTGCTCCAGAGTCCTGCCTCAATGAAATCATTTTTAAAAGGCAATCCTTTTATTCTGCAAATAGCATTTTTTTAACCAGTTGTCTGCCTTCACCTTTACATGTCTAAATTGCCACCAAACTCAGTGTGCTATACATTTTGTCTATGAGTGGCCTTCCCAAAGATCCTTAGACGGGTGGAGAGCTGAGGGGTAAGGAAGAACCCAATTCGAAGTCTTGATGATAAAATTTCTCAGCATGGCTTAGAAGGTTTGGAGCCATACAGACCTAAACTAATTCCAGTTCTGGCCCAGACCTTCAAATGCAAAAGGCTAATGGGTAATATACAAAATGGAGAAATTTGTGTTTTGTCAACACAAGTTTGTCATTGTTTAAACTTTTTGAAATTTTAAACAATTTCTTTCTGAAATGCAACATGACTCTCCATTATGAAGGTAGGCCACAAACCACATTAATCACTGCTAAGGCAATCATTTTGATAATTAATCATACTACCAAAGGTGTATGTCACAAAAAGGGGTAAAAGCCCCTGGTAAAGTACCTCCAGTGTAAAAAGACAGCAGAAAACTAGAAATACTAAGTGTTAGGCTTAAAGAGACCACAGAGCACGCTTCTGGATCTTCACAGAATTTTGCCATAAAGGGACTCAAAAAAAATAAAAGGAAATAGTTTCATTCTGTGGAAACTGCAGGTAGAAATTTAAAAAATCCTAAGAGTTAATTACTGAAAACAAGAAAATCAAGGACATAAATCTGAACAGCCAACATTAATTAAACAACCACCCAAGTTGCACAGGATGTTAGTGGTTTGGGTACCTTAAGTTCAGCATTACTCTCTGCGTTTTTAAGCATGTGCAGCAAAAATTCAGCACTCTTTTTGGGCCACCGACCTTGTGTCCAGCCCCATTGCTTGGCCTGAAAGAAAATGGAGATGATGAGTCATTTTCCTTGATTTAAATTAACATTACAGCCAAGATGAATTTATCTGATATCACGGTTTCTTAGGATATGGTTTATTTCACCATCAATCCAAGGTGTCCTGTCATTACAGCAACCAGAAATAGGTTCATCAGCACAGATCTTAGCCATTCTTATCCTATCCCATCACTTTTCCATTAAAATCTGTCTTTTCAAATGGCAACTAAGAATTCTCACCTGCGCACACCTGCCAACTCCACCATTGTAACGTCGGAATGGTACACACTGTTTCTGTAAAGTGACATCTTTCAGATACTTCGTGGCTTTTCGTATATGCATACCCTTGATGGCCTGAGCAGTTTCACGAGTGTTCTAAGTATGAAGAATAAAGTGTTGGTTAACTAGATCAAAGCTTTAATTTTTAAAGTAAACGTTAAATTTTCAATTTTCAGCTTTTCAAAATGTCGAGTTATTTCTATTCTTTGGGGGCAAGGCAATTAAAAAAACTTGTGACTAAAAGCCAGGTAAACTTCGTTGAAGCTAGAGAAAACTCCAAAACTCCATTTATTCACTATAAAACGTTTAAATTCCATCATCATGTAATTACAATTAAAATGCCCCATCTTGATCTGCACACTAGGTTTTCAAATGGTTTTCTGGTACTACTTCTCAATTTCACAAACGCTACATCCTTACACCCTGATCATCAATGCCTAAATATAAGGTGGCTGCTCAGAATTTATTAATTTTCACGGTAAATCCAAAGGTGTCCTAAGAAAGTCATCACTGCAGCTACCTTTTTTGAGTGGAACATGAGGAACTGTTGGATCACAACTATGAATCGCATACCTTAAAGTGAACACGAAGATTGGAACCTCTTGATTTGCATGCTAGAAAATAAAACGTTTTGGTTAATTTTTGGTATCTTATGCCAAGCCCCAAGTAGGAAATGGGTATCTACCTCCTGTCCACTTACATTTCGTGGGGTTCTCCGGGTCAAGTGAATAGCGAACCATTTTCACAGATCACCTAGAGGAAAGTACAGTGTAATTCTGTCAATACGTACTTACAGTAACTCATTCAGTATAAATATCAGATGATTCGAACAGCTGCTCAGAGAGTAGTTGTTTTCATTATTAATCCAAAGGTGTCCTAAGAAATGCCATCATCGCAGCCATACTTTCCCCCACCAAGGGCTTGCTTTCCCTTTTATCTTCCAGTAACTACAGCACTGCTTCCACAGAAGTAGCCACACGGGCCTCACCAATCCAGTCAACCCTTTGGAAGAAAATACAGCCTGTTTCAATCCAATGCTGGATCTTCCAGGCGTAAAATGACTCGACGCATCCGCAGGGCACAACTCAACCGTAACCCTCTACACCTCCTCCCTCCCGCTCTACAGAAACCCCTTTGCTGTCAGGGCTGCAGGTAGTGAGTGCCGTCTCTCTCAACACCTTCGGGCTATGACCCACTTTAAGAGCCCTCCTGTACGCAACACTCTTGTAGTAACGTGTTACGCCTCCACCCGACTTTTCTTTCCCCCAAAACTTTTTCCTCGTTGCGGCCACCACTCACCACTAGACACCGGACCTCCGGAGTCCGCACGGACCCCAGGCGGCCCGCACCCCACGGCGGGCCGGCGCCCCCACCAGTGGAGGAGCCCGGTAGTCCCCATTCCCGCCCATCACGTCCCTCTGCGGACCTCAGAGGCCGACTGACCCCGGCTCCCAAAGTCAGGCCCTCCGCCACGTCCTCCCGCATAAGAAGCCACCGCCTCCAGCGAGGATTTAGTAGCCCTAGGAGTTCTCCTCCCGGGGGCCTGGAGGCCGGCGCCCCCGAAGCCAGGATGGCGGCGATGGCAGGAGGATTGGGCCCTCGGAGCAACGCAGGAGAAACACTCACCTCAGGCTGCTTAGGGAAAGAGGAAGAGCGGTGGATTTTGGGAGAACTCATGAGAACTTGACTTCTCGCGAGATTCGTAGCCGAAGAAACGAGATCTGAGGAGGCAGGAAGGCGGAAAGCGAAGGGAGTGTAGAATATGTTTTAAGAACGTGTGAAAACGAATTGCCTACTTAGGGACTGTCTCAAAGTTCTCTTTTTTGTATACAGAAATAAAAATTCAGGGTTTTAAATGTCAGTCAATTAAAAACAGGGTTGTAGTTCTAGGACAGGCTACGTATTATTAGATATGAAAGAAACATTTTATTTATTCGTCAACATTAGTTAGGTTTGATTATGTGGCCCTGTACTCCTGAAAGTGGTTTGTAAATGGCCAATTAAAAAGATGAAAGGATGAGACGTAATTATGGTAATCAGGAAATTCTCAGGATGGGAATGTCATCCAATCAATTGTATTATAACCTGTGTGAAAAATGCGCTAACTGAAGGGTCTGGTTCAATATCCTCGTTTTCCCCGCTGCTTCTAGATCTTCATCTGGAGGAGAAAACCTTTTGGCATTTTCTTCCCTTTTTTCCTTCCCCAGGTCATCTCTCTGGTTATTCCCTCATAGTCAGTGATGCACTTAGCTTTTGTTAGGGCTTCTATTTCATGGCACCACCCTTCTAGGCAGCTCAAACTCTAGGAGAGTAGACTCCAGGCTAGGCTCACTTGCTTCCTTGACCTCAGTGTAGGAGACCTCAGCCCTAAGTCTCTCCCCTCGACTCCACTTCCATTGCTGATGCTGGATTCCATGGTGTTTCCTCGGTAATTCCCTCCCCTCACATGAGCTTTCAACTGCATGCTAACTCCCAGATTAATACCCCAGCGCCACATCTGTCTCCTGAGCTAGACCCTGATAGCAAACTACTCCCTGGACATCCTTTCTGGGAGGTCCCTGAAGACCTGAGGTTATTTGAAACCTAACATGCCCTTAAACAGAACTCTTTGTCTTCTCCTCCGGGTTCCTCTTTTATGTTGCATGGTGACAAGAGTAACAGACAATGGGCCGGGCGCGGTGGCTCACGCCTGTAATCCCAGCACTTTGGGAGGCCGAGGCGGGCGGATCACGAGGTCAGGAGATCGAGACCATCCCGGCTAAAACGGTGAAACCCCGTCTCTACTAAAAATACAAAAAATTAGCCGGGCGTAGTGGCGGGCGCCTGTAGTCCCAGCTACTCGGGAGGCTGAGGCAGGAGAATGGCGTGAACCCGGGAGGCGGAGCTTGCAGTGAGCCGAGATCCCGCCACTGCACTCCAGCCTGGGCGACAGAGCGAGACTCCGTCTCAAAAAAAAAAAAAAAAAAAAAAAAAAGAGTAACAGACAATGATTCTATAAGCTTACTAGATTCTAGGCAGTATTTTCAGTGTTTTTACATGCATTTCCTCAAGTAATCCTTAGGACAACTATTTGTAAATGATGAAGTTGATCTGGCTGCTACAATGTGAAGAAGAAAAAAAAGGAACTCCCCGGCAAATCCAAGGTCCGGCAGCTGGGAGTGGCAGCCCTGGGATCCAAGGCAGCCTTCTGTAACCAAGCTCTGCATCCCTAGGCGACCCTGCCTTTCTCCCTTCCTTGTTTGGCGACTTCCCCATACACCTAGGATCTTAAACCAGAAAGATGAGAGACTCCCCTCTTCTTGTCTTTGCACATACAATTATTTAACAAAATCTGGATTATTCTTTTAAGTGGTCTTCTTGCCCTAATTATTTCTGCACTTTAATATATCCTCCATATTCCTGACAGTCATTTTTCTTTTCTCTTCTTTTTCTTTCTTTCTTTCTTTCTTTCTTTCTTTTTTTTTTTTTTTTTTTTGAGACAAGGTCTCACTCTGTGGCCCCAGGCTGGAGTGCAGTGGTGTGATCTCAGCTCACTGCAACCTCCGCCTCCAGGTTCAAGCGATTCTCCTGCCTCAGCCTCCCAAGCAGCTGGGATTACAGGCACCCACCATGATGCCCAGCTAATTTTTGTATTTTTAATAGAGATAGGATTTTGTCATGTTGGCCAGGCTGGTCTTGAACTCCTGACCTCATGTGATCCGCCCACCTCAGCCTCCCAAAGTGCTGGGATTACAGACGTGAGCCACCACGCCTGGCCCTGACAGAGTCATTTTTCTAAAATGGCTGTCAGAATGATCATGTCATTTTTTGGGTTTTTTTTTTCCTGTGGCCCCTGTTCCAAATATTTGGGGATGATATAAGAGCCTTCCATGATCTGGCCTTTGCCTTCCTCATCTTTTATCCCTTCTTTCTCCATCCCCTATGGACTCCAACCATATTTTCTCTGATTTTAGGGAGAAATCAAGCCTATAATTAAAAACAGTCACACCACATTTGAGTCTGTCAGCCAGCATTGGGTTAGATTAGAAGACATTTAAGCCTTGTGAGATCATTTCCTTTTGAGTGAATAGTTTGTCTTTTGAACCTTCAGTGATTTTCCTATAAAACTTAAATGAACTTTTTTCTTAGATGGAATCTCTCTGTTGCCCAGGCTGGAGTGCAGTGGCTCATTCAGAGCGCACTGCGGCCTCTCTCTTTTTTTTTTTTTTTTTTTTGCTTCTTGGTGTGTTACCTTTATTATATTCCTAGACTAGTTTAAAATTATATTTCTGAGACTAGTTTAAAAAACAGCCTGCAACAAGAGTATTCTCATCACCAGCTACCTTTTCCACCTTTCTTCTTTTTCTGTTGCTGTTTCTTTTTTGTTGCTGGAGCGCCTGCAGGTTTCTGTGTCTTGGGGGTATGATGTTACTTGCAGAGGCAGATAGTGTCGCTGCACTGCCAGGTCTTGGGGAGGGGGCGGGCTGCTCACAGTTTTTCTGGCATCCAGTTCTGATGAAGCTCCTGCAGTTGCTCCCTGGATCCCTTTTCCAACCTGATCCTTTTTACCTTTCTTTCTTCCCCAGTAATAAGAATGTTCTTGCATTGGTAGCCATCTTTCTGGATCTGGGGTAACTTTTGGGTCATAATTCTCAGGCAATTTTCCCATCTTTTTCTTCTTTTTCAAATTTCCCCACCCTTGCTCCTTTTGTTGACTATCTCCAGTAACTTTGCCACCCTTCTTCCAAATGTACGTAGCACCAGGAGAATTTTCAAGAGCCTTGACATCTACTTTTAGAGACATGCTATCTGATAATGACAAGTGTTCACAAAGAGCTTTGTCTTTCTCTGGATCTACAAGTGAGTAAGCAGAAATAAGCTGTGTCAGGGTGTGAAAATCTTTTGGATTTTGTTTCCATTGTTGTTCTAGGTCACTAATTGCCTCCTTCTTCTGTCTATATTTGAGTTTGAAGTTCGCAGCTTCTCTTATCAAGGACAAATGAGCAGGAGATTTGGGCCAATGGTTTTGACACCACTGGATAGTATGTGTGAAGACCTCAATGGCACTATCAATATCTTCTTCATGGCTATACATGATCACGAATGCAGACACCATGCCTGGTTTCTGCTTTAACTCTTCTATGCTTCTCAATATTAGACATGCTTATAAATATTACCTTGAGAAATTTTCAACTGTGCCATGGTCAGCTTAATTTCAGCTGCATTTTCTGGATGTTGATCTGAAAATTCCTGAAGCAGCTCTGTTGTTTTTGTGTGCTGCTTTCCAGGCAAACCTGAGCAGCTTGGATTAACATAGGTGGGAGATGCTCGGGACTTTGGGACTATAAATTGGTGGATATTTTGCGGCATTAATTGGCCTGGTTTGTGTACGTAGCAAGTAAAGCTTTGTTAAATTCTATAGCTTGTAGTTGTTTCTTGGAAAGCTCAAACTCCACTCTTTCTGCATTGATTAATTTCACCTTCTTCTTGGAGTCAAAGACATTTTGGTCCTTGTTAATGGTAATGATGTTGTTTGCAATTACAGCTAGTAATCCCACATCTGTTGGTTTCAGTTTTATTATTTGATTGTAAAGTTGCAAAGCCTCCTCTATTCGACCCTGAAGCTGCAGAGTATAGGCCATCTGACCATGAATGATGGCCAGTCCTGCCTGTGGGTCTTTCTCAGTCCTATCACAGTCTTCTGATCATGAACAGCGGCAAAGATCTTCAGCTTTTCGTAGGATTGTCGTGACCTGGTTCAGCTGGCCTTGTCCAATCAGCGCATGTGCAGTGTTGTAGCACAGCTCATGTGCACCTTCTTGGAGGCCCAAGTTCTCTGGAACCACTTTTTCCCAATTGCTTTGAGGAGTAACAACTGCTGAAAGGTTTGTTTTCGTCTCCTTATCATAATCATCTTGGGAGTTTCAGGCGAGATCTCTGTATACTCTAAGTATTTATCATAGCGTTCCAAGCGGCGTAATGCTTGTCCATAAAACTCCTTCAGTTTGTCTGTCTGCTGGTTGGCACTTTCTATTGTCTTCAAGGCATTCTTAATTCTGTTCAGTTGTAGTTGCAATATTCCTTTTCTTTTTTTTCGAGATGGAGTCTCGCTATGTTGCCCGGCTGGAATGCAATGGCACAATCTCAGCTCACTGCAACCTCTGCCTCCTGGGTTCAAGTGAAATTCTTCTGCTTCAGCCTCCGGAGTAGCTGGGATTACAGGCGCCCACCACTACGCCCGGCTAATTTTTGTATTTTTAGTAGAGACGAGGTTTCGCCACGTTGGCAAGGCTGGTCTCAAATTCCTGACCTCGTGATCCGCCTGCCTTGGCCTCCCAAAGTGCTGGGATTACAGGTGTGAGTCACCATGCCCAGCCCGGCCTATTGTTTATTTTGTTCTTTCTTTTCTTTCCTGTAGTTTCCTGACTAGTGGCTTACCCATTATTCTCGTGTTCCTGGAATTTGTGATACAAAAACAATGTACTGCCGAGGAATAGCTTATATTTTGTTTTTTTTTTGTTGTTGTTGTTTTTGTTTGTTTGTTTGTTTTGAGACGGAGTCTCACTCTGTCGCCCAGGCTGGAGTGCAGTGGTGCGATCTCGGCTCATTGCAACTTCCACCTCCCGGATTCAAGCCATTCTTCTGCCTCAGCCTCCCGAGTAGCTGAAACTACAGGCGTGTGCCACCACGCCCAGCTAATTTTTTGTATTTTTAGTAGAGATGGGGTTGCACCGTGTTAGCTAGGTTGGTCTCGATCTCCTGACCTCGTGATCCACCCGCCTTGGCCTCCCAAAGTGCTGGGATTACAGGCATGAGCCACCGCGCCTGGTTAGCTTATGTTATTTTACTGTAAATTCTTGGTAAACAATTTAGAAACTGCCTCTTCTTTTTTTCCTTTAAAAATTCACTTGTAATTGCTGTGAACCAGAGCATACATTTAGGGCAATTTGAATTTATGCTTCCAGGTTGCAATCTTCAAACTTGGCC
Organism: Homo sapiens; assembly: GCF_000001405.40. NCBI lineage: Eukaryota > Metazoa > Chordata > Mammalia > Primates > Hominidae > Homo > Homo sapiens. Next base: position 49,497,798 of record NC_000018.10, read on the forward strand.
CAGATAAACTACTTATATTACTTTTGACTCTGTTTTTGCCTTGTGTGTACATAATGTCATCTGATTGTCTCACTTTTACTGATATTAACACTGGGCAGTTGGCCGGGCACAGTGGCTCGTGCCTATAATCCCAGCTCTTTGGGAGGCCAAGGTGGGAGGATTGCTTGAGCCTTGGAGTTTGAAGCTGCAGTGAGCCATGATCATGCCACTTCACTGTACCCTGGGTAACAGAGACACCGTTTCCAGAACCAAAAAAAAAAAAAAATGGGCAAATGAGTTCAGGAGTTGTTGCTGTGACCCCTTCCTTATGAAGTTTCTCATCAGCTTTTCATCTAATGGCTTTAGGAGCTATTAAGTTCAGAGCTTACATTCATTATGTCATCAGGTGTTGAAAAATAATGACTTTGTAATTCTGTTATTCCATAGCATTTTTAATATTGGACTTGTGTAAAAAAGAACTTTCCCTCTTTCAATAATTTGGTTATCTTTCAATATTTTTATACCACAGAGCAGAGAATAAGCAAAAAAGTTGCAATAAGTAATGCCCGTAGGTCTTGGATCCATGTGGGACATCATCCAGGGGAACCTGCCCTTGGTGTGTCCAGCCTGCACCTAGTGCAGCTGAAGGGCACTGGGAGGGCCTTTGTTCCTTGGGTATGTTAAATAAACTGGGTTGTGCACCTGCATTTTCACTGTGACCTGTCATGTGAAGTCAGGTGTGGAATTTTCCACTTGTGGTGTTATGTTGGTTCTCAAAAAGTTTTCGATTTTGGAACATTTCGGATTTCAGATTTTCGGGTTAGGGATACTCAGCCTATACCACGTGTTGTGGCCGGATGCTTCACATTTACTATTAATCATGGACCAGGCTTGGTGGCTCACGCCTGTAATCCCAGTACTTTGGAAGGCCGAGGTGGGCGGATCACCTGAGGTCAGGAGTTCCAGACCAGCCTGACCAACATGGTGAAACCGTCTCTACCAAAAAATTTAAAATTTGACAGGAGTGGTGGCACATGCCTGTAATTCCAGCTTCTTTGGAGGCTGAGGCATGACAATCACTTGAACCCAGGAGGTGGAGGTTGCAGTGAGCTGAGATCGTGCCACTGCACTCCAGCCTGAGTAAGAGTGAGACCTTGTCTCAAAAGAAAACAAAAAAAAAACCAGTAAAACAAAAAACAATAAACAAAAACAAAACAAAACAAAACAAAAAACAAGGTTAACGGAACCTCATGATTGGATGAGATGGCTGTGGGAAGCTGGGCTGCCCAGGAAGCGGACTCAGAGAGCAAACCGTGCGCCTGCCTTCCACACTGGAAGGGAGCGTCAGGAAGCCGAACTGCAGAGGGTACTGACGCAGCCCCAACACTTCTCCCCGACCTCAGGGGGGATTCAGTAGCTGGAGATTCCCGCAGCTGCCCCACGTTGGGGGTAAGGCTGGGCATTTGTTCCTCCCCTATTGTTCAGTCATTGGCTGTGGGCGGCCCCAGGAAGAAGGTGTGACCTTGGGTGGGGCAGTCTTCTTCAGCCAATCCTCAGAAAGGACTAACAGCACTCTCAGCAGAGGGAGACTGAGTCCTTCATTCCTGGGAGGTGTCTGGGAAGCACATCGCAGTGTGCACCGCAGCAGGTATTAATGTGTCATTTTACAGATAAGAAAACTGAGGTTCAGAAGGGACAGAGCCAGGATGTCAGCCTAGATCTATTAATACCTTTGAATCCTGTGCTCTTTCCCACCGTCCTTGCTGCCATTTCCGCACATTTTCATGCCTTCCCCACTTCTTACCGGGACCGCCATGTTTCTGGGTAATCTTGTACTCTCTGTTCTAGTCTTGCTCTCCTGTCCTGCCCCGGGCAGTCTGTCTCTTGGTCAGCTGTCTCTCTTCACCCCAGCTTTGGCTCTGTTCTCAGGGCTTGATCCACCACATCACATTCCGCGCTCGCTGCTGCCTGAACTCATCAAAGTGGACCCAGTGAAAGCTGTGTTGAGGAGGACTATTCTGGTGCTGAGGCTGGGTACATTCATGAGGCCAGGAACACGGGATTGAATTCCAAGCAGAGCACCAGGATACCTGTAGCAGAAATCCAGGCAAGAGCCAAGAAGATGGGAACGGAATAGCAAGCGCTGAATTAATTAATTAATTAATTAATTTTTTGAGATGGAGTCTTGCTCTGTCGCCCAGGCTGGAGTGCAGTGGTGTAATGTTGGCTCACTGCAACCTCCCCCTCCGGGGTTCAAGCGATTCTCCTGCCTCAGCCTCCCAAGTAGCTAGGATTACAGGTGCCCGCCACCATGCTCGGCTAATTTTTTGTATTTTTAGTAGAGACGAGGTTTCGCCATGTTGGCCAGGCTGGTCTGGAACTCCTGACCTCAAGTGATTGGCCGGCCTTGGGCAAGTGCTGAATTTAAACACGGCTCTCCTGAGGACTTCTATTGGGTTCTGCCTAGTGGTAACCGCCGAGGCTTCGCTTACTCTGTAGATCTCCCGGGAGCAGCAGGAAACAAGAAACCCTTAGCCTTTTCAAAGTAATAGCCATTCTCCTCACTGACCTGACAAAGACGGATGTCAAGTGGGCCCTGCAGGAGTTTGACAGTTTGTCCAAACAACTGTTTTTAGTTGAGGCTATAAATTCTTAGGAAAGGGTTTGTCAGTGTGGCACATTAAATCAGTTGGCCAGTATGCATTACTCTGACCATCTTCTTAGAAAGCAACGTCTTTGGGGATTTTCAGATGAGTGAATATTCAATGCTCTGTCTTTTAGCATTATCATCCACTTCCCCTGCCCCTCATAGAATTCTCTTTAGAGGATTGGCTCCTGGGCCTCCAGGAGAGCGGGCAGTAGGGTAGGGTGGTGGGAGGAGAGGAAAGTCTTAATCCCTTGCCAGGGATTTACTTTGTTCTTCTCAGTCGGAGCCTCCCGTACAATGCTGTTTTGAGCTTCACTTAGAAATTGGCTTTATTAGCTAGGAAAGGGGAATTCTTTTCACAACAATCGGAAAATGTAATCCCTTAGTCAGGCGGCTGGAGTCCTTTAATTCACCTCTCCGGACCTTGGGCTGCTGGCTGCTCCTCTCTGCCGCCTGGCTGTCTCTCCCTTACCTCCCAGAGTTAGGGTAATAGCTGACATTTTTCTTCACTAGGCTTTCCTAAGGGATTTCATTCCATTTGTGAGACACTTTAATTCCTGAAGCTGCAAAGTTTGCTTTTTATTACTATAGCTCTACTTATTCTGCATAATTTTATTTATTATTTGTTTATGTATTTATTTTTTGAGACAGAGTCTCGCTGTGTTGCCCAGGCTGGAGTGCAGTGGCGCCATCTCAGCTCACTGCAACCTCTGCCTCCTGGGTTCAAGCAATTCTCCTTCCTCAGTCTCCTGAGCAGCTGGGACTACAGGCACGTGCTACCACGCCCAGCTAAGTTTTGTATTTTTAGTAGAGACGAGGTTTCATCATATTGGCCAGGCTGGTCTCGAACTCCTGACCTTGTGATCCACCTGCCTCAGCCTCCCAAAGTGCTGGGATTACAGGCGTGAGCCACCACGCCTGGCTTATTCTGCATAATTTTTAAGAGTTGTGAATTGTTTTAAGATCAAATTTAAAAGTACATTTTCTTTCTTATCTTGTCATTAACTGATGTTGGGTATGTGTGTGTGCTTGTGATTTCCCTGGCTGGACCAGTGTATAACTTCAAAGAGGGCTGGTGCCTTGCCTTTAGTCTGCTGGATAGCACTCCTCCAGACCCTCCCTTTGCTGAGCAGCTCCGTGGACCTGTGCAAATCTCTACCCAGCTTTGTTGGACAACAAAATACCCTGGAGAATATCAAGCCCTTTAACATACCCAGTTTGTGCTCCCAGACGTAAGATCTCTTTGGCCATGTATGTGGGATTCCCATGAAGGAGAAGCTTCATTTCCAGCAAGAATCTGGCTTCCACCTAGACTTGGGAAACAGATACTGAAAAGCATATTGCTGATCAACTAGACAACCTACTTCCACTCTTGATTGCCCCTGTAATCCATCTAGAACAGCCAGAGCAATTTATTTATTAAAAAATTTAAAATTGGCCAGGTGCGGTGGCTCACGCTTGTATCCCCAGCACTTTGGGAGGCCGGGGTGGCAGATCACTTGAGGCCAGGAGTTAAGATCAGCCCGGCCAACATGGTGAAACCCTGTCTTTACTAAAAATAGAAAAAGTTGCCAGGCAAGATGCCTTACGCCTGTAATCCCAGCACTTTGGGAGGCCAAGGCAGGTGGATCACGAGGTCAGGAGATGGAGATTATCTTGGCTAACACGGTGAAACCCCATCTCTCTCTACTAAAAATACAAAAAATTAGCCGGGCATGGTGGCACACGCCTGTAGTCCCAGCTACTTGGGAGGCTGAGGCAGGAGCATGGCTTGAACCTGGGAGGCGGAGGTTGCAGTGAGCCGAGATCGCACCACTGCACTCCAGTCTGGGTGACAGAGCGAGTCTCTGTCTCAAAAAAAAAAAAGAAAAAGAAAAAAGAAAAGAAAAGAAAAAATTAGCCGGGCATGGTGGTGCGTGCCTGTAATCCCAGGTACTCGGGAGGCTGAGGCAGGAGAATCTCTTGAACCCGGGAGGCAGATGTTGCAGTGAGCCAAGATCGCACCATTGCACTCCAGCCTGGGTGACAGAGTGACTCCATCTCAATAAATAAATAAATAATAAGTAAAATTTTAAAATTATTCAAAAATTTAAGATTATTTATATGTGTTTTATAGAAAGTCAGATATAGCAGGTAAGCAGATTAAGAAAATAAAATCCTTATATTTCCAAAAGATTAAGCTTTAATATATCCTTCTAGTATAGTGTGAGATATATACTTCATGTGTGTATGTATATACATATATACTTACCAGGTGAAATTATACTGTACATGCTATTTCATAATCAGATTTTTTTCCAGTTAATCTCAATTTTACCATGTTGATACATTTTCATCTCTTCTAATACCTAACCTCAATTTCAGTTATCCCAGTTGTTCCCCAAATGTCCTTTCCAGTTGGTTTGTTCAAAGCAAGACCCGCCAGGCACACTGACTCACACCTGTAATCCCAGCACTTTGGGAAGCTGAGGCAGGCAGATCACTTGAGGCCAGGAGTTCGAAACCAGCTTGGCCAACATGGTGAATCCCTGTCTCTACTAAAAATAGAAAAAATTAGCAGGGTGTGGTGGCACACACCTGTAGTCCCAGCTACTCTGGAGGCTGAGGCATGTGAATTGCTTGAAGCTGGGAGACAGAGGTTGCAGTGAGTTGAGATCATGTCACTACACTCCAGCCTGGGTGACAGAGCAAGGCTCTGTCTCAAACAAACAAACAAACAAACAAACCAACCAACCAAAGCAGCCACACACACACAAAAAAACCAGAAACAAAGCAAGACCCAATCTAGGTCCCACATGACATCTGGTTGTTGTTTCTTTTTATTTTATTTTTGAGACAGAGGCTTGCTGTCACCCAAGCTAGAGTGTATTGGCGCGATCTCGGCTCACTGCAACCTCTGCCTCCGGGGTTCAAGTGATTCTCCTGCCTCAGCCTCCTGAGTAGCTGGGATTACAGTCGCCCACCATCACGCCTGGCTAATTTTTGTATTTTTAGTACAGACTGGGTTTCACTATGTTGGCCAGGTTGGTCTTGAACTCCTGACCTCAGGTGATCTGCCCGTCTCGGCTTTCCAAAGTGTTGGGATTACAGGCATGAGCCACCGTGCCTGGCCAGGTTGTTCTCTTTCATAATCAGTTTTAGAATCAGAAAATTTAACATTTACTATAATAATATTATCTAACCTAGAGACCATATTTAATTGCCGCCAATTTTCCCAACAATATCTTTTATAGAATTTTTTTTGGACGAAGAGCCAAATTCAGAATAAGGCATTGTGTTTGGTTGCCATGTCTCTTTATTTTTCTTTAATCTGAATAGCTTGGCATTCTTTGTAAAAAGAGCTTTCTCTTATTAACTGGGGTGATTTGGTTGTCCTAAAATACAGTTTCTAGAACTATGATAACTATAACCAGAAAATGTAATCTTTAAAAAATATAAACTATATAATATAACACTCCCCACTTCTCTCCAAAGCACTTCCCAGGTTAAAACCCTTGAAAGACTTCACATTTCACACCCAATAAAGTCCAAACTGCTTACTGTGCTGTGCAGGCTGATCTAGCTCCAGGCCCTCATTTCCTATACTTTTCCTCTGCACTGACTTTGCTCCAGCCACATTGGCTCCTTGCTGCTTCAGGGATACAGTCAACTCATTCCTGTCTTGATGCCTTTGCTTTTGCCCTTCCTTCCAATGATTTACAACTAGGTCTTCACGTGTTGGCTTCTTCCAGTCACTGAAGCCTTAACTCCTTCCCTGACACTCAGTCTATGGAGCTCCTCTCTGACATAATCTTGTTTTATTGTCTTCACAACATATCTCACTGAATGAAATTATCACATTTATTAGTTTTCTTCTTAAATTTCTATCTCCTTTTCAAAAAATGTAAGCTTCATGAAGACATGGTTCTTTTTTTTTTTTTTTTTTTTTTCTGAGACAGAGCCTTGCTCTGTCGCCCAGGCTGGAGTATAGTGGCGTGATCTTGGCCCACTGCAACCTCCGACTCCCGGGTTTCGATGATTCTCCTGCCTCAGGTTCCCCAGTAGCTGGGATTACCGGCGCATGCCACCACGGCTAATTTTTGTATTTTTAGTAGAGAGGGGGTTTCGCCATTTTGGCCAGGCTGGTCTCGAACTCCTGAGCTCAGGTGATCCGCCCACCTCGACCTTCCAAAGTGCTGGGATTACAGGCATGAGCAACTGTGCCTGGCAGAAGACATAGTTCTTGTCTGTTTTTTTTTCCTCTAGTGCCTAGAATAATTTTTTTGTTTATGATAAGTTCTCAACAAATATTTCTTGAATTACAACATAATACTGGAAGTCCTAGCCAGAGCAATTAGGCAAAAGAAAGAAAAAAGGACATTCAATTTGAAAAGAAGGAAGTAAAATAGTCCCTGTTTACAGATGACATGATTTTATATATAGAAAAATCAGGCCGGACGCAGTGGCTCATGCCTGTAATCCCAGCACTTTGGGTGGTAGAGGATGGTGGATCACTTGAGGTCAGGAGTTTGAGACTAGACTGGTCAACATCGCGAAACCCTGTCTCTACTAAAAATACAAAAAAATTAGCTGGGCGTGGTGGTGCATGCCTGTAATCCCAGTTACTCAGGAGGCTGAGGTAGGAAAATCACTTGAACCTGGGAGGTGGGGGTTGCAGAGAGCCGAGATCACACCACCACACTCCAGCCTGGGCAACAGAGCAAGACTCTGTCTCAAAAAACGAGAAAAATATAAAGACTCTACTCAATAAGTCTCAGAACTAATAAGTGAATTTAGTAAAGTTGCAGGATACAAAATCAGTATTCAAAAACAAGTAGCATTTCTAGACACAAACAAGAAAAGAAATCAAGATGGCACAATGGTGTACGTCTGTAATCCCAGCTACTCGGGAGGCTGAGGCAGGCAGATTGCTTGAGCCCAGTAGTTCAGACCAGCTTGGGCAACATAGCAAGACTCCCATCTCAAAAAAAAGAAAAAAAATTTAAAAGGTAATCCCATTTACCATAGTTACACCCCAACCCCCCCCAAAAAAGCCCCAAACCCTAAGAATATTTTTTTTTTTTTGAGATGGAGTTTTGCAATTGTTGCCCAGGCTGGAGTGCAATGGTGCAATCTCAGCTCACTGCAACCTCCGCCTCCTGGGTTCAAGTGATTCTCCTGCCTCAGTCTCCCAAGTAGCTGGGATTATACCTGCCACCATGCCTGGCTAATTTTTGTATTTTTACTGGAGACAGGGTTTCACCATGTTGGCCAGGATGGTCTTGATCTCTTTACCTCATGATTCGCCTGCCTTGGCCTCCCAAAATGCTGGGATATCAGGCGTGAACCGCTGCGCTCGACCTAATTTTTGTATTTATTTATTTATTTATTTTGAGATGGAGTCTTGCTCTTTGCCCAGGCTGGAGTGCTGTGGCATGATCTTGGCTCACTGCAAGCTCCGCCTCCCGGGTTCACGCCATTCTCCTGCCTCAGCCTCCCAAGTAGCTGGGACTACAGGCGCCCACATGATGCCCAGCTAATTTTTTTTTTTTTTTTTTGTATTTTTAGTAGAGACAGGGTTTCACCATGTTGGCCAGGATGGTCTTGATCTCCTGACCTCGTGATCTGCCCGCCTCGGCCTCCCAAAGTGCTGAGATTACAGGCGAGAGCCACTGCACCAGGCCAATTTTTGTATGTTTTAGTAGAGATGGAGTTTCACCATGTTGGCCAGGCTGGTCTCTAACTCCTGACCTCAGGTGATCCGCCCACCTCGGCCTCCCAAAGTGCTAGGATTACAGGTGTGAGCCACCAAGCCTGGCCCCTAAGAATAAATTTAACCAAGGAAGTAAGAAAATATCTGCAAGGCAAACTAAAGAACACCAATGAAAGAAATGGAAGAGAACATGAATTGGAAGATGCCGGGCGCGGTGGCTCACGCCTGCAATCCCAGCACTTTGGGAAGCCAAGGGGGCGTGGATCACCTGAGGTCAGGAGTTCAAGACCAGCCTGGCCAACATGGTGAAACTGTCTCTACTAAAAATACAAAAAGATTACCCGGGCATGGTTGTGCATGCCTGTTAATCCCAGCTACTCAGGAGGCTGAGGCAGGAGAATTGCTTGAATCCAGGAGGCAGACGTTGCAGTGAGCTAAGATCATGCCACTGCACTCCAGCCTGGGACGATGGAGCGAGACTCCATCTCAAAAAAGAAAATAAATAAATAAATAAATAAATAAAATATATAAATAAATAAATTGAAAGACATCCCATGCTCATGGGTCGGAATAACTAATATTGTTAAAATAACCATACTACCCAAAGCAATCTACAGATTCAACTAAAATCTCTATCAAAATACTGATGACATTCTTCACAGAAAAACAATCCTAAAATTTGTACCAAACCACAAAGGACTGTATAGCCAAAGGAATCCTGTGCAAAAAGTACAAAGCTGGAGGCATGAGCAAAAAGTACAAAGCTGGAGGCATGATGCTACAAGACTTTAAAATATACTACAAAGCTATAGTAACAGCATGGTACTGGCATAAAAACAGACACATAAACCAATGGAACAGAATAGAGAACCCAGAAGTAAATTCATGTAACTATAGCCAACTGATTTTTGACCAAGATGCCAAGAACACTCATTGAGCAAAGGGTGATCACTTCAATAAATGATTCTGGTTATTTTTATGCAGAAAAATTAAACTAGAACCCCACCTCTCACGCTATACAAAAATCAACTGAAAATGCATCAAAGACCTAAATGTAAGATTTAAAACTATAAAACTACTAGGAGACGGTCAGGTGCAGTGGCTCACGCTTGTAATCCTAGCACTTTGGGAGGCCGAGGCAGGTGGATCACACGTGAGGTCAGGAGTTCAAGACCAGCCTGGCCAACATGGTGAAACCCCATTTCTACCAAATACAAAAAATTAGCCAGGTGTGGTGGTGGGCTCCTGTAATCCCAGCTACTTGGGAGGCTGAGGCAGGAGAATCACTTGAACCTGGGGGGCGGAGGTTGCAGTGAGCCGAGATTGCACCACTTCACTCCAGCCTGGGCAAAAAAGCAAAACTGCATCTCAAAACAAACAAAAACAAAAACAGAAACAAACAAAAAACAAAACTACTAGGAGAAAACATAGGACAAACACTTGAGGACATTGGCTTGGGAAAATATTTTATGAGTAAGACCTCAAAAGCAACAAAAGCAGAAAAAGCAAAAATAAACAAATGGGATGATATCAAACTAAAAAGCTTCAGCACAGCAAAGAAAACAGTCAACACAGTGAAAAGACAACTTAAAGAATGGGAGAAAGTATTTTCAAACTATTTATCTAACAGGGAATTAATATCTAGAATACGCAAGGAACTCAAACATCTCAACAGCAAAAAATCAAACAATCTAATTAAAAAGTGGGTGAATGACCTGAACAGACATTTCTTAAAAGAAGATGTACATATGGCAAATAAATAGATGAAAAAATGCTCAACATCACTAATCATCAGGGAAATGCAAATTAAAACCACAACGAGGTATCATCTCTTCCCAGTTAGAACTGCTATTATCAAAAAGACAAAAGCTAACAAATGCTAGCAAGTATGTAGAGAAAAGAGAATTCTTATGCACTGCTGCTGGGAATGTAAACTAGTATGGCCACTATGGAGAACTGTATGGAGGATCCTTAAAAAACTACAAATAGAACTATCATATGATCCAGCAATTCCACTACTGGGCATTTACCCAAAGGAAAGGAGATCAGTATATTGAAGAAACCTCTGCATCCTCATGTTTATTGCAGCAATATTTGCACTAGCCAAGATATGGAAATGACATAGGTGTTTAACAACAGATGAATGTATAAAGAAATCGTGATATAAATACAAAATGGAATACTATTCGGCCATAAAAGTGAATGAAATTCTGTCATTTGCGGCAACATGGCTGGAACTGGAGGACATTATGTTAAGTGAAATAAGCCAGATGCCAGGCGCGGTGGCTCACGCCTGTAATCCCAGCACTTTGGGAGGCTGAGGTGGGCAGATCACCTGAGGTCAGGAGTTCAAGACCAGCCTGGCCAACATGTTGAAACCCCATCTCTACTAAAAATACAAAAAGTAGCTGGTCATGATGGCGGTCGCCTGTAATCCCAGCTACTCAGGAGGCTGAGGCAGGAGAATTGCTTGAATCCAGGAGTGAGAGGTTGCGGTGGGCTGAGATCGCACCATTGCACTCCAGCCTGGGTGACGAGCAAAACTCCATCTCCAAAAAAAAAAAAAAAACAAAAAAAAACCAACCAGAACAGCAGGTTAAATCCTGCACATTCTCATTCATGTGTGGAAGCTAAAAAGTTTATCTCATAGAAGTAAAAAGTAGAACAGAGGATACTAGAAGCTGGAAGGGTAGGGAAAGGGATAGGGAGAGATTTGCTAAAGGATACAAAATTACAGCTAGATAAGAGGAATAAGGTTTAATGTTCTCTACCACTGTAGGATGACTATAGTTAACAATAATATATAGTTTCAAATAGCTAGAGGGAGGATATTGAATGTTCCCAACACAAAGAAATGATAAATGTTTGAGATCATGGGTATGTGAATTACCTTGATCTATCCGATCACTATACATGATGTGTATCAAAACATCATTATGTACCCCATAAATATGTATAATTATTATGTGTTAATTAAAAAAATTTTTAAAATAGTCAAATTAATCACACACACAAGGGAAAATTCTACAGACAAAAATCTCCAAAGTCCAGGGCTGTCTCTTGCTTGCAATGGAGAATCTGACACTAGTTGTTTCCTCCATGATCCCTGCTCCCGATGGTGGTCTTCTTCTATGATTTCAGGTCTCACCGGGCTCTAGTAGCTCCATCTTCTCCTTTCCTCCTCTATCCAAGGGAAGGTGACCAGTCTTTGTTTGTTTGCTCCCTTAACTCTATCTATGCCTCTACTGGGAGTCCCTTCATTAGGGTTTTTTTCACTTGAGCTACACTTGGCGAATTCTGTTTCCAGCTGGGACCCTGGGTGATGGACAGAGTCAGGAGTAACCACCATGCCCTGGCAATAAATGATGGTTCAGCTGCGTGAGCATTGTCTATATGTGCAGTCAGCCGCTTCCCCGTCCTCCTCTTCACCATGTTCCATTTCTTTTCAACGTGCTAACTCCTTTGTACTAACAATTATTAAAGAGTTGATTTGCTCTACATACCCAGTGACAAATACTCTTCTAAAAACTTGAAGGGGACAATGAGACTGGGATTAACATACCTATGTAGAGTCGGCAATGCAGTTAGATACGATTCGTGCCTGGATATCTGACTTCATTTCTAAAATTCCACCAGTGACTAATTATGTTAGAGTTGCCTCCTTCCATCTTTCCTCTTGTAAAATTCATCTATTTCTGGAATGAATATTAATATTTATTGAATGCTTTTTTTTTTTTTTGAGACAGAGTCTCACTCTATCTCCCAGTCTGGAGTGCAGTGGCATGATCTCGGCTCACTGCAAACTTCGCCTCCCAGGCTCAAGAGATTCAAGTGCCTCAGCCTCCCAAGTAGCTGGAATTACAAGTGCACGCCAGCATGCCCGGCTAATTTTTGTATTTTTTTTTTTTAAGTAGAAACAGGGTTTCGCCATGTTGGCCAGACTGGTTTCGAACTCCTGACTTCAAGTGATTCGCCCTCCTTGGCCTCCCAAAGTGCTGGGATTACAGGCATGAGCCACTGCACCCGGCCTGAATGCTTATTTTATGTGAGTTACTTCGCATTTGTTAAATCAAATAATCTTTACAACGCAATTTTTGTGTTACGAGAAAGGTTAACTAACCCAGTAAATGGCAGACCTGGAGCAGGACGGAACCCCAGGCCTCCTGGCATGAATCCTTTGTGTTCCTGGGGAGAGGAATACATTCAGTCTCACGCTTCTTAGTGTCAATGAATATTTTAGGTAATGGAAAGTAATTCTGGAGCCCAGAGAGAAGATAGGATGGAACGATGATAAAGGGGAAGACACGAAAATACAGCTAATTATTTAGTGAGCATCTACTTGCATGTTGAGCACTGGGTATGGTTCCTCCCACATATTTCCCAGAATCACTTTGTAAGGAGGATTGTACGACCCACGTTTTACAGAGGATGAACTTGGGGCTCAGGGAAGTTTGGTAGTTTGCCCAAGGCCCTACAGGCAGTAAGTGGTTGGGGATGCATTATGCATAGAGCTAGGTGAGCCTGACACTGTTTGCTTTCTTTCCATTACACCTGCCTGTCATGGGAGAGAATTTCAGAAAAGGGATACCAAAATTATGGGAAAACTTGTCTTGGATATTGCCAAGGGTTAGTCCGGAAAGAAGCCCTAAATACTACTATTCACAAAAACTTCATTTCTGTGGTGGAGTGGCTGAGGGACACCATGGGCCACTAGATGGCACCAGTTCAGCGTCGGAAGAAGCTTTCCCCCATCATTTTTGTGGGCAAAGGGTGCGTGGAGCACCCTGTCCCTGCTCCCCAGGGTGGCACAAGAGAATGAGTACCAGCAGGTGAATGCCGCAGGGGCCATCTTGGAGTCTGTCTGACATACGTCTCTGAGGTGGGCAATTTTTTTTTCTTTTAAGACCCAGGTGCAAGTGATTCTTTTGCCTCGGCCTCCTAAGTAGCTGGGATTACAGGCATGTGCCACCATGCCCGGCTAATTTTTTGTATATATATATAAAAAAATTTTTTTTGAGACGGAGTCTCACTCTGTCGTGCAGGCTGGAGTGCAGTGGCATGATCTCGGCTCACTGCAACCTCTGCCTCCATGGGTTCAAGCGATTCTCCTGCCTCAATGTCCCAAGTAGTTGGGATTAAAGGAGCCCGCCACCACGCTGGTTAATTTTTGTATTTATTTATTTATGAGACGAAGTCTCGCTCAGTCACCAGGCTGGAGTGCAGCGGCATGACCTCGGCTCACTGCAACCTCTGCTTCTTGGGTTCAAGTGATTCTCCTGCCTCAGCTTCCCAAGAAGCTGGGACTATAGATGCGTGCCACCACACCCAGCTAATTTTTGTATTTTTTGTAGAGACGAGGTTTCACCATGTTGGCCAGCATGGTCTTGATCTCTTGATCTCATGATTTGCCTGCCTCAGCCTCCCAAAGTGCTGGGATTATAGGCATGAGCCACTGCGCCCGACCTAATTTTTGTATTTTTTAGTAGAGATGGGGTTTCACCATGTTGGCCAGGCTGGTCTTTAATTCCTGACCTCAAATGATCTTCCCACCTCGGCCTCCCAAAGTGCTGGGATTACAGGCCTGAGCCACTGCGCCCAGCCCAGTTTTTGTATTTTTTGGTAGAGAGGGGGTTTCTCCATGTTGGCCAGGTTGATCTTGAACTCCTAACCTCAAGTGATCTGCTTGCCCCAGCCACCCGAAGTGCTGGGATTACAGGCGTGAGCCACCACGGCTGGCCTGGAGTGGGCATTTCTATTCCCTTTACACAGGTGAGGGAAATGAAGATAAGCAATACTGAGTAACTTGCCAAGGGTACTTAGGCATAAAGTTGTAGACAAGGGATTTCAAACCAGGCCTGTCCGATTTGCAGCTTGTAATTAGTGTATTACTAGGTAGATTGGGAATGTTTGGCCTGGAACAGAAAAGACCCTGGAGTGGGATCCACGTTGACAGTCTTCTGGGACTTGGATCACAGCATGGATGAGGGTGCAGAACTAAATCCAATAGGTGGGAATTATCAGGGGTAGATTTTTCTTTTTCTTTTTTTAAACGAAGTCTCACTCTGTCTCCCAGGCTGAAGTGCAGTGGCATGATCCCAGCTCACTGCAACTTCCACCTCCTGGGTTCAAGAGATTCTCCTGCCTCAGCCTCCCGAGTAGCTGGGATTATAGGCGCCTGCCACCACGCCCAGCTAAATTTTGTATTTTTAGTAGAGACAGGGTTTCACCATGTTGGCCAGGCTGGTCTTGAACTCTTAACTGATCCACCTGCCTCAGCCTCCCAAAGCACTGGGATTACAGACGTGAGCCACTGCACCTGGCCAGGAGTAGATTTTTTTAAAAAGTTAATACATGATAAGATTTTGCTGGGCATGGTGGTTTATGCCTGTAACCCCAGCACTTTGGGAGGCTGAGGCAGGAGGATCGCTTAAGCCCAGGAGTTGGAGACTAGCCTGGGCAATGTAGCGAGATCCCATCATTACAAAAAATAATAATAATAAAAATAGCCAGGTTTGTTGGCCCGTGTTTATGGTTCCAACTGCTCTGGAGGCCGAGGTGAGAGAATCGCTGAGCCTGGAAATCAACGCTACAGTGAGCCACGATCACACCACTGCACTCCAGCCTGGGCACCAGAGCGAGACCCTGTCTCAAAAAAAAAAAGATTATATTTAACTAGTTAAGAAGAAAACTGGACAATCCAGGCCAGGTGTGGTGGCTCATGCTTGTAATACCAGCACTTTGGGAGGCCAAGGCTGGTGAAATCCTGTCTCTACTAAAAATATAAAATTAGCCAGGCATGGTGGCATGCACTTGTAATCCCAGTTACTTTGGAGGCTGAGGCAGGAGAATCACCTGAACTCGGGAAGCAGAGGTTGCAGTGAGCTGAGATCATGCCACCGCATACCAGCCGGGGTGACAGAGTGAGACTGTGTCTCAAAAAACAATAAAACAAAACAAAACAAAAACAAAGGACAATCCAGGCCAGGTGCGGTGGCTCATGCCTGTAATTCCAGCACTTTGGGAGGCCCAGGTGCGTGGATCGCCTGAGGTCAAGAGTTAGAGACCAGCCTGGCCAAGATGGTGAAACCCTGTCTCTACTAAAAATATAAAAATTAGCCAGGTGTGGTGGCGCGTGCCTGTCATCCCAGCTACTCAGGAGGCTGAGGCAGGAGAATTGCTTGAACCCAGGAGGAGGAGATTGCAGTGAGCCGAGATTGTGCCATGCACTCGAGCCTGGGTGACAGAGGGAGACTCAAAAAAAAAGGACAATCCAAAGAAGATTGGGAATATTAAAATAAAGGTGTAGTGGAGGTGAAACTTTTTTTTTCTTTTGAGACGGAGTCTGGCTCTGTAGCACAGGCTGGAGTGCAGTGGTGCAATCTTGGCTCACTGCAACCTCCACCTCCTGGGTTCAAGCAATTATCCTGCCTCAGCCTCCCTAGTAGCTGGGATTACAGGCACGTGGTCATAATCCACCATGCCTGGGTAATTTTTGTATTTTTAGTAGAGACAGGGTTTCACCATGTTGGTCAGGCTGGTGTTGAACTCCTGACCTCAGGTGATCCACCTGCCTCAACTTCCCAAAGTGGTGGGATTACAGGCGTGAGCCACCACATCCAGCCTAAAACAGGTTTTTCCTTAATGGTGGTGGTGGTGAAGTGGGAGAATTGTCACTCCACTGGATGGAGTTTGTTTGCATGTGTTTAAATGATAATTATTTTCCTTTTTTTTTTTTGTGATATGGACTCTTGCTCTGTCACTCAAGCTGGAGTGAAATGGTGTGATGTCAGCTCACTGCAACCTCTGCCTCCCAGGTTCAAGCAAGTCTCGTGCCTCAGCCTCCTGAGTAGCTGTTATTACAGGTGCCTGCCACCACACCCGGCTAATTTTTGTATTTTTAGTACAGTCGAGGTTTCACCATGTTGGCCAGGCTGGTCTTGAACTCCTGACCTCAACTGATCCATCCGCCTTGGCCTCCCGAAATGCTGGGATTACAGGTGTGAGCTACTGTGCCCAGCCTATTTTCCGTTGTTATAATTTGTCTGTAACTTATAAAATCGTAAAATAGGCTGGGTACAGTGGCTCACGCCTGTAATCTTAGCACTTTGGGAGGCCGAGGCGGGCGGATCACCTGAGGTCAGGAGTTCAAGACCAGCCTGGCCAACATGACAAAAAACCCCATCTCTACTAAAAATGCAAAAATTAGCCGGGTGTTGTAGCTGGCACCTGTAATCCCAGCTACTCGGGAGGCTGAGACAGGGAGAATTGCTTGAACCTGGGAGGCAGAAGTTGCAATGAGCTGAGATGGTGCCACTGCACTCCAGCCTGGGCAACAGAGTGAGACTTCATCTCAAAAAAAAAAAAAAAAAAAAAAAAAAAAAAAAGCAGAGGGTCTGGATTTCTAGATAATATGAAGGGAGGACATTGCAAAACCCAGCAGCAGCGGAAAGAAATATCCTGGAGGAAGTTGAACTTTACCCTGCTTGGGAATCTATCCAGGTCTGAAGCCCCTCTACCGAGGTCCCCAGAATGTTCCCCGCTTTCCCCACTGAGTCTGCTGGGGAGTAAAGTCCAAGATGACAGCTCAGTTGTTCCCACGTGGCAGTGTCCTCTGAGGGATCCAAATAAACCTGGAGTTTTATTATCCTGACTGTGCCGATAAGGAGACTGGCCGACCTAGGCAGAGAAAGTGGAGGCCACTGTCCGGTATCTCTTGGCAGGTCACACTCATTCCTTTTCTGTTCACATCAGCTGGGCTTGTAACAGCTCCCAGTGATAGCGTATCCAGGCTGGTCACCCGACGGTGGAGTCTTGTCCATTTGGAAGGCCCAGACCAATGACTGAAGTAAACTACTCACCCCACAATTTACTGCTCCTAGAACAAATTGCTTGTCTTGGTGATAATTCTCTTGTGTATGGCTGAAACTATCAGCTCTGGGATAATGTGCATAACTTTGCATGGATTGATAAAGCTCCATTTATTTATTTGGCTAAACAGAGTTATTACACTATTACTTCTTCTATGAGTTTCTGACATAAAGTCAGACAAACTCAAATGCAAGCTTATTTATTTATTTATTTATTTATTTATTTATTTATTTATTTATTTATTTTTGAGACTGAGTCTTGCTCTGTTGCCCAGGCTGGAGTACAGTGGCGCAATCTCGGCTCACTGCAAGCTCCACCTCCCAAGTTCAAGTGATTCTCCTGCCTCAGCCTCCCGCATAGCTGGGATTACAGATGGGCACCACCACGCTCGGCTAATTTTTGTATTTTTTAGTAGAGACAGGGCTTCGCCATGTTGGCCAGGCTGGTCTCGAACTCCTGACCTCAAGCGATTTGCCCAATTTGGTCTCCCAAAGTGCTGGGATTATGGGCATGAGCCACCATGCCCGGCCTCAAATGCAAGCTTTTCTATCATCATACTAATCCTGCTGAATGAATTTGGAGCTCAATTCCTATGGGGGGGCAAGAGCCTAGAGGTCAAAGCTGTCCTCTTGAATCCTGGTGTCGTTGATGCGTGCATAAGGCTTTGCTTGTTCATACTCTCTCAGGCAGAAGTGTAATTTGAGGAAAATGTAGTGTGCATGTGTGTGTGTGCACATGCACATGTGTGCATACATGTCCTATAAGAATGAGAATGGGTGCCCACTTTTCTTGGCTCCTCTCCCTTGTGCCTCTGGGCCTTTCTGCCTGAATGCACTTGCCTGGAAATCCTTGTCGATCTCTCTCATTCAATGACCAGAGCACCAACTATGGAGTTTGGAAACCTGGCTCCAGCCCTGATTCTGGCATTGACATGCTGCATAACATTGGTGAAAGCAACTGGCCTCTTTGAACATCCCTTCCTGGTGTGTGGCAGGAAACATTTGGTTTCCTTGAACTGAACCCGCCTGACAATGGGAAGATTTGCCTGAACCACCTCCCCTGCTGGGTAGCTATAGGGATTAAATGATGTAACAGAAGGTAAAGCAGGATTATTTTTTAAACTTTTATCTATTTTTAATGCCCTCCTATGTATCTTCAAGGCCAGAGCCTTCTGAGACACTCCAGCCCACGGTGACTGCTCTCCTCTTATCTGTCACTTCTTTAGCCTTATACTGCTTTGCTTATTATGATCTATTTATGTGTTGCGCTTTATCCACTTGTCTTGTCCATAAGCTCTTTTTCTGCCCTTTTGAATCTTTTCAGTGGCTAGTGTGCTGCCTTCATCATAACTGATTTCAGTATGTCTTTCCAGATTGACTACTTAATTGAATTTGGAATATGGGGAAGGAGACTTAGTGTAAAGGGACCACCCAATACAAGGTCTGAGATTATTTTATGCCATATTTCATGGTGGAATAAGGAATGAATAACACAATCTGAATGAATAATGCAGTGTATCATGAGTTGGGAAGGGAGAAAAAAAAGAGTATTTGTACATGTCATTTTTTCTTTCTTTCTTTTTTTGTTTTTTTGAGATGGAGTCTTGCTCTGTTACCCAGGCTGCAGTGTAGTGGCGTGATCTCGGCTCACTGCAACCTCTCCCTCCTGGGGTCAAGCGATTCTTCTGCCTCAGCCACGCAAGTAGCTGGGATTATAGGAGCACGCCACCGCACCTGGCTAAATTTTTGTATTTTTAGTAGAGATGGGGTTTCACCGTGGTGGCCAGGCTGGTTTCAAACTCCTGACCTCAAATGATCCGCCTGCCTCAGCCTCCCAAAGTGCTGGGAATACAGGCATGAGCCACTGCGCCCGGTATATACATGTCATTTTCAATCATTTTGACCTGAATCACCTGGTTTTATCTGGTCAATGAAAGCAGAGGACAATGGTCAAACTTACTATTTGGGTCTTTTGAGACAAAGTAACCAGCTGATCGACTGTCTTTTCTGCTCAGCAGAACTTGCTGGCCCTGGAAGCCATGAGGAGTAACTGAACTGAGGCGAATAGGCTCATAGCTGGGGAGGAAACAGCAACATAGCAACATTTTTACTTTTGCCTTATTGGTGTAACCTTGTTCACAAGGAAGACATGGAAGGGAAAGGACTTGGAGAGTGAGAGAGGAAACAGAAAAGAAAGATTGTGAGGAAGGGCCAGGAGGAAGCAAATAGAGCTTCCAGTTCATGCTTGGGGAGTACTCAAAGTGTCCATGGGAGAGCTACGGGTGGTTGCTTCATATGCAGGGAGAGGCCTGGCCAGACCCACCTTCCTCCCAGCTCTGACCCCAGAGTGAGGTCAGTGTCCAGTTTCCACGTGAACGATTTGCAGACCCCACCCTTTCCCCAGCAGGTAGCAAAGGCCACCTCACTTGTGTCTATGCACAAGCCTGGGCTCAGAGATTCTCTCAAGCCCTAGTGTCAGTGCTCTCCAGATCAAGAGGACCAACAGAGTATATATCTATAGAGAAGTTTATTTTAAGGCATTGGCTCACGTGATGATGGAGGCTGGCAAGTCCAAAATCTGCAGGGTAGGCCTGCAGCCTGGAAACCCAGTGAAGAATTGCAGTTTGAGTCCAAAGGCAGTCTGCTGGCAGAATTCCTTCTTGCCCCTGAGCAAGAAGGAATTATTTTCTATGCAGGCCTTCCACTGATTGGATGAGGCCCACCCATTCAATGGAGGGTCATCTAATTTACTCAAAGCCTATTGATTTAAATTTAATCTCATTCCAGCACTTTGGGAGGTGGAGGTGGGTGGATCACTTGAGGTCAGGAGTTCGAGACCAGCCTGGGCAACATGGTGAAGCCCTGTCTCTACTAAAAATACTAAAAAAAAAAAAAAAAAAAAAAAAAAATTAGTTGTGCGTGGTGGCACATGCCTGTTATCCCAGCTACTTGGGAGGCTGAGGCAGGAGAATTGCTTGAACATGGGAGGTGGAGGTTGCAGTGAGCCGAGATTACACCACTGCACTCCAGCCTGAGCAACAATAGTGAAATTCCATCTCAAAACAAAACAAAAAAACTCCCCAAAAATACTTTCGAAGAAACATCTGGAATAATGTTTCACCAACTATCTGGGTACCGTGGCTCACCAAGTTGGCACATGAAGTTAACCATCCCATCTGGAAAGGGAAGATGGCTCCGTGGCAGAGCTGACTTTGGAGGGAGGACAGCAACTACTGCTTTCCCCTCCTTCTCCTTTTTTAACATTATTCACTTATTTACACTTTCAAACAGGAATACAGGCACATAGTAAATAATTTAAAAAGTCTAGAAAGGTAGAAGGTGAAAAGTGAGTCTCCCTTCCACTCCTGATCTGTTTCTTGGGAATTCTTTCAGAGAGATAATACAAATCTATAAGCATTTTCCCTTTAAAAGCATAAAACATAACATATTCCACATATACGTTTCATGCTTTTCTATGCCTTGCTTTTTTCTTTACTTAGCAAAGAAAAAGTGGAGTTTTTTCTATATCGGTCCACATTGATCTACTACATTCTTTTTTTTTCTTTTTCTTATTTTTTTGAGATGGAGTCTCACTCTGTCGCCCAGGCTGGAGTGCAGTGGCCCAATCTCGGCTCACTGCAACCTCCACCTCCCAGGTTCAAATAATTCTCCCTCCCTCAGCCTCCTGAGTAGCTGGGACTACAGGAGGCTGCCACCACACCCGGCTAATTTTTGTATTTTTAGTAGAGACAGAGTTTTGCCGTATTGGCCAGGCTGGTCTCGAACTCCTGACCTCAGGTGACCCGTCCACCTTGGCCTCCCAAAGTGCTGGGATTACAGGCATGAGCCACGGCACCCGGCCTCTACCACATTCTTTTCAATGGCCACATAGTATTCCCCAGTATGTTTCAGCGGTCTCCCAGGGATGCACACGTAGGTTGCCTCCAACCTTTTGCTCCTACACACACCTCGCTGCAACAACTGTGCTTGCACATCTGTTTTCGAAGCTGCCCTTTTCTTGCTTACACCCATGACTTCCTGAATGTATTCTTCAGATGAGCTTAATAATGTTTTTCTGACTTATCCCCCATCACTTCTGGTCTCTCCTGCCTCCATTCATCCTTTTTAAGCTGAGCGACTGCCTCTGCTGCAGGCTAACGTGCTCCCTCCAGTAAGAAGTTAATCTCCCCCTGGTTTCCTGAGACTCTCCCGAACTGGACAGCGTCTGTTTATCCCACCCCAATTGTGGCTCTTTAGATTCAGCTGGAATTGCCCATTGTTGAAGAGAGCCTGTATATTTTTCTAAGCTAATTTCACAGGCAGCAGCATTCAAATTCAAATTTCCCCTGGCACTTGGCTGCAGTCAGTCAAAGTGACCAAGGAGAATAAATTGTAGCCAGACAGGTCTCACAATCCTCTTGCCTGGTGGAGGGCTTTATTGGCTGCAAATCCCACCACCAGGCAGGGAGACGTCCTCATCACTCCATGACAGGTCCTGGGGCAGGCCGTGATAGATGGTGAAGGTCAGGTCACCTCTAGGCCCTGGAAAAAGTTCTGACTCCCAAGTGCCTGGAGAGTGTAACAAAGACAGGGGCAGCAGGAGCTGGAAGAGGTTACAGAGATCATGTCACCCAACACTGCTTTTCAATAGATGAGGACCCGGACTTAGTTTGCTAAAAACCAGTTATGAGCTGCATCTATCAGACCAGTGGCCCTAACCCTTTAACAGACCTCTTAGAGAATCTGATGCAATGAGGCCCTTCTTCCCTGTAAACTGAATATGCATACCCATGCAATGTTTTGGATGCATTGTGTGTTTTGGTTGGGGTGGTGTGGGGAGAGGGTATTCTGGGTTAAGTCACGTAAGCTCATGCCTGTGGAAGATTTTCTCTCAAAGGGCTATGCAAATGCCAGGGATTGTAATTTTCTTCTCCTGAATCGCTCAGACCAAAACGTTTCTCCACTAACCTGTCTTTACCTAAACTGGCTTTAAATTCATTGCATTTCTGGAAAGTACTGATTAGAATATGACAGCTGAGCACCCCCTTTTCTGAGAAGAAATTGATTTTCTTAATCCACTGAAGTGTGGACGTGCTTAAGTTTACCACAGCTGCTGAAAAGCTTCCTTTCTCTTATACTGGGTGGCATGTCTTCAGGCTGAAACAGCAGCATAGAAAGTTCTGGCCTGGCCTTTGACTGGCTGCCCCATCTGGGACCACTGCCCACTTGAGGGTAGATCCAACAGAACTGGGACCAATGGGTGCAAAATATGAAAGGATTTATCTCCCCTTTGTGGGAGGAAAAATATTTTATCTCCCACTAATCTTTTTTTTTTCTTTCCTTTCTTTTGAGATGGAGTCTCGCCCTGTTGCCCAGGCTGGAGTACAGTGGCACAATCTCGGCTCACTGCAACCCCTGCCTCCTGGGTTCAAGCAGTTCTCCTGCCTCAGACTCCCAAGTAGCTGGGATTACAGGTGCCCACCAACACACCTGGCTAATTTTTTTTGTATTTTTAGTAGAGATGCGGTTTCACCATGTTGGCCAGGCTGGTTTTGAACTCCTAATCTCAAGTGATCCTCTCGCTTCGGTGTCCCAAAGTGCTAGGATTACAGGTGTGAGCCACCGTGACCAATCTTTTTTTTTTTTTTTTAAACAGAGTCTTTCTCTGTCATCCAGGCTGGAATGCAGTGGTGCGATCATGGCTCACTGCAGTCTTGACCTCTCAGGCTCAAGTGATCCTCCTACCTCAGCCTCCTAGTAGCAGGACTACAGGCATGCAACAACCATGCACTGCTAAATTTTTTTTTTCATGGATACAGGGTTCCTACGATGTTGCCCAGGCTGATCTCAAACTCCTAGGCTGAAGCAATCCTCCCAACTTGTTCTCCCAGAGTGCTGGGATTACAGGCATGAGCCACCACCCCTGGCTTCCCACTAATCCTAAACAATATGTAATATGATCTCTTCCCACTAATCCTGAACAATATGTAATATGATCTCTTCCCACTAATCCTAAACAATATGTAATATGATCTCTTCCCACTTTACCAAGTAAATTTGTTCATTTTAGAAAATACAGACAGGCAAAAAAGAGAAAATAAAAATTATCAGAAATTCCAGCTCTCATAGTGTTAGTATTTTGGCATATGACCTCCCAAACACATGTGCACACACTCACACACCCAGGGTCATTTTATACAATGTGATTATATATTGTGCTTCCTGCGTCAGATCTGATTATTTCTCTTAAAAAATAATACAAATCTTCCAAAAACTAAAGTGGTCCAATAATGGAATGGGCTGCCTCAAAAGCAGTGGGGCCCCAACTCTGGAAATGTTTAAGTGGAGGTTTGACAGGAGCAGCTGTGAAAGCGATTTCTGCAGTAGGGAGGCACTTAGGCCGGGAGCTTTTTAGGGATTCCATGCACTAGAGGCCTTGGCAAAGTTTCCTCTGTGAGTCGCAGGAACTCCTGGGCAGGTGGTTCCCTCCCTTCCTATCTTACCCTCTTACTAAGCCCCACAATGCCATTTGCTTGGCTCTCCCTGGTAGGGCTCTTGGGCCAGATGAAGTGAAATCAGTATCCTTCTCCGCTCTTCTGCCAGCATTGTTACCAGCCTCAGGGGAACCATCTTACGTGCAAAGGCTTTCATTAGTGGAAGGATTTTACTTCCAAGCTGTGACCTAATTGGTTTTCTTCTTAATACAAAAGAGAGAGTACTCCATTTCTATTCTATTGCCATCTTACAGCGGGCACTTGGGTTTTTAATTTAGCATTGTAGGGCTGGTTGTTTTGTTCGGGTGTGTGTCCATGTGTGCACATGCACATGTGTAGTGTGAGATTTTTAATTGCCCAAATCATCCAAATGCAAGTGTTTCCTCGTATTCGAATCTCACATTGACTAGTGTGTGTTGGTAAGTGCGCAAGGGCCTGGGCTGGCAGATTGTTATGTGGTGAGAATCCGGTTAGTCAAAGTGTATGTGGTCACAAAGGAATCCAACCTTTATTTTATCAATTTAATTTAATTTTTAGATTTCAATTATGAAATATTTCAAGAATACAAAAAAGTACAGAAAAATATAATTGACCCCCCATCTATCGTTCAGTCATTCACTTGATTGAACAAATGTGTAATATTTGCCATATTTACTTCCTACTTCCTTTTGTAGGAAATAAAATATTAAAGGCACAGCTAAAACCCAATACACTCATCCCTTTCAGATCCTTCTCCATGGGCAAACTACTAACATGAAGTTGCAGATTTTCATATTTTTACTATATATATGAATGCTGCCATAAATAATACTTTGCTTTGCTTATTTTAAAGATTTATGCAATCTGGCTGGGCATGGTGGTTCACTCCTGTAATCCCAGCACTTTGGGAGGCTGAGGCGGGTGAATCACTTGAGGTCAGGAGTTCGAGACCAGCCTGGCCAACATGGTGAAACCCTGTCTCCACTAAAAATACAAAAAATTAGCCAGGCTTGGTGCTGCACACCTGTAGTCCCAGCTACTCGGGAGACTGAGGCAGGAGAATCACTTGAACTCGAGAGGTGGAGGTTACAGTGAGCCAAGATCGCGCCACTGCACTCTAGCCTGGGCAACAGAGCAAGACTCCATCTCAAAAAAAGAGAAGGTTTACAAAATGGCATCATACTGTCAATATCATTTGCAGCCTTCATTTTTTACATAATACTGTGTTTGTGAGATTTATCTGTGATTTATCCATGTTGCTTTCATAGATTCCTTTGGAATATTATATACTCTCCCATAGTATGAAATGGTACAATTTAGCCATTTTCCTAACTGGATATTTAGGTTGTCCTTTCCCCCTACCCATACCCCTTTTCTTGCTATTGCAAATAAGACTGCAATGAAACCCACAGACTTGCTTCCGTCCCTGTATGCAAGTGTGAGAATATTCCGAAGACACAGATCTTGAAGGAGAATTGAGGATCCATAGGGTGTGGAACTTCATTTTATAGTTGAGAATAAAGGGTATTTTAGTTGTTAGTTTATTTTTTTAAATTGTGGTAAAATATATATAACAAAAATTTACCATGTTGGCCATTTTTAAGTATACAGTTCGGTGGCATTAAGTACAGTCACGTTGTTGTGCAACTGCCACCACCATCCATCTCTGGAACATTTTCCTCTTCTCCAACTGGAACTCTACACCCATTAAGCAATAAGTCCCTAGTCAACCCTCTCCCCAGCCTCTTGTTTTTGTCTTAATAGAAGAAGTCAATATCACTCCTTCATTCATCCATAAATATTTACTGAGTATCTATCATGTGTCAAATATATAAATAGGAAATTATATGAATAAAATTTAGTTTTTGCCATCAAGAAACTCCCACCCTAATTGTTGGAGCCCAGGAGTTTGAGGATGCATTGAGCTATGATCATGCCAGTTGCACCACTGCACTCCAAAGTGAGGAACAGAATAAGACCTTGCGTCTAAAATAATAATAATAACAATTTTAAAAATTGGCTAGAGGCTGGGCCTGGTGGCTCACGCTTATAATCCCAGTACTTTGGGAGGCTGAGGTGGGTGGATCACCTGAGGTCAGGAGTTTGAGACCAGCCTGGTTAACATGGTGAAACCCGCTCTCTACTAAAAATACAAAAATTAGCTGGGCGTGGTGGCGCATGCCTGTAGTCCCAGCTACTTGGGAGGCTGAGTCAGGAAAATTGCTTGAACCCGGGTGGTGGAGGTTGCAGTGAGCTGAGATCACGCTACTGCACTCCAACCTGAGAGACAGAGCAAGACTTTGTCTCAAAAATAAATAAATAAATAAATAAATAAATAAATAAATAAATAGGCTAGGAGTGGTGGTTCATGCCTGTAATCCCAGCACTTTAGGGGGCTGAGGCAGGAGGATCACTTGAACTCAGGAGTTTGAGACCAGCCTGGACAACATAGCAAGACCCCATCTCTACTAAAGAGTGCCTGTAGTTTCAGCTACTTGGGAGGCTGAGGTGGGAGCATTGTTTGAGCCCGGGAGATCGAGACTGCAGTGAGCTATGATTGTACCACTGCACTCCAGCCTGGGTAACAGAGAGAGACCCTGTCTTAAAAAAAAAACAAAGGAACTCCTACTCTAGCTGAAGACAGACATAAAAACAATTATATGGGACATGTTGGAGAAGCCAAGTACTAGGAGATCCCAGAGTTACAGCAATGAATTCATGGGTGGGAATGAGGTGAGATGAGGTGGGGAGTTGAAGATAAGAAAATCCTCAGAAAGAAAATAATTTTTAAGCTGAACTTTGAAGCATGAAATACAATTTTTCCAGGCAACAATGGAGGTAGGGTACGGATTTGTGTAAGCGCCTTCAATCAATCAAGAAATATACTGGTATCAGTCAGAGCCTAACCAGTGTAAGAGATACCACTGTAACTATGTGAAACAGAGGAGAGTCAATGCTGGGCATCAGTTACACAGGGGACGCAGGAGATAAGGAGCTGAACAGGGGCTGATGACGCCATTCAGAGAATAGCAGTAGAAAGAATACCTACCATCCTTAGGTCAGAGTCAAGGGAAGGAGGTGGTGTCACCAGAGCCAAGGGCTGGGATCACCCAAAGGAGGCTGGAATCACAGCTGGTCTGGCTGATAGCAATTGGAGCCATGCTGGAGCCATTGTCTCCCCTGGAGACAGAGAGGGAGGGGGTCAAACACCCTGGCCTTTCTTACCACCACAGTTCACTTCCCATTGTCTGAAAGAGCAAAAATAGCACACTGAACTAATCCAGAGAGAGTAAGCACAGAAAGCAGCTACCACCCCTAGGGTGGGGGGCAGAAGGAACAAGAAGAGGCTAGGGACATCGGAATTAGAACATCAGAAGAGAGGCCACATGGAGCTGGTGTCCAGACTTCTTTTTCTTTTCTTTTCTTCTTCTTTTAAATAGAGATGGAGTCTCACTATGTTGCCCAGGCTGGTCTCAAACTTCTGGGCTCAAGTGATCCTCCTGCCTTGGCCTCCCACAGTGATACCAATTGGTGTCACTAACCTGAGACACTGAAGTTGTAGCTTTTATAGGATGTGGTATGGGCTTTGAGTCAGTGACCAAAATATGACACTGATTTCCCCCAGACATGTGGGTCTGGAATTCAGGAGAGCCTCCATCAATTACTACCTTTGTTAAAACAAAATTAAAATGGAGACTGGGCCTAAAAAATTCCTGAGCAGGCCAGGTGCTGTGGCTCACACCTGTAGTCCCAGTGCTTTGGGAGACTAAGCTGGGAGGGTCACTTGAGGCCAGGAATTTGAAACCAGCCTGGGCAATATAGTTAGCTGTGTGTGGTGGCGTGCCCTTGTAGTCCTAGCCGCTAAGGAGGCTCAGGCAGGAGGATGTCTTGAGCCCAGGAGTTCGAGGTTACAGTGAGCTGTGGAGACCCCCTCTCTAAGAAAAGAAACAAAATTCCTGAGCAAATAAAACCAGCTAACCCTTAAAATAGCCTTAACCTTGCTTAGACTGTGAACATCAGTGAAACTTAACAGGGTCAAGACTGTGAATATAGGTAAAACTTAACTTGAGTCTTTTCTGGTGAATGCTTATGTTAGGCAGAAAAATTAACCTCAGCTAATCATAACCAGCCAATTTGTATGATTATGTAACTAGGGACTTTCCAACAAAAAAGGCAATTTTGTAATTGCAAAAATAATCAAATAATTTTTAAATTTTGCTTCTGCATTTACCCCCAAAATACTTGCCCCTCATGATTTGTCATTGGAATACTAAACTTGTTTTGGCCCAGTGTCCCCAATTCATGAATTACTTCTTACTCAAATAAACAGTTTGCAATTTTATTGTGCTTCAGGTTTTTCATTTGCAGTTTGCTGTCAAAAGAGGGATCCAAAGGTGATGACCACCCCTGTCCTACAGCTATAGTTTGAATGTGTCCCCAACAGTTTGTGTGTTGGGAACTTAATTCCTAAAGCAGTGGTGTTGAGAGGTGAGACCTTTGAGTGGTGATTAGGTTACAAGGGCTTGCCCTCATGTATGTGGTAATGCTATTATAGTCAGAGTGGGCTAGTTATCAAGAGAGTGGGTTCCTGAAAAAAGGATGAGTTCAGCTTAAGAAGGCCCTTGTCAGATGCAGGCCCTTTGACTTTGGACTTCCCAGCCTCCAGAACTATGAGAAATAAATCTCTGTTCTTTATAAATTATGCAGTCTGTGGAATTTTGTTTTAGCAACACAAAATGGACTAAGACACCCAGCAAGCCCCAGGAGCATCAAGGAAGCAGGCATGAGGTACCTGCTGGGCCCACCGTGCTCACTGCTTTCTCACTGCGTCTGGAGGTCCTGAGTGAGTATCTCTTGGATTTTGAGTTCCACAGTTTGTGTCCTGAGTTCTCCAAGTTTGAGTGATTTTGTTTATTATTATTATTATTATTATCTTGATATGGAGTCTTGCTCTGTTGCTCAGGGTGGAGTACAGTGGCACGATCTAGCTCACTGCAACCTCCATCCCCTGGGTTCAAGCAGTTCTCGTGTCTCAGCCTCCTGAGTAGCTGGAATTACAGGCACACGCCAGCATGCCCGGCTAATTTTTATACTTTAGTAGAGATGGGGTTTCTCCATGTTGGCCAGGTTGGTTTGGAACTCCTGACCTCAAGTGATCTGCCTGCCTCCCAAAATGCTGGGATTACAGGCATGAGCCACAGTGTCCGGCTGAGTAATTTTATTTTATTTAATTAATTAATTTATTTTTTGAGACAGGATCTCACTCTGTCACCCAGGCTGGAGTACAGGGGTGTGATCATGGCTCACTGCAGCCTTGGACAAAGCAGGGTTCAAAGCAATCCTCCCATCCAAGCCTCCAGAGTAGCTGGGACTACAGGTACATGCCACCATGCCTGGGTAATTTTTTAAAATGTATTTTTTCGTAGAGATGGGGGCCTTGCTACGTTGCCCAGACTGGCCTTGAACTCCTGAGTTCAAGTGATCCTCCTGCCTCAGCCTCTCAAAGTATTGGGATTACAGGAGTAATTTTATTTTTGACTGGACCCAGAGGTTGAAGTGGGTGTTCAGTGGGAACTGGACTGGCTTCAGCTGGAGGCTTCGGGTAGGTAAAATTTTAGAGGGACAAGGTATGATGTGTTCATCAGCATCTAAGGAGTCTGGGAGTCCTCTGTCCAGAACACAAGCCAATAATATGTTCAGAAATTATGGACCCCAAACCTGTGGTTTTCTAGAGAAATGAATGCACCTTACTAGAGACCATTTAAAGTGGCAGTGGGATGGGTTAAAAACATTTTTTTTTTAAACTAAAACTTAATTCCTAGGTTCACAACAATGAGAAGTTTTGAGCTGGATAAAACTGTTCATTTATGGAGCATATTGGAAAAGGAGGGATCACACATGTCTCAGAAACAATGGGATGCATTTCCTGTTTGGTAGAGGGAGGCTTCTAAAAGGTTGATTGGTTACAAAATTGCCTCTCTAAAAGACTCCTTTCTAAAGGCAAATAAGGAAACTGAAAAGCTTAAGAGATGAATTAAAGACGAAAATAAAAATAATTATATGGTAACTGACATAACTTTGACCATTTCCGCCCTTTATTCTCAATATATTTGTACACCCATTTTCTCAGCTTACACCTACTGATCCTTTTGCCCAGTTATGCTTATACCCTGAAGATGATGAGAGATGGGAAGTTAGGCCCTCAGAACAGCCATGTCTGGTTCCTATAACTACTTTTGCTCAAAACGGAGTAAAAAAACTGGTGAAAAATTGAACTCAGAGTCATAGCAAAAGATTTTCCAAACCTTAGAGAAAACCTCAAAAAATTTACTGAGGAATTTAGAATTCTCACAGGAGCCCGTGACTCTGGACCTCCCAATTTGTGTCAGGATAAGACATGAGATGGGACCTGGGGAGGCAAGTAACTGGATGGCCACAGCAGGATGGGATACGCCTGAGGAAGTACTGCCAGTCATGCAAGTGGTACTTCTAGGGTGGCCCAAATATGCCAGAAAAATGGCTGAAAAACTTTAGAAGCTATCCCCGTTGTCTTTCCATAAAAGATTCCCTGCTCCATTATTCAAACAGGTGTGAAAGGAAAATCAAAAACTCAGGACCCCAATTCACCATGCCAAAGGAAAAAATCAAGCTGAAAGCTGAGTCATGCAAGAAGCTGCCTTTTGTTCCTAAGCAGATAGCTACAGATAAAAGGTGAAATATCTCCACAGGGACCTTATCTTATATAACGTGTCCAGTTACTGAGTGCGAGACGAATACATAATCGACTGTCCCCCTACCTGCTTTTTTTCTCTTGCAACACCTGGATTACCATGCCCTCCCTTTTCCCCCTCCAGCTCACTTTTCCCCTTTAAATACTGAAGCCCTCAAAATCATCTTTGGACAAAGGCACAGACCACAGACTGTTTCTGTGATTCCATGTTTATTTCTTCCAGGCATTGTCCTTAACCTTGGCAAAATAAACTTCTAAGTTGATATCCATTATGTATATGTGCATATTTAAAAGGACTTTACACTTTTTTTTTCTCTCCCAGGATCTTGTTTTTTGAGAAAAAGTTTTTTTTTTTTTTTAAATTCTCAGTCAACTGAATTCTATTCTCTCCAGTTCTCTCCACTTACTTCTGCCTGTCTCTCCTTCCTTTGCCATCCTCTACTGCATGAGGAACCTAAACTAATTTCTGACAGCCTGGGATTCCTTAAAGAAAACAGAGAAGGTGCCAGACTCCTTTTTGGGGAATTTTCCTCTGTGTTTCCTTATGGAATCCCAAGAGGACGAACAGACAAGTTCTGCTCGGATCTTAAACTGCTTGCTTTTTATTGTGTTGTCTGATTTTTCTTTTGACTAAAATAGTTATGTAAACCAAAAATACAATTCTAAGTGCCCCTCAATCAACTGGTGGACCCTCCCCTTGGCCAAGGGTATTCCAAAGTTAACCTGAAAAACTAGTTCAGGTCATGATGGGAAGTGGGGGTCGGATATTATATCCTTCTCCCTGCATTAGCATTAAAGCAGAGACCTTAAGGCTGATAGAACAGACTTTTTTTTTTTTTTGAGATGAAGTCTTGCTGTTACCCAGGCTGCAGTGCACTGGGTGCTATCTTGGCTCACTGCAACCCCACCTCCTGGGTTCAAGTGATTCTCCTGCCTCAGCCTCCTGAGTAGCTGGGATTACAGGCATGCACCACCAGGCCTGGCTGATTTTTGTATTTTTAGTAAAGATGGGGTTTCGCCATGTTGGCCAGGCTGGTCTCAAACTCCTGACCTCAGGTGATCCGCCCACCTTGGCCTCCCAAAGTGCTGGGATTACACGTGTGAGCCACGGTGCCGGTCCAGAACAGACTTTTTAAGTCTGATAAGAAACACAGTCTATTTTCTCTGAAGCTTAGAGGCTTCATCTGCATAAGAAGAACCTTGGTCTCCAAAACTACCTATCTTAATGCAGACATTCCCTTCTATTGATTCTAGATCTTTAGATAAACTATTTCAACTAATTGCCAGTCAGGAAATCTTTGCCTCTACCTATGACCTGGAAGCCCAATCTTACCCCCCACCACCAGCTTCTTCAAGTTGTCCCACCAATGCACATCTTATATGTATTGATTGCTGTCTTATGTCTCCCTTAAATGTATAAAACTAAGCTGTAACCCAACTACCTTGGGCATATGTTGTCAGGACCTCCTGAGGCTGTGTCACGGGAATGTCCTTAACTTTGGCAAAATAAACTTCTAAATTGATTGAGACTTGTCTCAGATACTTGTTGGTTTATGGTTATTACAACAGGGGCTACTCTTGGGTGTTTAAGATAAGTAAGGGTGTGGTTTAGACACTTAGAGAAACGTTTCTGTAACAAAGTGCACTGTAAAAGCATTACATGGCCTAGTCCCACGACAGCTCTTTTTTTGGAGACCCAGGATTCCCTGTGAGCTCTGCTTAGAGCTCAGAGATCCAGTTAAAAGACAGAGACTGAGTTTAAAACTACTTATCTAAATAAAAATGGTCTCCTTATACAATCCTGTGGTAGATTTCTATAATTTTATGTTTGACTTGCCAGGCATTTTTAATCTTCCTGTAACGCACCAACACTCTCTCTCTCCCTACTTGGAGATATAAATATTGCTATCTGATTTTCACCTAGGAGTTGTTGCTTTAGTTTGCACATTTAGGGCTGTCTTACTGACAATTGCCTAGGGTAATGAAACAGGTTATCAAAAAATTGGAAGTCTTGGCTGGGCGTGGTGGCTCATGCCGGTAATCCCAGCTATTCAGGAGGCTGAGACAGGAGAATCACTTGAACCCAGGAGGTGGAGGTTGCAGTGAGCTGAGATCCTGCCACTGCACTTCAGCCTGTCTGAGCGAGACAATGTCTCACAAAAAAAGAAAAGAAAAGAAACAAAACCCAGGGAATTGGAAGTTTAAAGTAGGAGGAAAAAAAGGGGTCTTTGGTTGGGTGCGGTGGCTCATGCCTGCAATCCTAGTACTTTGGGAGGACGAGATGGGAGGATTGTGCTGAGACCAGCTTGGTCTGGGAGACCCTAACCCAGTGGCGCTAGAGGAATTAAGGACACACACACAGAAATATAGAGGTGTGAAGTGGGAAATCAGGGGTCTCACAGCCTTCAGAGCTGAGAGCCTCGAACAGAGATTTACCCACGTATTTACTAACAGCAAGCCAGTCATTAGCATTGTTTCTATGGATATTTGATTAACTAAAAGTGTCCCTTATGGGAAATGGGATTAACTGAAAGTATCCCTTATGGGAAACAAAGGGATGGGCCGAAATAAAGGAATAGGTTGGGCTAGTTAACTGCAGGAGGAGCATGTTCTTAAGGCACAGATCGCTCATGCTATTGTTTGTGGCTTAAGAATGCCTTTAAGTGGTTTTCCGCCCTGGGTGGGCCAGGTGTTCCTTGCCCTCATTCCAGTAAACCCACAACCTTCCAGCGTGGGCGTTATGGCCATCATGAACATATCACAGTGCTGCAGAGATTTTGTTTATGGCCAGTTTTGGGCCATTTAAGGCCAGATTTTGGGGCGCTTGTTCCCAACAGGATTGCTTGAGGCTAGGAGTTTGAGACCAGCCTGGGCAACATAAGGAGACCCCATCTTTATGAAAAATACAAAAATTAGCTGGGTATAGTGACACATGCCTGTAGTCCCAGATACGCAGGAGGCTGAGGCAGAAGGATTACTTGGGCCCAGGTGGTCAAAGCTGCAGAGAACTATGATTGTGCCACTGCACTCCAGCCTGGGTGACACAGTATGAGAACTTATCTCAAAAAAAGGGGGTCTTATGAATCTTTTTTTTTTTTTTTTTTTAGATGGAGTCTTGCTCTGTTGCCTGGGCTGCAGTGGCACGATCTTGGCTCACTGCAACCTCTGTCTCCTAGGTTCAAGTGATTCTCCTGCCTCAGCCTCCCAAGTAGCTGGGATTACAGGTGCCTGCCATTATGCCTGGCTAATTTTTGTATTTTTAGTAGAGACGGGGTTTTATCATGTTGGCCAGGCTGGTCTCAAGCTCCTGGCCTCAAGTGATTTGCTGCCTCAGCCTCCCAAAGTGCTGGGATTACAGATGTGAGCCACTGCGTCCGGCCAAAAGGGAGTCTCATGAATCTACTTCTACCTGTGTGTCTGATACATCTGTGTATCTGTGTCATGTATACATTTTGTAGCAGGACGAGCTGTAGACAAAACTCCTCAGACACCGAGTTAAAGAAGGAAGGGGTTTATTCAGCTGGGAACATTGGCAAGACTCCTGTCTCAAGAGCCAACCTCCCTGAGTGAGCAATTCCTATCCCTTTTAAGGGCTCACAACTCTAAGGGGGTCTGCGTGAGAGGCTCGTGATCGATTGAGCAAGCAGGGGGTATGTGACGGGGCTGCATGCACCAGTGGTCAGAGTGAAACAGGACAAACCAGGAAGTTTCACAATGTCTTTTCTATACAATGTCTGGAATCTATAGATAACATAACCAGTTAGGTCAGGGGTCGATCTTTAACTACCAGGCTTAGGTCAGGCGGGCCCAGGCTTGGTTTCGGGTCTGGTTCCTTGGCTTCGGGTCTGGTTCCTAGGCACCAGGCTACCTGACTTTTGTTTCACTTTTCTTTTCTTTTCTGAGTATAAAACAATGTAAAACGATATGAGAGGGTCTGTCTCTCTTCTCTCGGTTTCACTACCCAAAATATATAAGAGCTCTAATTAGCTTAAAGAAAAAAAGAGGCACTTAAATCAAATCTTTTATCAGAAAAATAGAGACTTTAAGCTCAAATGCGTTTTCAGGTTCACATGACTCACAAATCTTTAATAAATAAGCTGGTTTAAAAATGATTGGTAAAATAAAATTAGAAATGCCTTCTGAATTATCAACATACATTATTGTTTAGATTTATTGGTCAAGTGGTTTTATATTTATCTCTGCTAGATATTATAAGGTGTCAAAATTTGGCATGAGGGCTATAAAGCTATAAATGTAGCCCAAAAGAGAATTACCTTTAATGTTGTTGTTTTAATGAAAACAATGAGATTCTGAGTTATTGGCAAAAAAAGTCCATTTATTTAACCTCAAGGTTCCTACTTACGTAAACAACTGAAATTCATAGGCTGTAAAAATGGTTAACAGGGAAATAACTTTAAATGATAACTATCGCAGTTTTCATAAGTAATCTCTGCAGGTTCTAACTGCTGTTGTGGCCTTATGCTAAAATGTTTTATCTTAAAGGTCTGAAGGAAATATTTTCTTCCAATGTAACATTCTGTGCTGTTGGCCTTAAATTGTTCTATGAAATCAAAGATTTTCACTTATGACCCCAGACACAGTCTTCCTATTCTAACTAATTCAAGTACCATTTTCACGAGTTTTGACTTGCAGGTTATCTAAATGTGCTCCCTGTAGGGAAAAACAATCACACTGCAGAAGGTCTTTTCATTTGCTGTTTGGTAACTGGCCTAACAAACAGATTTTACATTTTTTGAAATAATTCCTACATCATCGTCATTAAGTTTTGATTTGCTTAGGAAAACTAAGATGAAAAAACCAAGGCTATCACATCTACATAACTTTCTACATTGCTTTTAAAGTCCTTGTGCTGTTAAGTTATAGGGCTTTGACTCTTGGGTCTAAAAAGGACTTCAAATCCTGCTAAACCTTAAACACTGACAGCAGTTAAAGCCTCATCTTCAGATCCAGAGAAGATGCCAATCAAAATAAACTGTGTTAATGAGACACTGGGCCAAAAATTAAAACTATTCAACTTCTCTAGGCCCAGAGACTATTGCAGAAGAGGTAGGCACATGAGATTGTAAGGGCTGATTTTGAGAGAGAAAATTGTTCAGAGTTTTTCTATAAATTAAACATTAATATCAAAGGCACACTGATACAATACCAGCATCTGGGTCCCTGTGTCGGATTAACAAGGTTTTCTTGGAGAATTAACCCACTTTTTTTTGAGACAGAGTCTTGCTCTGTTGCCTGGGCTGGAGTGCAGTGGCGTGATCTCGGCTCACTACAACCTCCACCACCTGGGTTCAAGCAATTCTCCCACCTCAGCCTCCCGAGTAGCTGGGATTACAGGCTCCTGCCACCATGCCCAACTAATTTTTGTATTTTTAGTAGAGAGGGGGTTTTGCCTTCTTGGCCAGGCTGGTCTCGAACTTCTGACCTCAGGTGATCCGCCTGCCACAGCCTCCCAAAGTGCTGGGATTACAGGTGTGAGCCACTGCGCCCAGCCTATTTTACAACTTTATAAATTATAGATAAATTATAACAATGGGAAATAGGCTGGGTGTGGTAGCTCATACCTCTAATCCCAGCATTTTGGGAGGCAAAAGCGGGTGGATCACTTGAGGTCAGGAGTTCGAGACCAGCTTGATCAACATGGTGAAACCCTGTCTCTACTGAAAATACAAAAAATTAGCCAGGCTTGGTGGCAGATGCCTGTAATCCCAGCTTCTCAGGAGACTGAGGCGGGAGAATCGCTCGAACCCAGGAGGCAGAGGTTTCAGTGAGCTGAGATTGTACCATTGCACTGCAGCCTGGGTGACAGAGAAAGACTCTGTCTCAAAAAAAAAAAAATTACAAACAGTTATAACAAGGCTTATGAAAATTATATCTGATGGTCAAGATGATTAAAATGTAATAGATTTGTTGATAAGATTTAAGAGAGATATAATTGGCCTCATGTTGTCTTTATTAAGGCTTATTATTTAGGAAATTAAGTCTCCTTTCTCAAAGAATAAAGATTTCTGCCTCTTTTTTTTTGGGAAATCTTTGAGTTATAATGTGGTCTAAATAAATGACTTATTTTACAATGACTTGTGATCCTATTTTGTGATATCAAATGTTTTTAAAACTTTTTATGTTTGACCAACTTTCCAAAATCAAATTCTAAGTTCGATCCTTTTGACCTCATTAATTTTTTGAATTTAGGTCCTCTGAAGTCCAAAAGAGACATTTTCAGCTTATTTGGTATAACAAAAGCATACAGAAAACATTATTAAATATGAAATGGTGTTTAACCTTCTTTGGATTATATTTATATAAATGTATTATTAGTATGCCTTCCAAATGAAGGTATATGAAATTCCTATATGAAATTCCTATAATTCTGATATGTATTAGTATACATTATGGTAGTATTATGATTATTATTTAAAATTGTTGCATGCCACATAAGTAACCAAATTTCCTTGTCATTTGTGTCTTTAACCATGGCTGTTCTAAGACTTTGTCATCCACAATTGTTGTTTACTTTGATCCTTTTATAGAGTGGCTTATAATCAACTATAGAACTCTGAGTACTCTGATAATTTTAGAGATTGTGCCATTGGAATAGAGAGAAAAACTTCCAGGACTCTCATGGAGAGCTGATGTATTCGTGAGGATTGTCAATCCAATATTGGAAGAACAGAAGTTAATTGCATGGATTAAACTAACAGAAGCCTGAAATAATCTTTCATTACTTTTTGTTTAACACATTTGCTGATTCTTTTTGTTTTGTTTTTCAGAGTGAAGAAAACTTTTTCTTCTTTTAAGTTATTTACAGTTTTTAACGTTGAGTAAAGTGTATTCTAGCAAGCAAAATTCAACATAATTTATTTCTCTCTACCTAATTTCTCTGAAATTCAGAAACTATTTGTGAGTGTTCTTAATTTATGGCAATATACTTATTTGTATAAGTTCCATAGGAACCTGCTTTCTTTTATTACAGGCCATACCTGGAGACACTGGTTATTTTCCCAAGTCTTTGACTGGAATGGCATATTTTCAGATTGCCTTGAGGAAATGAGGTTGACCTATAGAGCCAATTAAAGCCCTTCAGAAAAACTGGCCCCATACCTTGTCCTTCATAGGGTTCTGACCTGTGACAAGTAAAGAATGTTGGTTTCTGACAGGCCCAGGAATCCCAAGTTTTCTTGGGATATTGAAAAGAGGAAGTCACCCAGGCTGAGCTTGAGGTTTTTAAAAAGGTCTAATCTCAGATGCCTTGAGGAAAAGCTTCCAGCAAAGTCAATTTAAAAAAAAAATAGAGTCTACATGGCAAATGATTATTCTTGCTGCACTTTATGCAAATAATCAAGCCAAGTATAATAAGGCTAAAACTTATTTTACAAATAAACTGGTCCTACTATGATTTTGTCTTTAATAAAATTGGGAAATTGGAGAGAGAAAAATTATGTTTCAAAATAATGTATAGTACACATGTTATTAGATTCTAGCCTTGTGCAGTGTTTTCCAATTTTTATTATTTTCTACAATTTGGACTGAATCCAGAAATGTTTCCTGTCCACAAGTCTTAAAATAATGTTTTCAATTTTTTTCTTTCTTTGTTTTTCCTGCTCCCCATTTTTCCTGATTTGAAATACTGAAGCTAGACAAATTAAACTTTGGAAGAAAATGACAGCAACCTATTTATATACATAAACCATTTTCATATCTGCCTACCGATGTGTGGACTTCAGAGTAATATGGCCTGTATCAGTTTTCCGGGATTTTTCTTCCTTTTTTTTTTTTTGGTTATTGCCTCCTTTTTCCCCTCTGTTTTCTCTTTTCCTTCCCCTATTTTTTCTTCATAGGATGTGAGAGTTCACAACCTGTTCCAAATGAGCATTCCCAACAACATAGGACCTGTTTGTCTATGAATAAACTCTCTTAGCCATGAAAGATCAGGCAAAATCCAAGACCAGTGACTCATTTTCTTCTAAAATGTTTTCTCCAAAAGATTTTCAAAAGAAAACAGAGGAGGAATATAAAAGGAAAATAAAAACTTGGGACCCCAATTCACTGTGACAAAAGGAAAAAAAATCAAGCTGAAAGCTGAGTACGTAAGAAACTGCCTTTCCTTTTGTTTCTAAGTAGATAGCTACAGATAAAATGTTGAATATCTCAACAGGTAGCTCCTCTATATTCATCTTATCTCACGATTTACTGAGCAGATGAATACATAATTGACTATTCCCTTACCTGTTCCTTTTCTCTTGCAACACGTGGATTACCATACCCTCCCTCTTTCCTCTCCAGCCTGTTTTTCCCCTTTAAATATTAAAGCCCTCAAAATTATCTTTGAAGAAAGGCACAGACACCTGCCTCCTGGGTATGTCATTAACCTTGGCAAAATAAATTTTTTGCTTACATGTGTAAGCCAAAAAAAGATTAGTTGCTTCGTGATTACAGGGCTAGATTGAGAATCTCACTTGTTAAACATTCTGGTCTTAAAATGGTTGACAAAAAAGTCAAGCTCTAAAATATTTGAAGAGATTTATTCTGAGCTAAATATGAATGATCAATGGCCAGTGACACAGCCCTTAGGAGATCCCGAGAACATGTGACCAAGGTGGTTGGGGCACAGCCTAGTTTTATACATTTTAGGGAGACATGAGACATCAATCAAATACATGTAAGATATACATTGATTCAATCCGGAAATGCGGGACAACTCGAAGTAGGGGCTTCCAGATCACAGGTAGATTTAAACATTTTCTTATTGGCAATTTGTTGTAAGAATTGTTATTAATAGAAAGGAATATGTGGGTTATGATAAGGGGTTGTGGAGACCAGAGTTTTGTTATGCAGATGAAGCCTCCAGGTAGCAGGCTTCAGAGAGAGTAGTGTTTCTTATCAGACTTAAGGTCTGTTGATATTAAATGCTGGTCAGTTTTTCCCAAATTCCAAAAGAGAAGAGGGTATAATGAGACTCCTATATGCTAGTGAAATCCTTAATTTAGGGCCACTTGTACATGAAGTGACCCCTCATAAAAGGACACCCACCCCCATCTCCCAAACCCAATCATATAAAAGAGTTTTGCCTTCATTCCTTTGTAAGAGTACTTTCTCCTCAGCTGGGAATCTCTGAATTGGAAAAATGACTTATTAATATTTCAGCAACTCCTGAAAAAAGCTTTGCTGATATTTTGGATTCTCTCTAAGCAGTGCAATCTGAGATGAATTATTTGGCCTCAGTAGTACTCCAAACTAGAAGAGTTCTGAACACTTCGATTGCTCAACAAGGAGGAGCTTGTGACCTAATTGGTGAAAAGTGTTGTTTTGATGTTAATAAGTCAGGCGTTGTTGACCAAAATTTAAAAGGTCTTTAAGAATAACAGGAGTTTTCCGTCAGATGAGCACTGCCTCCTGCATTGACTCAGCTGGTTAAATCTTGCTTCCCAGGAATCTTTGCTCAGAGGAATCTTTCAATCCACGGCCACCATTCTCCTTACAGTTATTGTATTTACCTCCCTGGTGTGTCATATGCTTCCTGAGGGTATTCAATGCTTTCCAGCAGCCACTCATACATCAAATAATTGCCACCAGGCTCAGACAACTTGAGTAAACTAATAAACACTGACTCTGTAATTCCTAGCAGCAGCTATACGTCTCCAAAGCCCAGCGTATCTACTGATGATAACAGCATCTACCTAATTTTTCTTCTATCTATGTCAGTAGTGACAGCCAAGAGTAACACTGTGCTATTTGGTCACGTTCTCAGCTTGCTGTTTGGATGAACAAAAGCGGGGAATTGTTAAAGCAAAATTAAAATGGAGATCGAGCCTAAAAAATTCCTGAGCAAACAAAACCAGCTAGGCCTTAAAATAGTCTTAACCTTGCTTAAACTGCAAACACAGGCAAAATTTGACTTGGGTCATAACTATGAATGTAAGCGAAACTTAACTTTTGTCATTTTTGGTGAATGCTTATGTTAGAAAACTTAAGCTCAGCCAATCATAAGCAGCCAATTAATGTGACTAGGGACTTTCCAATAAAAAATGCAATTTGATTACTGGCAACCAAATAATTTTTAAATTTTTCTTCCACATTTACCCCCAAAATACTTGCCCCTGATGATTTGTCATTGGAATACTAAACCTCTTTTGGCCTGGTGTTCCCCAATTTGTAAATTGCTTCTTACTCAAAGTCTTTAAAATTTTATTGTATCTTAGATGTTTCTTTTTACACACTTAACCCATTCACAGAATTTTTGCCTGCTATTCCTGCAACTTTGGGCTCTGTTGGTTTGGAGGTCTTGGGAATTCTTCCACTAGGAGACACCGTGATGCTTCCATTGATTTGGAGATAAGATGGCCACTTGGCCGTGAACTACTGGCTGGAGTGATTGATTCCAATTACCAGGGGGAATTTGGTGGCTGTCACACAATAGAGGCAAGGAGGGCCATGTCTGGAACCCAGAGCAGTCTCTGGAACACCTCTTAGTACTACCATACCCAATAAGAGAATTTAAATGTAAAAATATAGCAAGTAAAAAATGTAGGCCTACCAA
Organism: Homo sapiens; assembly: GCF_000001405.40. NCBI lineage: Eukaryota > Metazoa > Chordata > Mammalia > Primates > Hominidae > Homo > Homo sapiens. Next base: position 49,538,741 of record NC_000018.10, read on the forward strand.
GGATTCAGCCCCTTTGGGAGTGAAGGTTTGAGTCACCCCCCAAGCACAGAACTTGAGCAGCTGAGGTACTGGCTGAGGAAATGGAACATGGAATGACTAGTGGAAGAAGAAAGGCTTATCAACTGCAGCCTTGTGACTAGCATAGAAATGAGGATAGTAGGCCGGTCACGCTGGCTTACACCTGTAATCCCAGCACTTTAGGAGGCTGAGGCACGTGTGGATCACCTGAGGTCAGGAGTTCGAAACCAGCCTGACCAACATGGAAAAACCCCATCTCTACTAAAAAATACAAAATTAGCTGGGCCTGGTGGCGCATGCCTGCAATCCCAGCTACTTGGGAGGCTGAAGCAGGAGAATCACTTGATCCTGGAACGTGGAGATTGGAGTGAGCCAAGATCGCGCCTGGGCAACAAGAGCAAAACTCCATCTCAAAAAAGAAAAGAAAAAAAAGAAAAGAAATGAAGATAGTAGCAGCTATGCATATTTTCCCTTTATCCACTCATGGTTTTGACTCACATGTATATGCTATGTGTCTATATTCAGTACTCTCTTATTTTCTCCCTCTCCTTCTCCCATTATTATTATTATCATCATTAAGACAGGAACTCTCTCTGTCACCCAGGCTGGAGTGCACTGGTGCAATCTCGGCTCACTGCATCCTCCATTTCCTAGGCTCAAGTGATCCTCCTACCTCAGCCTCCTGAGTAGCTGGGACTACAGGTGCACATCACCACTCCTGGCTAATTTTTGTATTTTTTGTAGAAATGGGGTTTTGCCATGTTGCCCATGCTGGTCTTGAATTCCTAGGCTCAAGCAATCCACTCACTGCAGCCTCCTAAGGTGCTGGGATTACTGGTGCGAGCCACTGCACCCCGCCCCTCTCTCCCTTTATCTCATTATCGTACCATCCCTGTAGAACTTAACATTTGTGTTATAGTGATCTGATATGTGTCTGCCTCCCTGGTAGGCAGGATCCTTGAGGGAAGAGACCTTTTATATACACACCGAACATAGGCCCAGTCCACTGGGCATGCCACCTGGCATTCTTCTGTTGCTTCTGCCCAGGGATCATCTGCTAACCACCTGCAATTCCCTGCACAGAAACAATGGGTTTAATTCAACTTAGGATTACTAATAATTATCACTTGGCTCAGCAGGCTTGTCCTGCTGGGCAAACTCACCAGATAGCAGTTAGACATTTAAGAAACTGCTATGGTTTATGTAAAATAATAAGCATTCTCTCCTCCCTCTTCTATGTATAGACTGCTTAATAATAATAGTTATTAATAGCTAGTATTAATTGAGTACCCAGTGCTGGAGATACAGAGAAGACATAGTCCCACTCTAGTGAGAGGTGCACTAATAAATCCTTGCTGACAGGACAGGGTGATAGTGTTATGCTAGAAGTTGCAGGGGGTTGGGGGTGGGTGCAGTATATGGTAAACTCACCTGATAGCATAACTTAAGCATACCCTGAGAAGGACCTTCCATGGCGGACGCCCCTGCATGCGGTTGGGAGTTCTGAGCTAAGGAATCCAGGCATGGCTTACCCGGAGATTCATTCCTTGTCTATGAAGAACCTCTGAGCCCCCGACCCTATCCCCATCCCATGGAATTTAGGCTGTACGGGGGACCCAGGCCCTCTGTTTGGGGTTAAATGAAGGTTGCCAGGTGGAGGTCGTCAGAGGGAGGATACTATGTGAAAATGCCATTGAAACTGTGTGCCTTTTGCAAGTGGTTGCAGTTCTCCTGCTCGGTCCCCTGCCCTGGACATTCTCCCCCATATGTAAGTACCCAGTAAAAACCTCATGTCTCATTGGCTGGCTTTGGGTCTCTTCTTTGGCCTCTTGAACCTGATGCCATCCCCATTGGTGTTGATAGGGGTTCCGCACAACAAGGATGGCTGCAGGAGCACGGAGGAGTGTTGTCTAACTTAAACTGGGATAGATCTTCAGGGAAGGCTTCTTGGAGGAGGTGACTCAGAGTAAGAATAGGAGTTAGCTTGACTAGCAGGGCATGGCTGTGTTAGGCTCTTTTGGTGAAGGAAACGAGATCTTATGCTAGAGAGCTTTTGCTAGCTTTAGCAGTGGCATTTGTTGTAAAGACACACAGCCAGGGATCCACGCATAGGGGTCCTGTTACAGCTGGCCCTTGTGGAGACTGGGTATAAGATAGTGGATTGCAAACTAAAGTGCACCAGAATCACCTGGAGGGCTGGCGAAAGCCCAGATTTCAGGGCCTCTCACCTCCAGGGTTTTTGATTCAGTAGGACCGAAATGAGGCCAGAGAATGTGCATTTCTAATAAGCTTGCAGGTGATACTGATGCTGCTGGTCCAGGCCCCACACTTTGAGACCTCCTCATGTCTAAAGCAGGCCTGGCAATCTCAGTCACAGACGCCCATGGATCTTGGCCCGAGCCATGTGGAGTCATGTTGGTTGTGTAGCTACCTCCTCTATTTTCTCTATTTTTTTCTTTTTTGAGATGGAGTTTCACTCTTGTTGCTCAGGCTGGAGGGCAGTGGTGTGATCTCGGCTCACTGCAACCTCTGCCTCCTGGGTTCAAGCGATTCTCCTCTCTCAGCCACCCAAGTAGCTGGTTACAGGCGCCTGCCACCAAGTCTGGCTAATTTTTGTATTTTTAGTAGAGACAGGGTTTCACCATGCTGGTCAGGCTGGTCTCAAACTCCTGACCTCAGATGATCCACCTTCCTTGGCCTCCCAAAGTGCTGCAGTTACAGGCGTGAGCCACTGTGCCCGGCCTATTTTCTCTATTTTTGGTGCTTTTATTCTCTCAGGATTGTTCACACCTCCTGCTCCCTGTGTCTTTACATCTCCGCTTGCTTTACTCACTGGTGGTTTTGACCCTGCATGGCCTAACAGGGTCCCTCAATCCAACTGCCTCTCTCTCTCTTTTTTCTTTTTTTTGAGATGGAATTGGAGTGCAATGGCGCGATCTTGGCTCACTGCAAACTCTGCCTCCCAGGTTCAAGTGATTCTCCTGCCTCAGCCTCCCGAGTAGCTGGGATTACAAGCTGTGCCTCCACAGTTGGCTAATTTTGTATTTTTAGTAGAGACAGGGTTTCTCCATGTTGGTCAGGCTGGTCTCAAACTTCTGACCTCAGGTGATCTGACCGCCTTGGCCTCCCAAAGTGCTGGGATTACAGGCATGAGCCACCGCGCCCAGCCATCCAACTGCCCATCTCTGTGCATCTCTTTGGCTTCACTCTTAGCTCTTCCTTGATGCTTTACATATTCCCCAGTTTAAAGGCTGAATAGAGAGAAACTTGATTAGCCAAGTTTGTTCCTGAAAGGGCGGAGTTTAGAGTGCTTGTTACCTCACAGGCTGCTGGCCAGCCCAGGAAGTAGCTGTGTTTGGCTCAGGTGTCCACCTGTGAAGATGGGGCCAGGGACACAGAGAGGAAACCTCCCTTGCTCTCCCAGACATCTTGGAAGAGTCACCTGAGTGTATCCTCTCACTTCCTCTCCTCCTGTTCCCCACACACTCTGCCCCAGGAGGAGCTCTATTTCTCTTTTTTCTTTACGTTTTTTAAAAAATTATTTATTATTTTTTGAGACAAGGTCTTTTTCTGTTTCCCAGGCTGGAGTGCAGTAGCATGATCATGGCTTACTGCAGCCTCGAACTCCTGGACTCAAGTGATCCTCCCACCTTAGCCTCCCAAGTAGCTGGGACCACAGGCATGCACACCACCATGCCTGGCTAATTTTTGTATTTTTTGTAGAGACGGGGTTTTGCATCATTGAACTGGCTGGTCTCAAACTCTTGGGCTCAAGCAATCCACCTGCCTCGGCCTCCCAGAATTCAGGGATTACAGGTGTGAGCCACTGTACCTGGCCAAAATGCTCTATTTCTATAACTCTGTTGAAACTTTCCTGAGGACCATCCATGGCTCCTGTTCTCCAAGCCCAAAGGTCTCTCTTCAGTCCTCAACATTTATTCTATTTTGCTTTCTTCAATCACTTTAGTTTTGACGAAAGTACTCGTGGTTCAAAACTTAAAAGGTACAAAAAGCTCTATAATGAAAAGAAATTCTCTTTTCAGCTCTTCCCCCAGCCATCCAAAATGCCCTCCCAAGAGGCAACAAATGTTCCTAGTTTCCTCTAAACATTCCTAGAAATATGAATATAAACATGTATACAGTTGATCCTTAAACAATATAGGTTTGAGGCCGGGCATGGTGGCTCACGCCTGTAATCCCCGCACTTTGGGAGGCTGAGGAGGGTGGATCACGAGGTCAAGAGATCAAGACCATCCTGGCCAACATGGTGAAACCCCATCTCTACTAAAAATACAAAAATTAGCTGGGCATGGTGTCACGCCTGTAGTCCCAGCTACTCGGGATGCTGAGGCAGGAGAGTTGCTTGAACCTGGGATATGGAGGTTGCAATGAGGAGAGATTGCACCACTGCACTCCAGCCTGGTGACAGAGCGAGACTCTGTCTCAAAAACAAACAAAAAAATAATATGGGTTTGAACTGGAGGGCCCACTTATACATAAATATTTTTTCAACCAGATGCAAATGGAAAATACAGTACTCACAGGATAGGAAACCTCTGTATACAGAGGGCTGCTTTTCATATTTATGGGTTCTGCAGGGCTGACTGTGGGACTTGAGTATGTGTGGATTTTGGTATACACAGGGGGTCTGGACCCAATTTCTCACATATGCTGAGGGACGACTATATATATTCTCCTAATTCTTTTTTTTTTTTTTTTTTGAGAGACAGAGTCTCACTCCATCACCCAGGCTAGTGTATGGTGGCTCGGTCTTGGCTTACTGCAACCTCTGCCTCCTGGGTTCAAGCAATTCTCATGCCTCAGCCTCCCAAGTAGCTGGTTCTACAGGTGTGAATCACCGCGCTCAACTAATTTTTTGTATTTTTAGTAGAGATGGGGTTTCACCATGTTGGCCAGGCTGGTCTCAAACTCCTGACCTCGGGTAATCCGCCCCACTCGGCCCCCCAAAGTGGGGGGATTACAGGTGTGAACCACTGCGCCCGGCCTTCTCCTCATTTTTAAAACTAGCTACTTCTATTTGTCAAAGCTTCTCATTAAAAAAAAAAGGTAGCATATTACACTCCTCTATACCTTGCTTTTTCACTTTAATTTTTTATTTTTATTTATTTATTTTTTTTTGGAGATGGGGTCTTGCTATGTTGCTCAGGCTGGTCTCCAATTCCTGGCCTCAAGTTATCCTCCCTCCTCAGTCTTCCTAGTTGCTAGGATTACAGGTGTGAGCCACTGTGTCCAGCCACTTTACACATTGAAGTCTGTGTCATGTCATGACATAAGGTGCTTTCTCATTCTTTTTTGCAGCTGGATATTATTCTGTTGTGTGATGTGCCATGATTTATGGCTCCCTGCTGATGGACAACGTTTACAATGTTTTGCTGTTGCAAACATGCTATAATAAATTTTCCTGCACATATGTGGCTTTGCACAGTGCAGGGTATTGGTAGTTGTAATAGTCTTAAGGTGGATTCTCCAGAAAATGAATTTTTTTTTTTTTTTTGAGTTGAAGTCTCACTCTGCCCAGGCTGGAGTGCAGTGGCATGATCTCAGCTCACTAACCTTTGCCTCCTGGGTTCAAGCAATCCTCCTACCTCAGCCTCCCGAGTAGCTGGTGAGCGCCACCACATCCAGCTAATTTTTGTATTTTCAGTAGAGACGGAATTTTGCCATGTTGGCCAGGCTGGTCTCGAGCTCCTGACCTCAGGTGATTCACCTGCCTTGGCCTCCCAAAGTGCTGGGATTACAGGCATGAGTCACTGCGCCTGGCCCTGAAAATGGATTTTGATGAAGAGATTTATGTGTAGGTGGTTTGTTCCCTCAAGCCAAGAGTAACTCCTAGGGAGGGATTCAGCTCTGAATCCTCAGCTGCCAACACTCTATCAACTGAGAAAATGAGTGCATTGGACTTGAGAGGGGCATTTGAATCATGCACTGCTATGCCCACTGCAGTATAACCTTGAGCCAGGCAGCTCCACCAGATTTATAATATAAATTTACTTCGCCTGGGAACAGCGTCTCCAGAATTCCAGTTGGTCTTTTCTTGGCAGGAGGACTTCATAGAGGAGGTGATTTCTGACTTAGGTTTTTAAGAATAAATAGGACATTGCCAAAAGGACATGACAAAGGGATTGGAAAAAGACTTTAAAGAGCACCTCCCCCTGCGGTTCTTACCAAGGGTGTGGGTTCAAATCACTTGAGGAGCTTTTGCAACACACAAATGTGTGGGCTTCTTGGTAAAGAACCCATTTGTTCTTATCCCTTCATTTTGCAAATGAGGAAACTAAGATGTTGCATTGATTGAGTTAGCAGCAGAGCCAGGCTGGGGTCTCAGGTCTCTTCTGAGCCCCAGACCTTGTTTTCCAAACTGTACTCCCTCTGGCACATTTCAAGCAGGAATAAAACATTCTTAACTACAATGGAATGACTGCCTTTTCCCAATTTGCAAAAAAACTTAATGTAATGTAAGTATGATTTTCAACTGCAAGTTTTCTCCCATAATGTTCTTAATTTTTAATTTTGAACTAATTTTTGCCTTACAAAAAAGTTGCAAAAATTGTATAATGAGCCCTGTATATCCCTCACAAGCTTCCCCTAATGTTAACATTTTACATAATCACTGCAAAATGAGCAGAACTAGGAGCTCAATATTTGCACAATACTACTAACTAAACTACGGAACTTACTTGAATCTTATCCTTTTATTTTAATTAATTAATTAATTTTTTAGAAAAGGTCTCGCTCTGTCACCCAGGATGGAGTGCAGTGGCATGATCTCGGCTCACTGCAACCTCTGCTTCCTGGGTTCAAGCGATTCTCCTGCCTCAGCCTCCTGAATAGCTGAGATTACAGGCACTCACTACCACACCGGGCTAATTTTTGTATTTTTAGTAGAGGCGGGGTTTCACCACGTTGGCCAGGCTTGTCTCGAACTCCTGACCTCAAGTGATCTGCCCACTTTGGCCTCCCAAATTGCTGGGATTACAGGCATAAGCCACCATGCCTGGCCAATGTTATCATGTTAAAAAACTTATTCTGAACTTACTTTAGGCTTACGTAAAATTATTTTGATTTTCTATGTTTTTAGGCAGAGTCTCGCTCTGTTGCCCATGCTGGAGTACAGCGGTGTGGCCATAGCTTTCTATTAATTCTAGGAGTTCACTGTAGCCTTGAACTCCCACGCCTGGCTAACTTAAAATTTTTTTTTGTAGAAATGGGGCCTCGCTTTATTGTCCAGGCTAGTCTTGAGCTCCTGGCTGCAAGTGATCCTCCCACCACGGCCTCCAAATATGCTGGATTACAGGGCATGAGCCGCTTTGCCTGGCCAGGGTTGTGGAAAATTAAACCTTACTTTTTAGAAAAGCTTTTGTACTTTCTACAACTTTCATGCTTCAAAAGATAAAAGAACACATAAACAAGTAACAGAGGAGTTGTAATGAAAAGACTCAAGAGTTGCCAATAACGCTTAGACAGCTGGTTTTTCTTCTGTATTTTAAAATCATGTTTTCCATTATCTTTGAAAGCATGCAAATTTAATTAAGCTGACATTTTAAAGCAAGGCACATTAGCTAAATGAATGGTGTTTGTGAGATCATTTTTATGTGATAAAATGAAGTATTTCACATTTAATGCACTTCAGCAGAAAGTATCATGACCTGTAGGTGCTCTCCCATCTGAATGGGTCTAAGCACTGCTGTACTCCTGGCCATCCATCTATTTAGAGGTGCAAGATACCATGAGGTGCAAGCCTTTGGCTTTCTGGACCAGGCTTTTCAACTAGTTACTGCTGAGATAGACTTCAGACCTCTGTTACCATTATATACCGGCATAAATATTATGTGTCTTTTATTGGAATCACCCCTCCATCCCTGATATTGATCTCCTCCTTAGAGTACTAATTTCATTTATTTATGTTTTTATATTTTAGTTATTCATTTTTTATGTATGCACATGGTGAAATTCAAGCTGTACAGAAAAGTATATTAGGCCTTTTTTGTGTTGCTTTAAAGGAATACCCGAGACTGGGTAATTTATTAAGAAAAGAGGTTTAATTGGCTCATGGTTCTGCAGGCTGTACAAGAAGTGTGGTGCCACATCAGCTTCTGGGGAGGACTCAGGAAGCTTTCACTCATGGTGGAAGGCGAATAGGGATTAGGCCAGAGTAGGAGCAAGAGAGAGGGGGAGGTGCCACACACTTTTAAACAACCAGATCTCCAGAGAACTCATTCATTTTGGCGAGGACAGCACCCAGCCATTCATGAGGGATCTGCCCCCATCATCCAATACCTCCCACCAGGCACCACCTCCAACATTGGGGATTACATTTCAACATGAGATTTGGAGGGGATAAACATCCAAACCACATCAAAAAGCATAAAATTAAGAGTTAAAATACCCGCCTCCCCTGCCGACTTCTAGACCTCTGATTCTCAAAGGGGGGATGCCATCTCCTGGGGACACTTTGGAAAGGTTGGGGAGCATTTTTGATTGTTTTAATGATTGCAGGTATTACGGAATTGGGGGAGTGGTAAAGAATGTTTATCATCCTAAAAAAAAAAAAAAAAAGAATTTACCTGCATCCAACACAATGTTTTAATCCTGGTGGATGTTCATATAAGTGAAAAATCCTGTTTACTATGCTCTAAATTTAGAATATACATGTTAACAGTTGTTCAGTTCTGTCCAACCTAGGAGATGCTATTCACATCATAGAAATCATAGATTTTAATATTTATTATGCCATTTTTCTGGCAGATGCCAGTGAAGTGTCTTGCTTTAATAAAATTAGCACATTGTGATAGTTTTTCCAAAAAGTGGAGGTAAAGTATGATGAGGAAGGGGGTCCTTTTTCTAATTTGCATCAAAGTGACATACGGGATTTTTGTCTTTTAAAAAAATAGTGTGAAAATTTTTTGAAAACTAAGAAAACAAGTTCTTATATGTTGCAAATATTTTGTGACTTAGTTTTAAATTATCTTTGACTTTGTTTAACTCATTTTCATCAGAGTTAAAAACAAATTTGGCCAACATGGTGAAACCCTGTCTCTACTAAAAATAGAACAATTAGCTGGGGGTGGGGTGGGGTGGGTTGGGGCGGGTGGCACATGACTCAGACTGAGGCATGAGAATTGCTTGAACCTGGGAGGTGGAGGTTGCAGTGAGCTGAGGTTGCACCACTGCACTCTAGCCTGGGTGACAGAACAAGACTGTTTCAAAAAAAAAAATGTGTATAGCCAAGTTTATTATGTTTCCCTTTTATTTTCTGTGTTTATATCTTGCTTAGAGAGCCCTTCTTTATGAGATTGAAAAAGTAAATTCTTACCACTGAGTTAAAAAAGTAGAGACATTTGTATATTAAGTATATAATCACCCTTGTTATTAAAGTATTTCATTTCTAATGTTTTTCAAATGCCTATTGAAAAAATTTTTGATCCACCTTTGATGTGTAAATGTGGTAAACTATGTGTGTAGATTTCCTTGTACTGAGCCCTGCTCAGTACAATTGAAAAAGTTTAAATAGCTTCAGAATTTATCATGCATTTATTCAACAAGTATTTATTAAGTACTGGCACTGGAAATACAGCAATGATCAAAATAGACAAGAATGCCTTTCATCTTAGCAGGGGAAGGCAGACTGTAAACAAAGAAATAGTTAAGATATATAATATGTCAGGTGGTGGTAAGTGTTCTAGAGAAAATAAAGCAGAGGAAGGAGACAGAGGTGCTAGGAGGCAGGGCAGGGGTTGCCATTTTAAATGGGGAGGCCAGACATGGTGACTCATGCCTGTAATCCCAGCACTTTGGGAGGCCAAGGCAGGCAGATCATTTACGGTCAGGAGTTTGAAACCAGCCTGGCCAGCATGGTGAAACCCCATCTCTACTAAAAATTAGCCAAGCATGGTGGTGGGTACCTGTAATCCCAGCTACTCAGGAAGCTAAAGCAGGAGAACTGCTCGAGCCCAGGAGGCGGAGGTTGCAGTGAGCAGAGATTGCACCATTGTACTCCATCCTGGGCAACAGAGCAAGACTCGGTCTCACAAAAAAAAAAAAAAAAAAAAAAAAAAAAAAAAGGGGAGGCCAGGGAAGCCTCACAGAGACAGTGACATTTGGGCAAAGACCTGAAGGAGGTGAGGGAATGAGCTGTGTATGTACTGAGAGATCAATAGAGGGAATGGCAGTCCTAAAGCCCTGAGATGGGAACTGCCCGGGGTGTTCAAAGAACAATAAAAAGATCAGAATGAGGAGGGCTAAGCCAGGGGGAAAGAAGTGTGAATTCACATCAGAGGTAGAGGGGACCCTGAGAGTAAAGAGTCATCTTTACAATGAATGGAGGAGTCACTGGAGAGTATTTCTGGTGGCTTATTTCAGGTGACAGCTCAGGGTGGTTGGACCAGTGTGGGAGCAATGGAGGTGTTCAGAGGTGGTCAGACTCCCATCGAATCTTGAAGGTGGATCCACTGGGATTTGTTGGCTATTGGATGTAGGATAAGACAAAATGGGAGAAGTCAAATTTGACTCCAGTTTTTGGCTGGAGTGACTGGAAGGATTTGTTTGCCATTTATTGAGATTGGGAAGACAGAGGCAGGGGTAGATTTCTGGGGATGATCAGTGATTCAGTTTCGGACATGATGCATTTGAGATGCTTTTCATGTATGTAAGGGAATAGGCAAGTGTGGGGTTCAGGGAGGAGGTTCAGGCTGGAAATAAGATTTGAGAACGACATAAAGATGGCTTTGAAAGCATGAGAGTAGGTGAGATTATCAAAGGAGTGGTTTTAGTAAACAAAAATGAAGAGGTCCATGGACTGAACCCCAGGCTCTTCAGCAACAAGGAGTCTGTGAACACAGGAGACTGAGATGAGGGACCAGGGAGAGAGGAGGGAAACCAGAAGGGGCTTCATGGAGGAGGGAGTGGTTCATGAGAGGGGGGTGAGAGCAGAGGATTGTGGCTCAGTGGAGGCCACAGGGGACCTTGATGAGAGTGGTTGGGGTTGGGGGAGAAGCTGGCTGGAGCCTAATAGGAGGTAATAGGGAAGAATTGGAACCAGGGAGCACAGAGGACTCTTTAAAGGAATTTTACTGTAAAGGGAAGCAGAAAAGTCTAGAGAGGGAAGTTAATTGCATTTTTTTAAAGAGGGAGAAATTATAACTGACTTGCATGCTGATGGGAATGATCCAGTAGACAGCAAAAAATAGTTGGAGTGGTGGCCTTGTGTAAGTGAGAAGGGATGGAATCTGGTGTGTAAATGGAGGGGGTGTGAGTTTAGATAGAAGTACAGACAGTGTGAACAGGAAGGGAGGCTCAGGACATGGTACAGATACAAATAGTTGGATGGGTGTGATAGAGGAGGGGGCTCATGGATGTTCTCTTCTGGTTGTTTTATTTTTCTAGTACAATATGAACTCAGGTCATCAGCTGAGGGTGAGGATGGGAGAGATGATGGAGGTTCGAGGAGAAAGAAGATGTGAGAGGGTTGTCTAGAAGGAGGAGTAGATGGGGTACATGGTCCAGGGAAATAGAATTTTATTGCTAGGCAGAATTAAAAGACCTGTTGAGGTTAGTGGTCATTAATTGAATTTAGCAGTGCTTTTTTCTAGTTTGTTCTGCTCTGGTGGTATAGGTACCAGAATAGGTGAAAAATTGGATTTAATCAAGAGTTTGGTGGTTTAAAAAAGTGTACCTGAGGAACCATATGCCCTTGACATTTTGGGGTGGGAGGTTGGATAGGATAGTCATTTTTATTAATTTTTTTTCTTGTGTTTATTGGTCCATTTAGATATTCTATATCTTCTAGCATCAGTTCTTTATCACATATTTTGCTAGAAAATGGACCATTTTGGATCAGGTTTTTTTTCTTTTGTTTGTTTTGTTTTTTTCCCCCACAGAACTTTGGAGATGCCCAGAGCAATTAAAATTGAACTTCACTTGGTGATCTAGGCCTCCAGTCTGCCATTTGCCTTGCTCCCTTCCAGTCTGTGGAAGTGATGGGAGAGAGAAGCATGCCAGCAGGTGGGCTGCATGGTTTGTTCAGCCGTGTTTCATCAGTACAGTGCTGGCTACAGTCCTGTCCCTGGGAGTGAGGCAGGATAGGTGGTCAAGGAAGCGACCATGTTCTTGGGAGGCAGCAACCGCAATGACCATACAGCCAATACAATAATCCTCAGCATTTGCATTGTAACTGAGGTCATTCAAGCAAAGCTATCTTCAGTAGGGACTTTCCCCTCTAGAAAGCATGTCCATTTTGATTTTACCTGTCCTCAGACTGACCCTTTGCTCATTATAATAGTAAAAGACACACCCCTGGGTGGAGATTTAAGATGCTAATGAGACATGAGACGTATGAACAAATATGTATGGCTACTGCACATGTGCACCCAGAAGACCTCCTAGGACATGCTTACTAGCAACACCTTTTCCCACCTTATGAATAATCATGTAAGACTTCCAGAAAGGGAGTCCCCTAGTGCCAGTTTTTGCTGTCTCATCCTTACGTGCAGCCTCCCCTGAACTCTCTCAGGGTGCACTGTTGTATTAGTCCATTCTTACGCTGCTAGGAAGAAATACCCAAGACTGGGTAATTAATAAAGAGAAGAGATTTAATTGACTCACAGTTCCACATGGCTGGGGAGGCCTCAGAAAACTTATAATCATGGCGGAAGGCACCTCTTCACAGGGTGGCAGGAGAGAGAATGACAGCCAGCAGAGGAAATGCCAGATGCTTATAAAACCATCAGATTTCATGAGAACACACTCACTATCATGAGAACAGTGTGGGGGAAACTGCCCCCATGATTCAATTGCCTCCACCTGGTCCTGCCCTTGACACATGGGGATTATGGGGATTATGGAGATTGTAATTCAAGGTGAGATTTGGGTGGGGACACAGGGCCAAACCATATCAACTGTCTATTCTGCACCTAACTTTCAAAATACTATTTTTCTTTTGCAACAGATTACTCTATGTTACACCTCCTTTGCTGTGTGTCCCCTGTTTAAATTATTTTAAGCCAAGAAGACAAGAACCAAGGTATCACATCAACTGTCAACAGGAGCTGCTGATCTCTAGGCTTGCTCAGAGTTGTGAAGTTCTTGGCTGATCTCATAGGTGGTCATTTAGCTTTTGTGTATAGGACAAGTAGGAGAAGAATATTAATCCAGTAAATTAAAATAACAATCTGGACTGGGCACAGTGGCTCATGCCTGTAATGCCAGCACTTTGGGCGGATCACCTGAGGTCAGGAGTTCAAGACTAGCCTGATCAACATGGCAAAACCCTGTCTCTACAATACAAAAATTAGCCAGGTGTGGTGGCACATGCTTGTAATCCCAGCTACATGGGAGGCTGAGGTGGGAGAATTGCTTGAACCCAGGAGGCAGAGGTTGCAGTGAGCCAAGATCGCACCACTGTACTCCAGCATGGGTGACAGAGTGAGACTCTGTCTCAAAAAACAACGACAACAACAAAAAACACTCTGAGCTGAACCACTCTGGTATATTTTGTTTTTTATAGGAGTGGGGAGGGTGGGGTGAGTGGAACCCGATAACTGTTCCCTGAGCCTCTCATAATGTGGCCAATTACCATGCACAACCTCTCCCAAAAGAAATATGCCAGGCCTGGCTGGTCTCTCAAGTAAATCCCTTTGAACTCCCCCAAATGCTGGTTAAAGCTAATTTTTCACCTGCTTCTTGCCTATATAAATGCAGGAGAAAAACACAACCATGCATGAGTAGCATGCATGAAGTTGTATGAAAATAAATTATTCAGTTTCCCCTAGATGTCTTCTGAATGGAAGGCTTCAAGAAATTGGAGCTCATGATTTGCAAATGAGGGGAAGCATAAAAATTAAAGAAACCAGGCAAGGCATGGTGGCTCACACCAGTAATTCCAACACTTTGGGGGGTCGAGGTGAGCGAATCCCTTGAGCTCAGGAGTTCGAGATCAGCCTGGGCAACATGGTGAAACCACATCTCTAAAAAAAAAAAAAAAAGATAGAAATAAACCGAAATACAGCTATCAGAAGCTACCTTCAGCATTCAGGAGAGCTGAGGTCGTACTGCAAATAGAGATTTCAATTTAGGCTCAGTCACCTTGCTCTGTAGTCTGTCACCCGGTGCTTCCCAGACTGTGTTCCTGGAGAATTCTGATCCCTCATGTTAAAAGAAAAACTTCAGCTGAATTAAATTTAAAGGAGTTTAATTGAGCAATCATGATTCGCGAAATCAGGCAGCCCTCAGAATCACAGCAGATTCAGAGAGGCTCTAGGGATGCCTCATGGTCAGAACAAATTTACAGGCAAAAAAAGGAAAGTGACGTACAGAAATCAGAAGGGAGGTACAGAAACAACTGGATTAGTTACAGGTTGGTGTTTGCCTTATTTGAACAGTTTGAACACTCAGCAGCCTATGAGTGGTTGAAGTGTGGCTGCTGGGATTGGCCAAGACTCAGCTATTGTTATAGGCACATACTCCTAAATTAGGTTTTCAAATATTGTGGGAGCCTGCTCCCGATAGTCACGTAGGTTCTTTTTTATTTTCCCTAAGTGTCAGCCGGTCTGAGAAATAAAGGGAAAGAGTACAAAAGAGAAAAATGTTAAAGCTGGGTGTCTGGGGGAGACATCAGATGTTGGCAGGTTCCATGATGCCCCCTGAGCCATAAAACCAGTGAGTTTTTATTAGCGATTTTCAAAAGGGGAGGGAGTGTACGAATAGGGTGTAGGTCACAGAGATCACATGCTTCACAAGGTAATAAGATATCACAAGGTAAATGGAGGCAGGGCGAGATCACAGGACCACAGGACCAGGGCAAAATTAAAATTGCTAATGAAGTTTCGGGCAGGCATTGTCATTGATAACATCTTATCAGGAGACAGGGTTTGAGAGCAGAGAACCGGTCTGACCAAAATTTTATTAGGTGGGAATTTCCTTGTCCTAATAAGCCTGGGAGCGCTAAGGGAGACTGGGGCTTATTTCATCCCTACAGCTGCAACCGTAAAAGAAGCCACCCCTAAAGCAGCCATTTCAGAGACCGACCCTCAGGGACGCATTCTCTTTCTCAGGGATGTTCCTTGCTGAGGAAAAGAATTAAGCGATATTTCTCCCATTTGCTTTTGAAAGAAGAGAAATATGGCTCTGTTCCACCCAGCTCACCGGCAGTCAGGGTTGAAGGTTATCTCTCTTGTTCCCTGAACACTGCTGTTATCCTGTTCTTTTTTCAAGGTGCCCAGATTTCATATTGTTCAAACACACATGCTCTACAAACAATTTGTGCAGTTAATGCAATCATCACAGGGTCCTGAGGTGACATACATCCTCCTCAGCTTACGAAGATTACAGGATTAAGAGATTAAAATAAAGACAGGCATAGGAAATCACAAGGGTATTGATTGGGGAAGTGCTAAGTGTACATGAAATCTTCACAATTTATGTTCAGAGATTGCAGTAAAGACAGGCATAAGAAATTATAAAAGTATTAATTTGGGGAAGTAATAAATGTCCATGAAATCTTCACAATTTATGTTCTTCTGCCGTGGCTTCAGCTGGTCCCTCTGTTCAGGGTTCCTGACTTCCCACAACATTCGATCTTGTCTACCTACTAAGTTAGGTTATGGTTTGTCCACAAGGACTGAAATATAGAAGTAAGAAATATAGAAAGTAGGGGTCCTGGCTGGGTGTGGTGGCTCATGCCTGTAATCCCGGCACTTTGGGAGGTCAAGGTGAGCAGATCACGAGGTCAGGAGTTCGAGATTAGCCTGACCAACATGGTAAAACCCTGTCTCTACTAAAAATACAAAAATTAGCTGGGCATGGCGGTGCACACCTGTAATCCCAGCTACTTGAGAGGCTGAGGCAGGAGAATCACTTGAACTTGGGAGATGGAGGTTGCAGTGAACCAAGATCGCGTCATTGCACTCCAGCCTGGGCAACAGAGTGAGATTCCATCTAAAACAAACAAAAAAAGAAGTAGAGATCCTTCTCAGGCCATGTTTAGTTTGCTGTAACACTCACTAAACTCTTTGTGGGGCAAGGGTTCTGTGGTCGGATCAATTTAGTAAAAGCTGAAAATTCTGTCCCTTTCTTGAAGATTCACAACACACTTCATTTATGTAATCATGTAATAAGCTCTTTCTATCTGCCAGGCTTTATTCTGGGCTCTGGGAGAATGGTAATAAAGGAAAGCAAATGCAATTGCTGCTTTCATGGATCTTTTACCCTAATAGGGAGATGGACAGTAATCAAATAGCCAGACAAATAATGTATAATTACGAACTAAGGTAAGTTCTACAAAAGAAGGGAATATGCTTATAGGAAACCTAGGCAAGGGGTGAGGGAAAGTCGCTTTGAGGAAAGGATGCAAACAGCTATCTGAAGCTTGCAGAATTAGCATTAACGAGGCCAACGGCCAGATCTTGAGGCTTTAGGACGTCCAATAAAAATATACTGTGATTGGCCAGGCACGGTGGCTCACGCCTGTAATCCCAGCAGTTTGGGAGGCTGAGGTGGGAGGATCACCTGAGGTCAGGAGTTCAAGACCAGTCTGACCAATATGATGAAACCCCATCTCTACTAAAAATATAAAAATTATCTGGGCATGGTGGCATGCGCCTATAATCCCAGCTATTAGGGAGGCTGAGAAAGGAGAATCACTTGAACCCGGGAGGCGGAGGTTGCAGTGAGCTGAGATCATGCCATTGCACTCCAGCCTGGGCAACAAGAGCGAGACTCCGTCTCAAAAAAAAAAAAATTAGAAAAAATTTATATATAAATATACTGTGATCCACATATGTAATTACAATTTCTCCAGCAACCACGTTATAAAAAGCAAAAAAAAGTGAAAATTATTTTAATAATATATTTTACCTAACTCAGTCTGTCCAAAGTATTATTTCAATATGCATTCAACATAAAAATTATTAATGTAAGAATTTACATATTTTTTGTCTTAAGTCTTCAAAATCTGGTGGGTATTTTCTGCTTACAGCACATCTCAATGTAGACTAGCCATGTCTCAAGTGCTCAGTAGCCACAGGGGGCCCGTGGATGCTGCATTCAATGACATGGATCTAGAGAAACTGGTGGCAGGGCCAGTGTGGCAGGAAGGCAGAGGGACGAGAGTGTGAGGTGCTGCCACTCACCTGGGCCAGTCCATGGAAGGCGGTGTAAGCATGTTAAGGATGTTGACCTTGAAGCTGAGCCACTGATGGCATAAAACATATTAAAAGTCCTGAGAAGTTCTGCAGTGAAAGAGCCCGTTCTTGCTTGTTTAACTCAGCGTTCCCATTTTTATTCCATGTAATACCTAACAAGGTCCTAGGGCCACACATTGGGAAATGCTGCTCTACTTGACTACACTTAAAGGAAGTCTTGCTGCTAATATAAACTTAAGCAAGAGCCAGTTACGGTGGCTTATGCTTGTAGTCTCAGATACTGGGGAGGCTGAGGCAGGAGGATGGCTTGAGGCCAGGAGTTCAAGACCAGACTGGACAACATAGTGAGACTCTGTCTCTATAAAAAACCAAAAAGAAAAATTAGCTGGGTGTGGCAGCATACACCTATGGTTCCAGCTACTTGGGAAGCTGAGGTGGGAGGAATGTTTGAGCTCAGAAGTTCAAGGCTGCAGTGAGCTATGGTCAAACCACTGCACTCCAGCCTGGGAGACAGAACGAGATGCTGTCTCAAAAAAAAAAAAAAACAAACACCCAGAAAACCCCCTGAAAAACCCTTAAGCAGTTGGAGGTTTCAGGCCTCTCAACTTATTGAGGGGATAGCCAAGGCTACATGTTATCCATGAGACCAGGGAAGCATAGAGATGCCGCCTGGTGGAAGCTTGGCATTCCCTTTCTAAACTTTGTAGGCAGCAAATAACTCAGGAGGATCCAAGTGCTAGCCAAGAGCCAAAAAGTAAGAGCTTTTCTTCCTTTAAGGTCTTCCCAAGTCTTACCTGCCTCTAATGGTCTGTCCTATCAATTTGCTTCACTTAATACTTTTTCTCTTCTCTGCACTTGGAATTCAGAGTTGAGTAAACTGTGCATTCATTTATATTTGTCATTTCTTTTTGAGTTTTCTACAGCACCTAGAACAATGCCAGAAATGTGGTAGGTATTCAGTGAGTATTTGAAGGGGTCATGTTTGTATTAGTTTTTTCAGGCAATGGTATGTTTTTTTTTTCAGGTCTTCTACTAAGTCTGGTCCTCTCAGTCCTTCATCATCTTTTCTGTATTTGAATGGGGAGAGGCCATGGGAAAAGCACCGATCTTGGAATTAGAGGCTGGGTGCCATGGCTTACACCTGTAATCTCAGTGCTTTGGGAGGCCCAGTCAGGAGGATCGTTTGCCCAGGAGTTTGAGACCAGCCTGAGCAACATAGCGAGACCCTGTCTCTACAAAAACATAAAAGAAAATAAGGTCAGGCATGGTGGCTCACGCCTGTAATTCCAACTCTTTGAGAGGCCGAGGCAGGTGGATCACCTGAGGTCAGGAGTTCAACACTAGTCTGGCTAACACAGTGAAACCCCACCTCTACTAAAAATACAAAAATTAGCTTGGTGTGGTGGTGCGTACCTGTAATCCCAGCTACTTGGGAGGCTGAGGCAGGAGACTTGCTTGAACCCTGGAGGTGGAGGTTGCAGTGAGCTGAGATCACACCACTGTACTCTAGCCTGGGGGACAGAGCAAGACTTCATCTCAATAAATAAATAAATAAATAAATAAATAAATAAATAGCTGGGCATGGTGGCAGGCACTTGTAGTCTAGTAGCTTGGGAGGCTGAGGTGGGAAGATCACTTGAGCTCAGGAATTTGAGGCTGCAGTGAGCCATAATTTTGTCTCTGCACTCCAGTCTGAGTGACAGAGTGAGACGCTGTCTCAAAAAAAAAAAAAAAAAGAAAGAAATGGAATTAGTAACCCAACATTGTGTTCCATCCCTGACTTTTTACCAACTGTGTGACCTTGAGCAAGTCAGTGAATGTGGCTGGGTCTTGGGATCATTATCTGTAAAGTGAGATGGTTGTACTAAATGATCTCTAAGGTTTATTTTAGTTTTAACATTGTAGATCTATGCTGTCCAATATGGTAGCAACCAGCTACATGTGGCTATTGAGCCCTTGAATATGGCTAGTCCGAACTGACATGTGCTGTAAGTGTAAAATACACACTGGATTTCAAAACAAAAATGTAAAATATCTCAATAATTTTTTTATATTGGCAACATGTTGAAATAATATTTTGGACATGTTGGGTTAAGTAAAATATATTATTAATATTAATTTCTTTTTAAAAATGTTTTTACTTATTTATTTGGGTAGAGATGAGGTCTCCTTATGTTGCCCTGGCTGGTCTCAAATGCCTAGCCTCAAGCCATCCTTCCACTTTGGCCTCCCAAAGTGCCAGGATTACAGGCGTGAGCCACCACACCCAGCCACTTAATTTTAATTTCATGTGTTTCTTTTTACCTTTATAATAGGACCACTAGGAAACATAAAATTATACATGTGCCGCTATGGACTGAATTGGGACCCCCTCAAATTCCTATGTTGAAGCCCTAACTCCCTATGATGTATTTGGAGATGGGGCCTGTGGGAGATCATTTGGTTTAGATGAGGTTATGAGGTGAGGCACCATGATGGGATTAGAGTTGTTATTGGAAGAGACATCAGCGTGTTCTTTCTCTCTCTCTCTCTCTCTCTCTCTCTCTCTCCTCTCTCTCTCTCTGCCATGTGAGGACACAGTGAGAAGGCAGCCATCTATAAGCCAGAAAGAGGGCCCTCACCAGAAACCGACTATGCTGGTACCCTGATCTTGGACTTCTAGTCTCCAGAACTATGAGAAAATAAATTTCTGTTTAAAGCCACTAAGTCTATGGTATACTGTTCTGGCAGCCCAAACTGACCAAGACATGCGGTTTGTATTATATATTTCTGTTGGACAGCATTGGTCCAGATATCTGGGAACTCCTACATACCAGCCAGCCTTCTGGCACTTGTAACTTTCTGTATTGTGTCTGTGAGAGCACAGGCATGGTCTCCAGGCCAGTGTTTCCTCCCTAGCAGCTGCTCAATAAGCTTCTGGCAATTAAGTCATTTTCTTGGTTGTAAGAATATAAACAGTCTCTGGATAATGTATGTAAAAGAGGACCTCATTAAGAGAATATTGGGTAACAACTGGAATCTGCAGGGCAGAAGAACCAGGCTTGGAGGATATACTCAGGCAGACAGCAATGTCCCAAATCCCACTGCAGACTAGTCTGGGGGTGACTCCACTGCTGCCCCAGAGAACCAGAGCTGGCTGTCCATTGGCAGAGTGGCGTGGGTATGTGCTTCCAGCCTCATTAGTTTCCAGTTCAGAGTTCAGTTGACTGAGTTTGAATCGGGGACTCTAGCTGCAAGAGAGGCTGGGGCTGGGAAGGTGAGCAATTGCTTTTGAGCTTTTTTTTAGTGGAGAGTTGGGTCTTATCATAAGCAGAAGATTTATTCCTTTAACATTGGAAGGGTCTTTAGATGCTGGGCTGCCACATAAGGATGGAACCCTTTCCTTGTGTTGTCTGAGACCTTGAAATTTTGACTGCAACACAGCAGAAGTTCCATCAAGACTCCTCAGCTGGAACTCCTCCAGGCGAGAGGCTCTTCAGATCTCCTTGTTCTTGGGAAGGATGAAGCAGAACAGTTGACATCATACATTCTAATGCTACAATTATAATTTCATGATGTCCTTTGAAAATTCTCGCATGTTATTTTAATGTGGAGACACAGGAGGGCACTCTAACCAACTAGCAATAAAACCTAAATGGTTTCATAGCCTTGGCAGTTAAAAAATAGATGTTGATTTGTTGAACCTGTAAAACACAGGTTTTTCATTTACTTATTTATTTATTTGCAAAGGAGTTTCACTCTTGTTGCCCAGGCTGGAGTGCAATGGTGCGATCTTGGCTCACCACAACCTCCGCCTCCCAGGCTCACGCGATTCTCCTGCCTCAGCCTCCCGAGTAGCTGGGATCATAGGGATGCGCCACCACGCCCAGCTAATTTTTTGTGTATTTTTAGTAGAGATGGAGTTTCTCCATGTTGGTCAGGCTGGTCTCGAACTTCTGACCTCAGGTGATCCGCCCGCCTCGGCCTCCCAAAGTGTTGGGATTACAGGTGTGAGCCACTGCGCCCGGCCGGGTTTTTCTTTTTTTCTAGGCAGGATAACTAACTTTGCAGGACTACCTTCCAACAATACCCTGCAAAATACCCTAGCTTCCGTGGGGGTATCTCACCTATAACAAAGGCTCTCAAGACACACTCTCCACATTATCCAGTTAATGTTCTAGGGACCATGGCTATGAGCAACTCAGAACAGGGAAGGAGTTTTTTTCTTCTGATGTCCAGGCTGGAGTGTAGTGGTGTGATCATGGTACATTGCAGCCCTGAACTCCTGGGCTCAAGGACTCCTTCCGCCTCAGCCTCCCAAGTATTAATAGCTTGCACTACAGGTGTACCACCTTGCCTGGCTAATTTAAAAATTTTTTTTGGTAGAGATGAGTGTCTATGTTGCCAGGGTTAGGGAAGAGGACTTTTGACTACAGCTTACCCCCTGCCTCAGCCACTAGACCAGGTTGCCAAGAGCTCACATTTAAAGGTCAATTGGCCAAATTGAACCTAGAGCAGAGAAGAGAGACCTGGTTGTCTTGAGACTTTCTTCAAATCTGCAGCCTGTCCCCATGACTCAGTTTTCCCATCTGTAAAATGGAGATAACATTAGACCTATGTCTGTATAGTTTCCTCATGAAGAGAGAGACAGAGTGGGAACAACATATCCGGGGGTGATATTTACCATCGCACACAGACCATTGAGTTCTATACTAAAAAACTAAAGCCCGCCTGAGTCTTGTTAATGAATGATAGCACACGGGAGGGACAAAGCGTGCTCTGCTGGCAGCTGGAGTAACAAAAGTAATGAGGCGAGGTCGGAACAGGATCTGCTGGCTCCGGCTCGGTTTCCTCGCACAGGTCTCTCCAGCTGGATCCTCGACGCTAGGGAGGAAGGGGCGCGGGACTGCTGTGGGGGTTTTCCCTCCCCAGGCAGGGGCAGGACCTGTTCCGGGCGACTGCAGGGTTAAGGGTATCGTCTTAAAGAGCCGGATCCTCCCGGCTGGAGCGAGGCTGGATGGCGGGACGCAGCCTCTCAGCCTCTCGTACCCGCCCTGCGTCCGCAGTGGTTGTTGGCGCAGCCGCCCCGTCGGTGTTCCGGGCTCAGTCCCCGCTCCCCAGCGCCAGACGCAGACTCCGGGCCAAGTTCTCCCTCCGCTCGCTGCTTTCTGCCGCAGGACCCGGATCAATAAAGGGAAGGAGAGCCGGGAGGAAATGATGGAGAACAGAGAGAAAGGAGATGCTTGATTTCACTCGCCAAGGAGTGAGTGCTCATCGGCAGACACTGGGCTCTGGCCACGCGTCTTAGACTCCAAATCTCGGCTCACTGGTCCCTTTGAGGAGGTCGCCTGGTGTTCCCGTAGCCCTCCACCCCACCGTAGGAGAGCGCCTGCCACGAGCTCCGCGCCTCGCTAAGTGCTTTGCTACGTGAACTCTTAGTTTTCCCAACATCCCTAAGCCGCCGATACATTATCACCCACGTATTGCGGACGAGAGAACCGCCTCGGAGAAGCTGGCTGGCTCGCTTGGAGTTTTGCAGCTAGTGGCGGAGCGAGCATTCCGAGCAGGTACTGTGCGATCCTCCAGCGCCGGCCGCAGCTCACAGCCCCTTAGCTCCGCCGGGTTATTGTGCGGCCGCGCCTTCTGCACCTGTTGCGGCCCTCGCTAGGCGGGAAGGGAGGGAGAAGAGGAGGACAAAGGGGATGACCAGGTGGCTCTCCCCCGACGGACTCCCGGCCCAGGGAGCGGATAGACCACTCCCAGAGAGAGTGTGGCTTTGAGCCTTGGAGAGGATGCTCTCCTTCTCCAGGGATCGCCTCCCCAGCGGACGCAGAGTTTCAGGGAAATGTCCGCCTCCGCCACTTGGGATGGCAGTGGGGAGAGGAGGATCTGGGTGTCCGGAGGAGGGCAGTGGGAGAAAGCTGGAGCTGCTGGAGTCGCAGCTGCCTGCGGAGCGGGCCCGGGAGGAAGCGGGGCCGAGCGTGCGGCGTCCACGCGGTGAGTGTGCAGCGCTTTCATTCAAACTTTCTCCAGTCTCGGTTCCGGCGTCAGCAAGGTGTGACCAATCAGAGCCCAGAGACGGGAATAAATTATGCAAATCACCATCTGGCGATGGGTCAGATGACTCCCATACTTTTAAAAACTACCTCTATAGGAGCGTGACAGCAGCGAGTCCTTGCCTCCCGGCGGCTCAGGACGAGGGCAGATCTCGTTCTGGGGCAAGCCGTTGACACTCGCTCCCTGCCACCGCCCGGGCTCCGTGCCGCCAAGTTTTCATTTTCCACCTTCTCTGCCTCCAGTCCCCCAGCCCCTGGCCGAGAGAAGGGTCTTACCGGCCGGGATTGCTGGAAACACCAAGAGGTGGTTTTTGTTTTTTAAAACTTCTGTTTCTTGGGAGGGGGTGTGGCGGGGCAGGATGAGCAACTCCGTTCCTCTGCTCTGTTTCTGGAGCCTCTGCTATTGCTTTGCTGCGGGGAGCCCCGTACCTTTTGGTCCAGAGGGACGGCTGGAAGGTAACGTGAATTTGTTTTTATTCCCCCCAGCCACTTCTCTGTGCTGGGTCCCCTCTGTCTTGCTGATTCTTCAAACCCTCCTTGTTCCTATGAAATTCTTCCTTTCCCACTGCGCTGCCCATTCTCTCCTCCAATCCACCTTGGAGTCCACCTGTCTCTCTGCTGGTCTGATGGGGGCATTCCCGGCAAGTCATGCAAAAGGCAAAGGCTGGCAGGGTGCGCTGGCTCTTGCCAGCCCTCCCACCCCCACCTCCTTCCCTTATACGGCTCCCTAAGCCAGTGCTGGTGCTGTCCAGCCAGCCGAGCGGCCTGGCAGCAGCTCTGAAACCTTGTCCTCATGCCTGAACCTGGAGGTTTGAGAGGCAAGAAGGCTGTCAGAGCTGTGTCTCCTGGAGCTGCCTTTTAATCTTGGTGTAGGTGTCTTGAAAGTTCAGGTGGCAGGGTAGCTGGCTTTGGTTTGATTCGTGCTTGCAGGGAGCGTCTGGTGGGTCGCTTGTGCTTAGAAGCTGCCGGGCCTATTCCCCCAGGTTGCCAGCCTTTTCCTCTTCAACACTCTTGTGCTCCCCCGACTCTTCCTCTTCCCACTCCTCCTCCCTTTCCTCCTCCTGGCTTTTAGCTTCTCTTCCTCTTGGGTTCTGTATGGCAGCCTTTGCCAGTGGAGGCAGCTTGCCCTGGGGGAGCCAGAGTCAGTCAGCTCTGGGGGAGTCAGAATCAGAGTGAGAACTAAGTCAGCTGATAAGCAGTGGAGGGCTGGGGAGCCTCTAAACTGAACCCCATCATCTCATCTTCTAGTCTGCTGAGGTTGTGCCAAATGGTCTGTGTGGGCTTGTGTATGTGTGGGAGGGTTACTGTGAATGAATGGAAAGCCTTGCTTTACTCAACATGTTTCCAACTCTGGTGCTAACTAGAAGCATTGCCTAGGGCAGGTCTCATCTCTGGCTCCTCACCTGTAAAATGCTAAAGTTCCTTCTAACTTCTGTGTTCTGGGCCTCTGAGTATGTGTGAGTCATTTCCTTCATTGCAAAAAGTATTTACTGCATACCTACTTAGTGTCAGACACTATTCTGGGAGCAGGGGAGAGAGCAGTGGACAAAATAGATGGCAATCTGTGCCCTTGTGACACTTACATTTCAGTGGTGGGAAGACAGACAGTGCACTGATTAAAGTATCAGTGGTGCTCAGTATTATGGAGAAAAATCAAGCAGAGGAGGAAGGTGGGGCATGTTGGTGGGGGAAGGTGGTGCGATTTTATGATGTGGTCAGGGAAGGCCTTTCTGGAGAAGTTGACCATTGAGCAAAGAGCTGAAGGGGGTGAGAGAAGGAGCCATGAGGACATCTGGGTGAGGAACAATCAGAAAGTCCCAGAGGCTGAAGTGACCCAGGCCAAAAGTAGTAGGAATGTACCTAGAGAACTTTGGGGTCAGAGCAGGTCAGACTCTAAGAGGAAGAGTCTTTGTCCATATGTGGGTTTATCCGCAGATCTGTCTCAGGAATCCAGGAGACTTCTTTTCTCCTAGGTTTCCCCATCTGGCCTCTGCATGAGTGGCTATCTGGGTAGAAGGTGGGGAGTTGTCGAACTCATTATGTCCGTGGTTCAAATTTCTGCTGGTTGGGGCTTTTGTTCATTACTTTCATGACGGTTAACCTGACTTCCGCTCATGTGCATTCAGCAGCATTTTCTGGAACCTTATCCCTCTTACATCTGCTGCATTCTTCCCCCTCTCTCCCTCCTTTCCCCTCCGCCCTCTCCACCACTATATCTCTTTCCTTTTGGTATCTTCTTCCTTTTGCTTCTTAACTCTGAGATAAATTAACTCCAAGATGGTCATTTGGCATCTTTCCCTGCTGGGTGATAGGAGAGTTTGATACTCTCACTTTCTAGCCAGTTATCCAGTGATGCATCCCAGGATGGCTGAAAGAGTGCTGGGTGGGGTCCATTTATGACTTTCTGAAACGGTGTCATGATGACAGCACCTACTTAGTGTTAAGCCACAGTGGCCATCAGTGACATGAGCTGCACTTTGGGAGCAGGGCCGTCTCCTAGGTGGCACTGTGCATGAGCAGTGAAGCTGGAAGGGGGGATTTTTGTTGCTTTTAGGAGTTTCTCCATGGCTTTAGTCATTTACTTAACAAACCAGATGAATGCCTGGCACATGCCATCACTAGAAAGGGCACTGAGGATGCCTGAGTTTCCCTAGATGGGAACACTAGGGGAAGCCTATTTTCCAGCAGGTCAACAGCCTCTTGCCTCCAATTCCAAAATCCACAAACTCTCAAAATTGGAAAATGTGTTTGGTAACTTGTTTGGCAGCAAGACCTGGCCTTACCTGATCTGAACTTATTTGGCAGCAAAAACCTGGCCTGAGATAACAGGAGGCTATTGGTTATCTTTATATTTGCCCTCAAATGTGAGTGGTTATGTATTCTCTGCAGAAATATTAGGATGTTTGATCCAGGGGGAATAGCCCAGGCCCCACTGGCAGCATTATATAATATATGGTGTATGCTCCATGATGCCTTTCTAAAATCTGAAAACTTCTAAATTCTGAAACTCACCTGGTCCCAAGCATTTCAGAAAAAGAACTGAGAACCTGTACTCTAAAAGTAGGAAGGAAGTAGAACTCCTTTTGATAGGAAAGAAGAGGGAAATGCAAGAGAGAGATCTATTTATTTCAGAGTGACAGTAATTAATACTAGTGACTAATTAATACTCTTTAAGTATAAATGAGATGTCCTTTTTTATAAAATGTTCACAGTTTTTCTGGGAGGTGAAAAGGGAACATTCAGCAGATGTAAAAACCGAAACCCAGATGGCTTAAGCAAATTGCTCACGATTGAACTAGAATCAGACCCCAGGTCTCTCACTCCGCAAGTCTGCTAGATGCACCCACGCTCTGTTCTGTCTCCCCAGATAAGCTCCACAAACCCAAAGCTACACAGACTGAGGTCAAACCATCTGTGAGGTTTAACCTCCGCACCTCCAAGGACCCAGAGCATGAAGGATGCTACCTCTCCGTCGGCCACAGCCAGCCCTTAGAAGACTGCAGTTTCAACATGACAGCTAAAACCTTTTTCATCATTCACGGATGGACGGTGAGCCCGGGGAGGGAGCTCTGCGGCTTTATATAAGATTTGATTCCCTTTGTTTTGGTCAATTAGAAAGAATTCTGGTGTTTCCAGATTCCAAACCCTCTTCCCCCCTTTCCTTGTGGGCTGCTTGTATTTCAGACAGCTGTGAAGAATGTAACGGGCATTCACTAAGGGGCAATCTGGACTCCAGCAGGGTGGTATTAATGATGGCATACAACGGGCTTTCAGAAAGTGGCTCTCCTGAGGGCAGCAGCCCAGCTCCACTGGCTCTTAAGGACCCCTCTAATTACACTTAATTACGCTGGTCAACCACTGCCTGGAGGGGGCTGTCCTGCCGTGAGAGCTGAGCTTAACTAAAGCAACTTGACTGGCTCTGAGAACCTATGAGTAGCCAGCTGGCCTGGATTGCTGACTGCCCTTGGCATAGTGCCCTCCTGTTTGCATAGAGATAGCCCCGTTTAAAGGCACTGGGGCTCTTTATGTGCCCTAGCTGAGCAATTCACATTGAAAAGCCCATGACAAACTTCAACAAAAAAGGGCTTTAGTGCTCAGCTTCAGAAGCTTTTGACCAGCCAGGAATTTATTCATTCATATAATGACAGTCTGTAGGGAAATGGCACTATTAAGTGAGCAGATTTCTGCCTGGGCTAATTGGAAGGGGACAGTCCTCCTCTTAATGATGAGAAATTCATATCTGTTACATGCTTTTGGGGTCTTTAAATCTGTCATCCATGGTTGAGGTCAGGGGCAGGAGAGGGTAGGTGCCTGCCTACCTAGTTGAATGAAGAGATGATTAAGAGCCTGTCTAACCCTGCTCATCACACAACCTACAATCAGAATCATATGTGTGAATCTTTTTAAGGCCCCCTGTCAAAATGCAAATACAAGCTGCCTGCGACTTACAAGTAGGTTGCATTCCAGAAAGTTCTTTTGTAATCTGTTTGGAACTTGGAACAGCAGTTTCCCACAGAAGCAAGATTGTAAATGGTGTTTGGGTTCCCAGGCTAGGCACAGAAAATCTATCTATTTGATAATGTGCTTGTGGATAGGTTTACAACTGGACCTAGTCACCATTTATAACTTTGTTTCTGTGGAAAAATACATTCTGAGTTGTAATTTGGGATTCCGGGGACAGATTTTCCCTACTCTGGGGTCAAGAGGGATGGCAGAGATGGGTTGTGGGAAGGGGTCATTTGTTAACTCTGCATTCACCTAGGAGACAGCATCTCCCTGCGTCTCTAAGAGAGAAGCAATTTTCCAGGGCAACCCTCCCTAGCTGCCTTTGAAGGATGGACCAGGCCACTTGCCTGCCTGTAACAGGGACTCAGACCAGCCTCATGCCAGTATCACCCTTAACACGTATCTCATAGTGGCCCTAACAGACAGTGGGGCAACAGTATAGGACATTAGCTAGGAAAGTTTTGATGGGAAATACTGGGGATGTAAGGAGCAATGGAAGACAAATACCTGCGTAGTGATTCTGCCTGTGCTGGTCCTGCTCATGTGCAAATGTTTGGTCCCTGAGCAGCCAATGTGCAGATTCTAAAATTGTCTGGGGGCACTGGGCATGGTGGCTCACGCCTATAATCCCAGCACTCTGGAAGGCCTAGGTGGGAAGATCGCTTGAGCCCAGGAGTTCAAGACCAGCCTGGGCAACATAGTGAGACCCTGTTGCTGCAAAAAGTTTAAAAATTACCCAGGCATGGTGGCATATGCCTGTAACCCAGTCACTCTGGAGGCTGAGGTGGGAGGATCACCTCAGCTCAGGAGTTGGAGGCTATCATGAGCTGAGATTGTTGTCAGTGCACTCCAGCCTGGGCAACAGAGTGAGACCCTGAGTCAAAAAAAAAAAATTAATTGGGAAGAGGGTCATATAGAAAGGAATTCCATATTTTTTAGGATTTCTGAAACCAAGAATAAAAAACAACTTCCACTTTTCTCTGCAGATGAGCGGTATCTTTGAAAACTGGCTGCACAAACTCGTGTCAGCCCTGCACACAAGAGAGAAAGACGCCAATGTAGTTGTGGTTGACTGGCTCCCCCTGGCCCACCAGCTTTACACGGATGCGGTCAATAATACCAGGGTGGTGGGACACAGCATTGCCAGGATGCTCGACTGGCTGCAGGTACTGGGGGATGAGAGGGAGTCTCCTGTCACCAGCAGGATCTCAAACCCAATCTTCTTAAGAAATGCAGGTCATGCATCTGTTGCCATGAACTTCTGGAGTCTGATAAAAATCTTTGAGATTAAAAGTTTTATTGAATTAAGTATTGTTTGGAATACTTGAAAGCTGGGACTTTTTGAGAGCCTTTTAATTATTGATAGATCTCTGGATTTTTCCTGTTACTTAATTTGCTGAAAATTGGCCTTATGGGTTGTTTCTTCCTGATCTTAGAAACAGATGCCCTTAGGTTGGTTGGGGATGGCCAGGAACCAGGCCAGGCTTGTGATCTGAAATTCCTACAAAGACTGCTCTTGTCTCTGAAGCATGGCTGTGCTGAGGGTGGGGAGGGGGTTATTTCAAAAATGCAGCCTAATATCTCTTTTCTTTGAGATGGAGTCTTGTTTTGTTGCCCAGGCTGGAGTACAGTGGTGTGATCTTGGTTCACTGCAACCTCCACCTCCCAGGTTCAAGCGATTCTCCTGCCTCAGCCTCCCGAGTAACTGAAACTACAGGCCTGTGTCACCATGCCCAGCTAATTTTTTTGTATTTTTAGTAGAGATGGGATTTCGCTGTGTTAGCCAGGATGGTCTTGATCTCCTGACCTCATGATCTGCCTGCCTAGGCCTCCCAAAGTACTGGGATTACAGGCATGAGCCACCGTGCCCAGCCTGCCTGATACCTCTTTTATAATATGAAGTGTGGAAAACAGATCTTGAAGTCTTATATTTACTTTTTTTTTTGAGACAGAGTCTCGCTGTCACCCAGGCTGGAGTGCAGTGCCATGATCTTGGCTCACTGCAACCTCTACCTCCTGGGTTCAAGCAATTCTCCTGCCTTAGACTCCCAAGTAGCTGGTTTTACAGGTGTGAGCCACCATGCCCAATTAATTTTTGTATTTTTAGTAGAGATGGGGTTTCACCATGTTGGCCAGACTAGTTTCTAACTCCTGACCTCAGGTGATCTGCCTGCCTCGGCCTCCCAAAGTGCTGGGATTAGAGACGTGAGCCACCGCACCCAGCCTATTTACTTTTAATAGGTTAATAATCTGCCTGAGATCAGTGGATTTAGCTGGGAGAAGGCAGGGCAGGGTACACTGTCAAAGCGGCACCATTATCTGGGCAATTCCGGCCTGGCCTTCCTTGTTCCCATGGAATGGGATGAATTCTGGCAGAATTCTGGTCAGGATTCTCGAGCAGTCCCTCTGTCCTCTACCTAAGCTCTTCTATAGAGTTTGGTTTCCGAGCCATGGGGTTACCTCCTTACCCCCCAGATGAGTGCTCTGACAGGGGACAATGCGTCAAGTCTGGGGTCCCACATGGGCTTGTGAGGAGGAGGTTGGCAGCTCCTGGGGCTGGGTGGAGGTCAGGCCTTAGAGGGCAGGCAGAGGGCATTCTGCTGAGGGCTGTGGTTGGCACTGCAGTCTCCAGTGAGTACGGCAGCTTTGACCTCCTCACCATCACCCTCCCCTCTCTTAGATACTGCCAGAAAGAACAGGAAATGTGTAGGGAACAGCCACATATGCAGCCTCCAGTCATACCCTCCACCCTGTCCCCACACTTGGCATTTGCAGTGCCACCAAGTCCTTTTGGCCTCCCCTAAGCTGGCTGTGACCCACACATGTAGCATCACCAGCAAAGCCAGTGGGGCCCTGGGGAGTCTCTGTGCCCACGGCCCCTGCATCTCCTCCTGCTCCGTGACTGAGTTGTTGAACTGCTGGTGATTCTGGGGGCTCTGGACCCTGCTCTTCTGCTCACATACTTTGGTGACTTTCTATAGGAGAAGGACGATTTTTCTCTCGGGAATGTCCACTTGATCGGCTACAGCCTCGGAGCGCACGTGGCCGGGTATGCAGGCAACTTCGTGAAAGGAACGGTGGGCCGAATCACAGGTGAGCTCCACTTCCATCACTAAAGGGCTCCCTCAGCTGCGCTAAGCCGGAATGCTCCCAAATGAGGCAGCAGAGTGAGTCATAGAAAGTTAGCTTTGGAAGGAACCTGGAAAGCATCTAATTCAAAACTTCCCAAGCGTTTTTAGTCACAAGAAACTTTTTTTTTTTTTTCCAAATTGAACTCGCATAGGCCCGCAGTATATGAGACACAGAAAGGGGGGTGCTGTGGGTGAAGTGGGGTGGGTATATGGCGGCTTGTGTTAGCCTTGCCAGTGTGGGCGTTCCCCTTCCCTATAGGCATCTCAGAGTCTCAGAGCACCAGGGAACACAGTTTGAAAACCATAGGCCTGGTCCAATAGGTGAGGAAACAAACACGGAGAGGTGAGACAACTTGCCCAGGGGCAAACAGCTAATAACTCAAGAGCGGAAGCTGGATAGAGCCCTGGCCCCAAAGCTTTTGGGTGTTCCCTTCAGGTCTCCACCCAAGGACTCAGGGGAAAAGAATGAATAGTAGATTTTAGTTTGAATTCTGCCTCTGATTTCTATCTTGTCTCCCAATAGCCTCTTTCCCATGTTAAGGTAGCATATTTATGAATGAGAGCTACCAATTTGGAAAGGGTGGTTCAACTTTGTAATAAAAGGAACCTTTCTGATATTGGTCCCCAGGGGGTCAACAGAAAATTGAATTTTCCATGTTGAAAACTGCATCTTAGTGAGCTTTTAACATGAGAGTTTGGATTAAATCATTTAATGATTGTGAAAAGTGTAAAAGGTTTTCTTTCTCATTTTTGGGCCCCTCAAGTATATACACAGAGATTCCTCTATGCTACAATTAATGGTAAATTTGTTGCCCTGAACTTCTATCCTTCTTCCAGCATTATTTTATTTAAAATTACCCCTAGCTTCCCCCTTACTCCCAAGATTCTAAGGGTGATCACCTAGAAGGATAGATCTGAACAATTCCTTTCCCTGCAGTGTTTTCATTTTAAAACAAAACTCAGGCTGGGTGTGGTGGCTCACACCTATAATCCCAGCACTTTGGGAGGCCGAGGTGGGTGGATCACGAGGTCAGGAGTTCAAGACCAGCCTGGCCAACATGATGAAACACTGTCTCTACTAAAAATACAAAAATTAGCCAGCTGTGGTGGCGGGTGCCTGTAATCCCAGCTACTTGGGAGGCTGAGGCAGGAGAATCGCTTGAACCAAGGAGGTAGAGGTTGCAGTGAGCCGAGATTGTGCCACTGCACTCCAGCCTGGGTGACAGAGCAAGACTCCGTCTCAAAAAACAAAACAAAACTCAGGTAGAAGAGAGTCCTTAGCTAAATAACGATTTGGTAAAGGTAGAATTTCAGATTTCAGTGACAAGCTGATATGGTAGAATTTTAAAAAGAATATTTGTGAAGTTTTCCTGGCTCTCCTGAATCCTGTCCCTGGGCTTGAGTCTAGTATGTGCGTGCACACACATGAGCATGCATGCACACACATGCCTGTTGATCCAATGACTTGATTCATCCCAGCTTGAGAGCTTTATTTTTGATTTCCAAGACTGTGGGGCTTGAGCTGCCCAAAGCGGGCTATGATTGTGTGGCCACCCATGACTGCTCATTAACCCCTTGCTGGTGCAAAGCAGTTTGACTGGAAGCCACTCGGGTTCCATTGTCTGAGCGCCTCTTCCTAGCCCCTGAATGAGAGGTGTGATGTTTCAGATCCAGGCACCTGAGTTCAAATTGTAGCACACACCACAGTCCAGGCCCAGAATGTCAGTAACGATGACAAACTGCACATCTTGCCTTTCTCTATTTCTAAATCTGAAATGAGATGGGGCTAGGGAGGGAACTTTCCAGTTCTTTCCCCCTGCCTGTTTGAGTGGCATCTGCTGGGGTGAGGGCTTTTCTCCTGAGGGTGGCAGGAGAGCCAGGCAGAATGCTAATTAGTGCTCTGGGATGTTTGCATGGAGCATGATGCCCACATGCCCTGAGCATGGTCCCTTCCCTCTGGCCTTTCTCTGTAGAGAAGGGGCCTGGCCTCTGTCCAGTTGCCAAGCAGCACCCCTGACACACGCTGTTGTGTATGTCTGATGGGGGAGGCTGCGTCCTCTCCTTTCCCCTTGGTAGACTTCTCATGGACCTGTGGACAAGGTGATCGCAACTGGTAAGAGGACAGATTGAGACTTGCATGGGGTCCTGCGTCCAGTGATGCCACTATGCTAAGGCCACCAGGCAGTCCTTAGCCTGGGCCTTGCAAGGGTATATCTGAACCCCAATCTTGCTTGGACCAGAGGGTGTGGATGGGGGTTTGCTAGAGTTTTACTTTCTTAGGCTTCTGAGAGAAGCCTGTGATACTAGGAAAGAGGTCATATATTTATAGTTGAACCTGTGCCTTGTTTGCTATAATCAGGTAAGCAAGCAGATGAATTTATTCAAGAAATGTGTCCATATGTGCAGGCTAGATGCTAGCTAATGTCAAATACCTCATGTGTGGCCGGGCGTGGCCGGGCGCAGTGGCTCACGCCTGTAACCCCAGCACTTTGGGAGGCCGAGGTGGGTGGATCACCTGAGGTCAGGAGTTCAAGACCAGCCTGGCCAACATGATGAAACCCCATGTCTACTAAAAGTACAAAAATTAGCCGGGCATGGTGGTGGGTGCCTGTAATCCCAGCTACTCAGGAGGCTGAAGCAGGAGAATCTCTTGAACCCAGGATGCGGAGGTTGCAGTGGGCTGAGATTGCGCCACTGCACTCCAGGCTGGGTGACAAGAGTGAGACTCTGTCTCAAAAATAAAAAATAAAAAATAAAAAACAAACAAACAAAAAACACCTCATATATGACAGCTACTCTATGCTATCTCTGAACCACATAGCAACCCTGAACATTCTACGGAGGGGGAAACTAGGACTCAGTGATTAAGTAAAGGGCCCAATATCCTGGGCCCTATAAGTAGCAGAGCTGGGACTCAAACCCATGCTGTCAGATTCCAGATCCCATGCACCTCACTGCTGTGCCATGCTGCCTCTCTTCTGTGGACAGAGATAAAGTAGCCAGGCATGGTAGTGCATGCCTGTAATCCTAGCTACTCGGGATGCTGAGGTGGGAGAATCACCTGAGCCCAGGAGGTGGAGGTTGCAGAGAGCCGAGACTGGGCCACTGCACTCCAGCCTGGGCAACAGAGTGAGACCCTGTCTTAAAAAAAAAAAAAAAAAAAAAAGTAGCCGTTGAACTACAGCAGGCCCTGCCCTGCCGGGCCAGAATGCACAGCCCTGGAAGTTTTACATGTGTGCATGTGTGTGTGCTCCATTTGCTGGACAAAGCAACTTTGGAGGAGTCTATGACTGAATGGAAGAAGCGGCGGAGGTTCTCTATCTCCTCTTTATTTAAGGAGGCAGTTCTCCCTGTCATTCATCCCTAGTTAAAAAAGTTAAATGTGCCACTGTACCCCTGAATCTGTGGGCCACAGATATGTGTCAGGGACAGTCAGAGCAGGGCAGGCAGGCTCTGGCTGGGTAGGTGAAGGCCCAGCCTTGCCTGCCAGCCAGCCTGTGAAACCCCATCAGCTGCCTGCATTCCTCCAGCACAGCCTGGTTTCCATGGCACTGACCGTCTGGTGGGGACCTTTGTTCACACCAAGTAAAGAGCCTCTCTCTTGTATTGATTGCAAAGCAGAATGTTGCTCTCTTTCTCTTTCCTCCAGGGGACATGGTGAGAGGCAGGGAGAGGCCGCTGTGTCAGTACTGCGGTCCTTGCGGCCTCTGAAATGGGTTGTCGTGGGCTGTTCTGGGAGCACACTGCTTTTGTGCCATCTTTCTTTTGGGTCCTGGGCTAGGGATAAACTCTCAAGCAGCCTGGGCTCCCTTTCTGTCTTGGTTGCACATAAAGTTATCTAAATTTGGCTGGGTGCAGTGGCTTATGCCTGTAATCCCAGCTACTCAGGAGGCTGAGGCAGGAGAATCGCTTGAACCCAGGAGGCGGAGGCTGCAGTGAGCCGAGATCGTGCCACTGCACTCCAGCCTGGGTGACAGAGCAAGATTCCAACTCAAAAAAAAAAAAAGAAAAAAAAGTTATCTAAATTTTTGGAAACTATTTAGCGTTTCAGCCTCTACCAGTTCTCATATGAGTAATGAGTTCTGCAAGTTGACCGTCCACTCTAGACGGTAGCTCTGCCTCTTGTTTATCCTGAAACTACCATCTCAAGTCTCCTGATAGGCTCCCTGGTTCTAATGTGCTGTGGTCTGGTGAACACGGTCGTTAACCATGTCCTCCTTTCAGGACTCTTGTTGGTCACATCTCCTCCCAGCCTTGGTGTTTCGAGGCCAGGTTTTCTCAGCCTAGGCAATATTGACATTTGGGGCCAGGTAAGGTTTTGGTGTGGGGTGTGTGTGTGTTGGGATTGACTTGTGCACTGTAGAATGTTTAGCTGTATTCCTGGCCTGGCCCTGCTAGATGCTAGCAACTCTCTCCATCAGAATGGGGGCAATAAAAAGGTCTCCAGGAATTTCCAGATGTCCCCTGGGGGGCAAAGCCACTTGTAGTGGTGAACCACTGTTCCAGCGGCCCTTCCTTCCTGGC
This sequence comes from Homo sapiens, assembly GCF_000001405.40. Classification (NCBI taxonomy): domain Eukaryota; kingdom Metazoa; phylum Chordata; class Mammalia; order Primates; family Hominidae; genus Homo; species Homo sapiens. Next base: position 49,574,111 of record NC_000018.10, read on the forward strand.
ACATTTCATCCCTTAACTTTCTCCAGGTCCTTCCTGTGTGTCTGTGGGGCAAAGAGCTGTTCTGGTTGGGATAAATCTGGTTCCCATAATCACTTGGGCTTGGTAATAGTAGCTAATACTGACAGGCACTCAGTCTCTTAAGATCTCACGTGGACTTTGAATTAAGGTATAAATTCAGGTTCCATTTTATAAATGATAATGAAACACAGGGAAGTTTTTCAATATTTGGCCCACAGAATACCTACTTTTAGGATCATCCGGGGAATAAATATCTATTTCTATGTGCCATAATTCATATCTACCCACTAGGAGTTCAGGCACTTGGGAATCTGCATTTTATACTTTGCAAGTTCTCTTTTGGAATGGTTTTACATTAATGCAGTTTTCAAATCAAAAGATGGTGAAAGTCTCTCTTACTGCTCTGCTACCTGTCCGTTTCCCTTACCCACTCTCTCCCCCAACGCACACGCATACAGGTAACTAGTTGCTTGTGTGTCCTTCCAGATTTTTTTGTAGCTGTATGGTGGAATTTAAATTTAACAAGCTCCCAATTTCAAATATGAGAACCAGTGCTCTCAACAGTGCTGCTTGCCTGCTCAACACAAAATGTTTGGAGGCGGAAAGGTTTTCTCACGGTGGCTGCAAAATAGAGGAATTCTGGAGGCCTGATGTATGGATTCTCAGTGTATTGGGTGTCCTCTTCTCTCTCACCATTCCACCCCTGGGCCTGATTAAAGGAAGAAGAATAAATTCAGATACAAATAGCTCCGTTTGGGGAGACTGGATTCTCCTTCCAGAAGGATGTAGGCAGCTTAGTTATTCTGTAAAAATTCTGCTACAATTAAGGACATGAAAGATGCTCAGTGGCAGAATGAATGGGACAAATGGCTTAGTTTCAGGCAGTCTGAGTTCTTTCTAGAACTGCTTCAGTTTTAACAGGAGCAGTTCCTTGGAGCTGTGTGGCAGCGAAACTTGTGGCTAGTTGACGGGGTTTGGCTGAGGTGACGGGATACATGAAGGCTTCAGAAGAAAGTATAAATTCCATAACAGTAGGATTTAATTTCTGCAATGATGTCTTGGGGTCAACTGCATATGGAAATGGGTTTCTTATTTTCTTCCATGCTTTCCATGTCTTGATTCTCCCAGCTGGTCTCAGAAGTCATCTTCATTCTGCACACTCAGACTTAACTTGTAATCAGGACTCACTGACCAGGTGCACCTGACACCACAGCTGTTTTGGGGCCTCCTTCTGCTGCAGGTTTGGATCCTGCCGGGCCCATGTTTGAAGGGGCCGACATCCACAAGAGGCTCTCTCCGGACGATGCAGATTTTGTGGATGTCCTCCACACCTACACGCGTTCCTTCGGCTTGAGCATTGGTATTCAGATGCCTGTGGGCCACATTGACATCTACCCCAATGGGGGTGACTTCCAGCCAGGCTGTGGACTCAACGATGTCTTGGGATCAATTGCATATGGAAGTGAGTTCCCTCTTTTCTGCTTTGTGTTTGACTCAGTTTATTCCATCTCCTTCTAAATCAGCCAGAGCCTTTAGCACTGCAGGCACTATTTATTCATTATTCTCACCTCCCACCACAGAGGCCTCCAATGCTGTATTTAATATTTCTCATTGTTCCCCAAGACTAACCAACCCAGTGGTTCCTGCTTTGCTTTCTCACGCTTTAAGGTCACAGTTGTTATTGATTAATTTCTTTTCTTTTCTTTTTCTTTCTTTTTTTTTTTTTTGAGAGGGAGTTTTGCTCTTGTTGCCCAGGTTAGAGTGCAATGGTGCAATCTCGGCTCACTGCAACCTCCACCTCCCTGGTTCAAGCGATTCTCCTGACTCAGCCTCCTGAGTAGCTGGGACTACAGGCACGTGCCACCATGCCTGGCTAATTTTGTATCTTTAGTAGAGATGGGTTTTCACCATGTTGGCCAGGCTGGTTTTAAACTCTTGACCTCAAGTAATCCACCTGCCTCGGCCTCCCAAAGTGCTGAGATTACAGGTGTGAGCCACCGCACCCGGCTGATTAATTTCTTTTTATGACAAAAGGAATACACACATTTGTTGAACAAGAAATCAAGCATTATAGACTTGAATAAAGCAAAAGTGCGCTCCCACTCCCACCCCTACTTCCACTCTTCAGATGTAGCCAGTATGAATGCTTTTGTGTGTATCCTTCTAGTCTTTTTTCTTTGCAAATTATTTGCATGCATATTTTTCCCCCAAATCACATTGTTCTGCAACTTTATTTTTATTTTAATTTTTTTCAACTTTCTTTTTTTTCCTGTAATAATATATTATGGATATTCTTTTTCTTTTCTTTTTTTAAAAGACAGAATCTTGCTTTTTTTTTTTTTTTTTTTTTTTTTTTGAGACGGAGTTTTGCTGTTGTTGCCCAGGCTGGAGTTCAGTAGTGCGATCTCAGCTCACTACAACTTCTGCCTCCCAGATTCAAGCAATTCTCCTGTCTCAGCCCCAGTAGCTGGGATTACAGGCCCCCACCACCATGCCATCCCCGGCTAATTTTTTGTATTTTTAGTAGAGATGGGGTTTCACCATGTTAGCCAGGCTGGTCTCAAACTCCTGACCTCAGGTGATCCATCTGCCTCGGCCTCCCAAAGTGCTGGGATTACAGGTGTGAGCCACTGCACCCAGCCAGAAGCTTGCTATGTTGCCCAAGCTGGAGTGCAGTGGCTATTCACAGCTTACTACAGCCTTGAACTCCTGGGCTCAAGCTATCCCCCTGCCTCAGCCTCCCAAATAGCTGAGACTACAGACATGTGCCACTGCATCTTGCTGTTATGGATATTCTTAAATATCAGAGCACACAGATTTACTAACATTATTTTTACAGGCTGTGTAATATTCCATAGCATGGATACACTCTATTTTATTTTATTTTTTATTTATTTATTTTTTTTTTATTGATAATTCTTGGGTGTTTCTCACAGAGGGGGATTTGGCAGGGTCATGGGACAATAGTGGAGGGAAGGTCAGCAGATAAACAAGTGAACAAAGGTCTCTGGTTTTCCTAGGCAGAGGACCCTGTGGCCTTCCGCAGTGTTTGTGTCCCTGATTACTTGAGATTAGGGATTGGTGATGACTCTTAACGAGCATGCTGCCTTCAAGCATCTGTTTAACAAAGCACATCTTGCACCGCCCTTAATCCATTTAACCCTGAGTGGACACAGCACATGTTTCAGAGAGCACAGGGTTGGGGGTAAGGTCACAGATCAACAGGATCCCAAGGCAGAAGAATCTTTCTTAGTGCAGAACAAAATGAAAAGTCTCCCATGTCTACTTCTTTCTACACAGACACGGCAACCATCCGATTTCTCAATCTTTTCCCCACCTTTCCCGCCTTTCTATTCCACAAAGCCGCCATTGTCATCCTGGCCCGTTCTCAATGAGCTGCTGGGCACACCTCCCAGACGGGGTGGTGGCCGGGCAGAGGGGCTCCTCACTTCCCAGTAGGGGCGGCCGGGCAGAGGCACCCCTCACCTCCCGGACGGGGCGGCTGGCCGGGCAGGGGGCTGACCCCCCCACCTCCCTCCCGGACGGCACGGCTGGCCAGGCGGGGGGCTGACCCCCCAACCTCCCTCCCGGATGGCACGGCTGGCCGGGCGGGGGGGCTGACCCCCCCACCTCCCTCCCGGATGGGGCGGCTGGCCAGGCGGGGGGCTGACCCCCCCACCTCCCTCCCGGACGGGGCGGCTGGCCGGGTGGGGGGGCTGACCCCCCCATCTCCCTCCCAGACGGGGTGGCTGGCCGGGCTGAGGGGCTCCTCACTTCCCAGTAGGGGTGGGCGGGCAGAGGCGCCCCTCACCTCCTGGACGGGGCGGCTGGCCGGGCAGGGGGCTGACCCCCCCACCTCCCTCCCGGACGGCACGGCTGGCCAGGCGGGGGGCTGACCCCCCCACCTCCCTCCCGGATGGCACGGCTGGCCGGGCGGGGGGGCTGGCCCCCCACCTCCCTCCCGGATGGGGCGGCTGGCCGGGCGGGGGGCTGACCCCCCCCCACCTCCCTCCCGGACGGGGTGGCTGCTGGGCGGAGACGCTCCTCACCTCCCAGATGGGGTGGCTGCCGGGCGGAGAGGCTCCTCACTTCTCAGACGGGGCGGCTGCCGGGCGGAGGGGCTCCTCACTTCTCAGACGGGGTGGTTGCCAGGCAGAGGGTCTCCTCACTTCTCAGACGGGGCAGCCGGGCAGAGACGCTCCTCACCTCCCAGACGGGGTCTCGGCCGGGCAGAGGCGCTCCTCACATCCCAGATGGGGCGGCGGGGCAGAGGCGCTCCCCACATCTCAGACGATGGGCGGCCGGGCAGAGACGCTCCTCACTTCCTAGATGTGATGGCGGCTGGGAAGAGGCGCTCCTCACTTCCTAGATGGGATGGCGGCCGGGCGGAGACGCTCCTCACTTTCCAGACTGGGCAGCCAGGCAGAGGGGCTCCTCACATCCCAGACGATGGGCGGCCAGGCGGAGACACTCCTCACTTCCCAGATGGGGTGGCGGCCGGGCAGAGGCTGCAATCTCGGCACTTTGGGAGGCCAAGGCAGGCGGCTGGGAGGTGTAGGTTGTAGTGAGCCGAGATCACGCCACTGCACTCCAGCCTGGGCACCATTGAGCACTGAGTGAAGGAGACTCCGTCTGCAATCCCGGCACCTCGGGAGGCCAAGGCTGGCGGATCACTCGCGGTTAGGGGCTGGAGACCGGCCCGGCCAACACAGCGAAACCCCGTCTCCACCAAAACCAGTCAGGCGTGGTGGCGCGTGCCTGCAATCGCAGGCACTCGGCAGGCTGAGGCAGGAGAATCAGGCAGGGAGGTTGCAGTGAGCCGAGATGGCAGCAGTACAGTCCAGCTTCGGCTCCACATGAGAGGGAGACCGTGGGGAGAGGGAGAGGGAGAGGGAGAGGGAGAGGGAGAGGGAGAGGGAGAGGGAGAGGGAGAGGGAGAGGGAGAGGGAGAGGGAGAGGGAGAGGGAGAGGGAGAGGGAGAGGGAGAGGGAGAGGGAGAGGGAGAGGGAGAGGGAGAGGGAGAGGGAGAGGGAGAGGGAGAGGGAGAGGGAGAGGGAGAGGGAGAGGGAGAGGGAGAGGGAGAGGGAGAGGGAGAGGGAGAGGGAGAGGGCTCACCGGATACACTCTATTTTAATTTTTGGTAACATTTTAAAGAAGCAAAACCATTTCACTTAAGTTTTTTCCATTCACTTAACATTTTTCTTCTTCTTCTCCTTCTTCCTCACTATGTTTCCCAGGTTGGAAACAAATGATCCTCCTGCCTCAGCCTGAGATTACAGGCGCAAACCACCATACCTGGCTCCAAAATTTATCTTCTGAATGCTTGAGCTTATTCTCAGCAGATTTGGGCTGAACTGAATTTGCTGCTAAAACTGAGGTGTAGGGCAGTGACCAATTTTGGGGGGGTTTCTTATCCTTTTACTGCCTTGGCTGCTGACAGCATTTCCTGTCTTGACCCCAGGCAGCTCTCTCCACTCTGATGCTGTGCCCTCCACATGTCCTGCCCTGATGCTCAGTCTTTCCCTCTCCCGGTTTAATCCAAGTAGCTCTGCAGGGTTTGGAGGTCCATGCAAGGGGATTTTACTCCCTCCTCAGAATATAGGATGATGGCCTTTCTTTCCTTTCCTTTCCTTTCCTTTCTTTTCTTTTCTTTTCTTTTCTTTTCTTTTCTTTTCTTTTCTTTTCTTTTCTTTACTTTACTTTTGATGGAGTTTCACTCTTGTTCCCCAGGCTGGAGTGCAATGGTGTGATCTCTGCTCACCGCAACCTCCACTTCCAGGTTCAAGTGATTCTCCTGCTTCAGCCTCCCAAGTAGCAGGGACTACAGGTGCTTACCACCATGTACAGTTAATTTTTTGTATTTTTAGTAGAGGTGGAGTTTCTCCATTTTGGCCAGGCTGGTCTCAAACTCCTGTCCTCAGGTGATCCACCCACCTTGGCCTCCCAAAGTGCTGGGATTACAGGTGTGAGCCACTGCCCGGCTGGATGATAGCATTTCTTAAGGCTGCTGGTGCCAATGAGGCAGGGTTGGGGTTGGTTATGCCAAATTTTTTGTAAGATCCCAGAAATTATTTGGGCCAGAAAATCCAAATTGTATGCCTAACTTTGTAACCAACTGTCTCTATGACCCTGAGCAGATTACCTCACCCCTATGGACCTTTGGGTCATAATCTTTAATTGAAGGGATTAGACTAGAATGAGGTTGTCAAACATCTTCTTAAAGCATCAGCTAGTAAATGTTTTAGGTTTTGTGGGCCGTATTGCCTCTGTTCCAACTCTGCTGATGTAGCATGAAAGTAGCCATGACAATATATAAACAAATGAGGGTGACTGTTCCAATAAAACTTTATTTACAAAAACAGGTGGCCAGCAGGCATGGTGTGGTGCACCTGTAGTCCCACCTATTTGGGAGGCTGAGGCAGGAGGACTGCTTGGGCCCAGGTGAGGATCACTTGAGCCCAGGAGTTTGAGGCCAGCCCAGGCAACATAATGAGACACTGTCTATAAAACAAAAACAAAACAAAGCAAAGAAAAAAAAAAGAGGTAGCAAACCTGCAAGCCATATTTTGCTGAGCCCTGCGTGAGATGATGTTTAGGATCTGATCCATTTGCAGCATTCTGTGGCTGTATAGCCCTATTAGGAGGTAGTGACTCCTGCTGCACAGCTGGTCTGCATCACCCTACTTAGCACTTATTATATGGGCGTTCTTGCTCTTTATTGCTTTGTGTGTATTCGTGCTGTCTTCCCATCAAGAGAGTGAACAGTTAGGCAGCATGAATGGCCTTAAATTCCTCTACATCTTAATGGGAACCTAGCACCTTGCTGGACATTAATGAAGCATTACACAGGTCGGGTGCAGCGGCTCACATCTGTAATCCCAGCACTTTAGGAGGCGAAGGTGGGAAGATTGCTTGAACCCAGGAGTTCAAGACCAGCCTGGGCAATGTGGTGAAACCCTGTATCTACAAAAACTACAAAAATTAGCCAGGTGTGGTGGTCATGTGCCTGTCGTCCCAGATACTGGGGAGGCTGAGGTGAGAGGATCACCTGAATCTCGGAAGTTGAGGCTGCTGTGAGCGGGGGGTCGTGATTGTCCCACTGCACTCTAACCTGGGCAAGAGTGAGACCTTGTCTCAACACAAATAAACAAGCAAAAGAATTACATGAAAATACTAACAGCAACAATAAACAGCTATCACTGTTGAGGAGTACAGTATTTATTATTTGAGTGTCTAATCATCAAGAAGGGCTCATCCTGCATGCTTTTTATCTCTCCCACCCCCAGCAATCACAGAGGTGGTAAAATGTGAGCATGAGCGAGCCGTCCACCTCTTTGTTGACTCTCTGGTGAATCAGGACAAGCCGAGTTTTGCCTTCCAGTGCACTGACTCCAATCGCTTCAAAAAGGGGATCTGTCTGAGCTGCCGCAAGAACCGTTGTAATAGCATTGGCTACAATGCCAAGAAAATGAGGAACAAGAGGAACAGCAAAATGTACCTAAAAACCCGGGCAGGCATGCCTTTCAGAGGTAACCTTCAGTCCCTGGAGTGTCCCTGAGGAAGGCCCTTAATACCTCCTTCTTAATACCATGCTGCAGAGCAGGGCACATCCTAGCCCAGGAGAAGTGGCCAGCACAATCCAATCAAATCGTTGCAAATCAGATTACACTGTGCATGTCCTAGGAAAGGGAATCTTTACAAAATAAACAGTGTGGACCCCTTTTGTGATGTGGCTATCAGTCCATGATCACAATATCAATATCTTAAATTTCTATCTTGCATTTAACTTTCAAAGCTGTTTCATATTTGTTTTCTCATTTGATCATCACAAGAAACCTGAGGCAGATGAACAGGGGACCAAAATGACATGTTACATTTTTATAATGTGCTGTAAAATCACAAGGTTTTCTGGGTACTGTGGGTATTATTTTACATATGAGGAAGTTGAGGCTCAGAGAGGTTAATACCTTGGTCCTTAATCCAGGGGCACGTAGTTAGAAAGTAGCTAAGTGAAAATCCTCAAAAGATCTAACTCCCAAGTGCAGGGCTCCTTCCATACTGCAGTGGCCTCTTATGGCATTGGACAGAACAAGAGCAGATGGGGGCTGCAGGCTGGGCTCAACCAAAAGAACACCAGCCCTAAAATCTCTGTGCTGGTGACTCAGTTTGGGTCAGGGGTCTCCTGTGATGACAAGCAAGGGTTACAAGCATCTTTGTTCTGCTGTCACTGCAGTTTACCATTATCAGATGAAAATCCATGTCTTCAGTTACAAGAACATGGGAGAAATTGAGCCCACCTTTTACGTCACCCTTTATGGCACTAATGCAGATTCCCAGACTCTGCCACTGGAAATGTAAGTCATCCGTTTCCCTTGCTGGGTTCGGGACAGAGAACAGGTTGGTTTGAGAATGAGAGAGCACAAGGGAGCGTGTGAACGAGTACAGCACGCAGGAGAGTGCAGTCCGACTGCTCAGGGAGGAGCCAGGTGGTCTAGCTGGCCTCTGCAGTCCTCTCTCCCACTGCACCTTCTCTACCAAGCCCTGACTCAGCGTTTCGGGGAGAAAAGTTCCTGGGATGAATCGGCATCATGAGAAGCTGCTGGGTCAGCAGCTGGATCAGCTGGGCAGAAACTGCTGTTTCATTTCAGGCAATGCCTGACGATGCTTCAGGCAATCTGTAACTTCGTAAACGTCATCCCTGGACCTCTCCTAATGATGTGGCTATGGGAGGGGTGCATAGCGATCTGTATATGTTTGTTGAGTATCCACCAGGGACAAAGCATCATGCCAAGTAATGTTGGGATTGTGATGAAACATCATCAAAGTAGCTCACTTCTCAGGGCTCACAGTCTAGCTGGGAGACCAGGTTTGTACACGCACGTGCACACTTACACACAGGTAGGGCAAGGCAGATGAGGCCAAGCCAAATGAGAGGGACAGACAGGAAGAGGCTAGGAGTTTGGGGGAGACAGATGCCTGTCTGTGGGATGGATGAGGTCTGTGGGGGGAGCTGGTTTTCCCCAGCATCTGATTTTCAGAGCATCATTAACTCTTTCCTTCAGAGGTTCTAAGGCTGAGCGGAACAGCGCACTTGAGTGGGGATGTGACTTCTTTGTGTTTTCTTATTGTGTTCTTTCTTGGTTCTGTCTTTTCAGGAAGTAGCATAAGTGGGGTGGAGGGGGTGCCCAGGAATCGTTTTGATAAGAAGCTGGGGTGCTGAGGGCAAAGTTAGTTTGGCCCATATGGAGTACACCTGAGCTTCCATCTTGGTCCTGTTGATAGGAAGTAGAGGGATAGAGGTGGGGAAAGCACTCACACTGTCTCTCTCCTGTCTGTGTGGGGTTGTTACTGCCACTGTGTCACCCCACACAGTGTGGCAGTTTTCCAGCTGTTAGGGGAGTGAGATCAGCTTCTCTCCCACTTGTAGAGTGGAGCGGATCGAGCAGAATGCCACCAACACCTTCCTGGTCTACACCGAGGAGGACTTGGGAGACCTCTTGAAGATCCAGCTCACCTGGGAGGGGGCCTCTCAGTCTTGGTACAACCTGTGGAAGGAGTTTCGCAGCTACCTGTCTCAACCCCGCAACCCCGGACGGGAGCTGAATATCAGGCGCATCCGGGTGAAGTCTGGGGAAACCCAGCGGAAGTAAGTGCCTCCTGCTCCTTCTTCTGCCTGGTGTAGGTGGGGAACAGAAGGCTGTGCCTGTGACATTTCCTTTCCTTTGCTGCATCTACCCTCAATCCTTCCCTCCAGCATGCAGGTAAAACTTCAAACACCTTTGCAAGGACAAGTGACTTCCAGATCAAGGCTTCTATCAAAACTGTTACGCATCTCATGCCCTGAACATGGGCCCTCAGGGAGACGGGTGGGCCAGTGGAGGCAGTAATTCAGCCCTGGCTCTGTTTGCCAGGCCTTGTGTCAGCCTGGAGGAGGGGGACTTCTCCTGGACTGGGCTTTTTAGGAGTGCTGCCTTGTCGATGTGTTTACTGTGGGGTCCATGCAGACAAAAGGCTTTGCTTGCTTCTGAGCAAAGCAGACTGGAGTATCACTTCCAGAGAGCCCCCATGGATGAGGTCTGTGGGAGGAACTGGTTTTCCCCAGCATCTGATTTTCAGAGCATTATTCTCTCTCCTTCAGAGGTTCTAAGTCAAGGATGTGGGGCTGTGGTCCTAACTGCAAGTAACAGAGAATCCTCTGTGCCACACTAGCTGGCAGTTTCCCATTTCTTTTAACCCCAAGCCTAGCATAAAAGATCCAGATCTTTCTATCAGCTCCTAACACCGTGCCTGGACTCCCTGAGCAGGCTTTTTTCTAAACAGAAGCCAGGGAAGCCTGCGAGACCTTTGTCAAGAAGGGAGAGTTTCCTTAACCAAGTCCTTCAGCTGACCTCTACAGAGGTCACTGCCAGCCTTGGCATGGGAGGAGGCAGCTGCCTCCCTCTTTGTCCCTCCTCTGGCATTTTCTCCATTATAATTCCTGCCATGTCTGGTTTACATTCGTCATCTATGACACAGCTTGGCAGCAGAGGGAAGTGAAGTGGAGGCTTGGAGCCCTCAGCTGAATGATTCTAGTCTAGAAACCTGTGAACTGGGGGTGCTGGCCTGTGGTCTAGACTGTGTATGTTTTTACTTCTCTGGGCCCTTGCAGGTACAAACTATACCTATGGATGTGAGAGCAGAAAGATGATCATTTATAAATAAAATATTTCAAAGAAAATAAACACCTATTAAATCACCATTGAGACTCACAAATGTAAATAGTTTTCCATTTGGGTTTAGATATCAGATTTTTAAAAAGTAAAACATTATAGATACAGTTGAAGCCCCTGTGTCCTTCTCTGCTCTACCCTTCTTCTTTCAAACCAAATATAACTAATATTTCAATGTTAACAAATGTTAGTGTGTTTCCTTCCATCATGTTTTTATACACTTTGTACTTACTGTTTTTTTTGAGACTGAGTCTCTCTCTTTCATCCAGGCTGGAGTGCAGTGGCACAATCTTGGCTCACTGCAAACTCCGCCTCCCGGATTCAAGTGATTCTCCTGACTCAGCCTTCTGAGTAACTGGGATTACAGGTGTGTTGCCACCATGCCCAGCTAATTTTTGTATTTTTATTACAGACGGGGTTTCGCCATGTTGGCCAGGCTGGTTTCAGACTCCTGATCTCAGGTGATCTGCCTGCCTCAGCCTCCCAAAGTGCTGAGATTACAGGTGTGAGCCACCATGCCCAGCCGCCTTAGTACTTCTGTCTGTGTACATAAACAATGTATAGAATTTTGGATGCTTCTGAATTTTACATGAGTGGACATAATATTTTACAATTTGATTTTTTCATTCTAATATTGTTTGTGAAATTTATCCAAAACATAAAGATCTAATCTATTCTTGTTTAACTCCTGTATGTAAATCACCATTGCACAAATAGTTTTGCCATTGTTCTGCTGAATAGTTGAGTTGTTGCTTTTTTGTAGTTACAAATGGTGCTGAGATGAACATCCTCTGCATTTTCCTTGTGCACATGTGTGTAAGGGCTGTTTCTCAGCATGTGTTCTAAAAAGTGGAATTGCTGGGTTGTAGTATATGCATTCTCCAGCTTGAACAGATATTGTTAAATCTGTCTCCAAAGTGGTTGAACTAATTTTCCATCTTAACTATGGATGAAGAGTTCCCTTTTCCCTCCTTTTCACCCAGGTCTGGTGGGACATTCTTGTCATTTTGTTAGGTGTGAATGGGCCCCCTGCTGTTGTTTGAATTTGCATTTCCTGATTGTGCGTGAGATAGGTCATGTTTTTATATGTGTATAAACATATAGGTCCTAAGGTCCTTAGGGCTTCCTGGGAAAGGTTCTTAAGCTCTTCTGAATGGGGCTTTTGTCCTGCCTCAGCTCCAGGGTCAGGTGCCCCACACCCTTAAGGATTACGTGGTCACGCTAATCACACGCCCCTGAGGCTGCGTGGGGCAGCCATAAGTTACATGGAAATGGTTATTAGGCCCTGATTCTTTCTTGTGGTCTTGGCTGTCCATTTGCTGAATCTTTGGTTTTGACTTGCAGCTGAGTTGCAGTTGCTCTTGTCAATGGATATTTACAGAGCACTGGACTAGAGGTACTTTGAATCACTCCGTTCAAGTTTACGGAGAAGTCAACCACAGAAATCAGCAAGCAGTTTCACATAGGGCATAATGTTTTAAAATAAAACATTTTTTAAAACTCCATGTTGCAAGAAGTAGCAACACTAACAAAAGCAATATTTATATAAGGACATACTTTGTAACCAGTTTAAAGGCCAAGGGAGGGTTAGGTTAATGAGGGCTCAGGCAGTCAGGAAGGCTTCTGAGAGGCTATGGCCTTGAGAGGCAGGTGGCCTTTTGGATAGACAGAAGGAAGCAGGTGGCAGAGGTCTGGCAGAGGCTGCATGAGGCCGAATCATGGAAGCCTCAAAGTGAGACACAGGTTAGAGTCCCTGCAGTAGTGATGGGGAATTCTGAAGGCTTTTGAGTCGGGGCATGGCATGAAAATTTCACCCCTGCCTCCTCACCCATCTGCCTTGAATCTAGAAAGCACAGCTGGATTCCCCCTAAAGTTCTGCCTACATCAGTGGTTTCTTTTCCCTCCTAGACTGACATTTTGTACAGAAGACCCTGAGAACACCAGCATATCCCCAGGCCGGGAGCTCTGGTTTCGCAAGTGTCGGGATGGCTGGAGGATGAAAAACGAAACCAGGTAACCAGGACTTTCTCACACGTTCCACCCAGGACACGTTGACATGATGATCTCCTAGCATGTGCTGGGGATGGATCTGGGTGCCAGGGACATAGCATGAACAAAACAGATAAAAATCTCTTCCTTTAAGAAGTTGGGCCGGGCGTGGTGGCTCAAGCCTGTAATCCCAGCACTTTGGGAGGCCAAGGCAGGCAGATCACCTGAGGTCAGGAGTTTGAGACCAGCCTGGCTAACATAGTGAAACCCCATCTCTACTAAAAAAAAAAAAAAAAAGAATGCCGGGCATGGTGGTGTGTGCCTGTAATCCCAGCTACTTGGGAGGTTGAGGCAGGAAAATCACTTGAACCTGAGAGGTGGAGGCTGCAGTGAGCTGAGACCGCAATGTTGCACTCCAGCCTAGGTGACAAGAATGAAGCTCTGTCTCAAAAAGAAAGAAAGGGCCAGGCATGGAGGCTCACGCCTGTAATCCCAGCACTTTGGGAGGCTGAGGCAGGCGGATCACGAGGTCAGGAGATCGACACAATCCTGGCTAACACAGTGAAACCTCATCTCTCTAAAAATATAAAAAATTAGACGGGCATGGTGACGGGTGCCTGTAGTCCCAGCTACTCGGGAGGCTGAGGCAGGAGAATGGTATGAACCTGGGAGGAAGAGCTTGCAGTGAGCTGAGATTGCACCACTGCACTCCAGCCTGGGTGACAGAGTGAGACTCCGTCTCAAAAAAAAAAAAAAAAAAAAAAAAAAGAAGCTGACCTTCTGCTAGGAGATAAAGAAGCAAGTGAAATACTGTAGATAGGATGTTGGAAGTGTTAATGTCTCTTCTGCTCTTTGTCCTGCCTCAACCTGTAGGGGTTCATTGTACATGACCCTACTGGCATGAGATCTTCTCTGTAACTAAGTCCCCAGGTTGGTGCCCATTCCTGCCATCTTTGAAGTATCTTTTTTTTTTTCCTTTGAGACATGGTCTTACTCTGTTACCCAGGCTGGAGCGCAGTGGCATGATCCTGGCTCACTGCAGCCTCGACCTCCCCAGGCTTGGGTGATCCTTCCGCCTTTGCCTCCTGTATAGCTGGGACCACAGGCACTTGCCACCACGCTGAGCTAATTTGTGTATTTTTTTGCAGAGACGGGGTTTCACCATGTTGCCCAGTCTGGTCTTGAACTCCATGGCTCAAGTGATCCGCCTGCCTTGGCCTCCCAGAGTGCTGGGATTACAGGTGTGAGCCACTGTGCCTGGCCCCTGCCATCTTTGATTGACATCTTCTCTGTAATAACTAGAGCTGTGGGAACGTGCCTAAGGGCTCCTAGCTTCCTTCTGGCCACCAGGTCAGGTTTGGGAATGGGGTGGGAGATAAAGAGAAGCACAAAGCATGTTCTCCTTTCTTAGGTTTTCTAGAATGCAGGTAAGTGTGGGCCTAATTCTCCCACACACTTTTTTTTTTTTTTTTTTGAGACAAAGTCTCACTCTATCGCTCAGGCTGGAGTGCAGTGGAGTGATCTTGGCTTACTACAACCTCCGCCTCCCGGGTCCAAGTGATTCTCCTTCCTCAACCTTCCGAGTAGCTGGGATTACAAGTGCCTGCTACCACGCCTGGCTAATTTTTGTATTTTTAGTTGAGATGGGTTTTCGCCATGTTGGCCAAGTTACCATGTTGGCCAAGTTGGTCTCAAACTCTTGATCTCAAGTGATCTGCCCACCTTGGCCTCCAAAAGTGCTGGCATTACAGGTTTGAGCCACGGTGCCCAACCCCAATCCTTCCCCTTTTTGGGAAACAGAAATGCCCATGTATGTGGAGCTAAGTGAGACAGAGGGGTTGTCATGCTTCACTATCCCCTTGTCCCATGCTGCAATCCGTTATTTCAGACGTGAGGAAGGCCCATCTTGTGGTGTGAGGCAGTGGGCTCATCCTGGGGAACAGCCACACGCCCTCTAAGCCAAAACACCTGCTAAGGAGGAAGGAGACTGTCTCCTCACACCATGCCTGTCGCCACCCTTTGCTCTAACAAGGGTACTAGATAATAATACTGCTGTGGTACACCTAGCACTTAGCTTGGGCCCAGCCTGCACCCAGGGACTTACATAATGATGTTTGTCATCAACCCACTAGGCAGGGGTTGTTAGCCCTGTGTACAGATGAGGAACCGAGGCTCAGGGAGATGAAGTTTCTCTCCCAAGGCCCCCAGCAATGGCAGAGGGAGTTGAAGCAGGTCGGTCTACCCCAAAGCCTGTGTTGTTGAGCACCGAGGCTCCAAGTGCTCAGATGAATCACCTCGCGTCTGTCTGGGTATCAATTATCAGGCAGCTGTGCCCGTGCTCCGGGGTCCCCTGTGATTAACCATTTGCCACCCCCAAGGCTGCGCTGCATCCCAGCTGCTCTGTCTCCTGGTTAGGAGCTCAACACAACCACAAGCACCATCATCACAGGACTCGTGCCATCTAATTAAGGGACTCAGTCTAGCGTAGGCTCGTATGATTTTCTACTACTATAACGATTGTAAATCTTTATGTATTTAAATGTGTACATTTCAAAGTGTTTCCACATATATTAACTTCATTGATCCTCCAGACAACCATGTAGATTGGACACACCCAGGAAAGATGACTAAGGAAGGCTATTCTTTTTTTATTGAGACAGGGTCTTGCTCTGTCACCCAGGCTGGAGTACAGTGGCATGATCACAGCTCATTGCAGCCTCGACCTCCCTGGGCTCAGATGATCTTCCTACCTCAGCCTCCTGAGTAGCTTGGATTACAGGAATGTGCCACTATGCCTGGCTAATTTTTGTAGAGATGAGGTTTCACCATGTTGCCCAGGCTGGTCTCTATCTCCTGAGCTCAAGTGATCTGCCTGCCTCGGCCTCCCAGTGCTGGGTTTGCAGGCATGAGCCACTGTGCCCAGTCAGGATGGCTATTCTTATGATAAAGGCTAAGATATTTATTCTTCTTTCCCGCTTTGGAATTCATATACCTGAGAACTCTATGATTCACCCTCTCACTACTAATTTTAGAAAACAAGCTGTCCTTTTCCATTCCCTCAAAAACAATAGGAGTCCAAGTAATAAATGAACACTAGGAAGTCATAGCATCATATGTAACATGTTTAGCATCCTCCCTCCTGACATGGATGCTGTTCACATGTTCACTGATAAGGAGCCTGAGATTCAGAGAGGTTCAGTGGTGTGTTCACATAGCTGAGACTAGAATCCAGGTCTCCTAACTCTCAGTCTTGCCCCCTTTCTGCCAATACAGTGTCTCTCTTGTATTTCTAGATCAAGGCAAAGAGGACACTTTGATAGTTCTCCCCACACTTGTGTGTCCATGATTGTGTGTGTGTGTGTGTGTGTGTGTGTGTGTGTGTATGTTGTGGGTGGATAATATGTAAATGCAAGAACTGTGATGTACTCAACTCAGGGTCCAGAGGGTGCTGCAGTGTGGTGTTTCTCAAAGTGCATCTATGGCTTGTCAGGTTAGGGAGAGAAGGCAGCACTCGGGACCTTGTCCATTTATTCTGAAAGGAATACATGTAAAATAGTCCCATAGGGGTGTCAGAAAGCTTGGCCTTAAGGTCAAAAGAGCACACCCTGAATACAGGTTTGCGCGTTTGCTGGTGTGTGAGCTAACAAATGCCACTCTCACACGGTTTCTTTCAGTCCCACTGTGGAGCTTCCCTGAGGGTGCCCGGGCAAGTCTTGCCAGCAAGGCAGCAAGACTTCCTGCTATCCAAGCCCATGGAGGAAAGTTACTGCTGAGGACCCACCCAATGGAAGGATTCTTCTCAGCCTTGACCCTGGAGCACTGGGAACAACTGGTCTCCTGTGATGGCTGGGACTCCTCGCGGGAGGGGACTGCGCTGCTATAGCTCTTGCTGCCTCTCTTGAATAGCTCTAACTCCAAACCTCTGTCCACACCTCCAGAGCACCAAGTCCAGATTTGTGTGTAAGCAGCTGGGTGCCTGGGGCCTCTCGTGCACACTGGATTGGTTTCTCAGTTGCTGGGCGAGCCTGTACTCTGCCTGACGAGGAACGCTGGCTCCGAAGAGGCCCTGTGTAGAAGGCTGTCAGCTGCTCAGCCTGCTTTGAGCCTCAGTGAGAAGTCCTTCCGACAGGAGCTGACTCATGTCAGGATGGCAGGCCTGGTATCTTGCTCGGGCCCTAGCTGTTGGGGTTCTCATGGGTTGCACTGACCATACTGCTTACGTCTTAGCCATTCCGTCCTGCTCCCCAGCTCACTCTCTGAAGCACACATCATTGGCTTTCCTATTTTTCTGTTCATTTTTTAATTGAGCAAATGTCTATTGAACACTTAAAATTAATTAGAATGTGGTAATGGACATATTACTGAGCCTCTCCATTTGGAACCCAGTGGAGTTGGGATTTCTAGACCCTCTTTCTGTTTGGATGGTGTATGTGTATATGCATGGGGAAAGGCACCTGGGGCCTGGGGGAGGCTATAGGATATAAGCATTAGGGACCCTGAGGCTTTAAGTGGTTTCTATTTCTTCTTAGTTATTATGTGCCACCTTCTTAGTTATTATGTGCCACCTCCCCTATGAGTGACGTGTTTGATCACTAGCAGAATAGCAAGCAGAGTATCATTCATGCTGGGGCCAGAATGATGGCCGGTTGCCAGATATAACTGCTTTGGAGCAAATCTCTTCTGTTTAGAGAGATAGAAGTTATGACATATGTAATACACATCTGTGTACACAGAAACCGGCACCTGCCAGACAGAGCTGGTTCTAAGATTTAATACAGTGCTTTTTTTCCTCTTTGAAATATTTTACTTTAATACCAGTGCCTTTTCTTGTTGAACTTCTTGGAAAAGCCACCAATTCTAGATCTTGATTTGAATTAATACACACAATATCTGAGACACTTACACTTTTCAAAAGATTTGTGTATGCATTGCCTAATTAGAGTAGGGGGAGAAGGGCAACTATTATTATCCCTATTTTACAAAACTGAGGCTTAGTGAGGTTCAGCCACATGCCTAGACTTATATACTAGTTAGTGGTGCAGCCAGGGAGAGGACTCAGATTTCCTGGAGGCAAAGTCTATCTCTGAAACTCCATGAAGACTTTTGCAGCCAGTTCCCACCAATATGCCCCAGACGTGAGACAAACAAGGACTTTTTTTTTTATATAGAGCCATCCATAAAATCCTAAGCCCTTTTATTAATGTATAACCAGGAGAACATCTGTGCCAACGGTTGGACTTTTTATGGCTGAGATTCGGGAGGAAGTGTGACACCAAGCAGGAGAGGAAGAATGATTTTCTTTGTACTTAGGTTTTCTAAGGACATTGTTTTAATCTGTATCGTGCCAAAGTTGTATCACTGTTAAACTTCTGAAGACATAACCAGTTGAGTCTTATTTCAAGATATGTTCTCAAGCCAATTGTGTGCTTCTCTTGTTTCTGTGATTGCTTTCTAGCCAAAGCGAAGCTTGTACAGGTTGAGTATCCCTTATCCAAAATGCTTGGAACCAGAAGTGTTTCAAATTTTAGATTATTTTCAGATTTTGGAATGTTTGCATATACATAATGAGATATTTTGGGAATAGGACCCGAGCCTAAACACAAAATTCATTGATGTGTCAGTTACACCTTATCCACATAGCCTGAGGGTAATTTTATACGATATTTTAAATAGTTGTGTACATGAAGCATGGTTTGTGGTAACTTATGTGAGGGGTTTTCCCATTTTTTGTCTTGTTGGTGCTCAAAAAGTTTTGGATTTTGGAGCATTTCGGATTTTGGATTTTTGGATTAGGGTTGCTCAACCCATATTATTGGCTGTACATCCTGGTCACTTCTGACTTCTGTTTTTACTAATGGAAGCTTTGCAAATTGAATTCTCAGTGAGTTGTATATTTATACACCTGGCTTGAAGCCTTAATTGTATATAATGATGCTTTTTAAAAAATGCTATTTGGAAGACTATTTATTTCTCGTGTATATAATGTATATAAAAAAATATGGTTAGTGTTTACCTAAGGTTAACCAATTTCAAGATTAAAATTTTTAAATAGTAAAATAATAAAAAATTATAAAGTTCTTAATGGTCTGACAACTCAATTTTTTTTTTTTTTTTTTTTTTTTTTGAGACAGAGCCTCTCTCTGTCACCCAGGCTGGAGTGCAGTGGCAATCTTGGCTCACTACAACCTCTGCCTCCTGGGCTCAGGTGGTCCTCCCACCTCAGCCTTCTGAGTAGCTGGGATTACAGAGATGCGTCACCATGTCTGGCTAATTTTTGTATTTTTAGTAGAGATGGGGTTTCGCCATGTTGGCCAGGCTGGTCAGGCTGGGTTCGAACTCCTGGCCTCAAGTGATCCGCCTGCCTCAGCCTCTGAAAGTTCTGAGATTATAGGTGTGAGCCACCGTGCCTGGCCAATTCTTAAAGTTTGAAAGAATATAGCTGCCCCAACCTAGAGTCTGACAAAAAGTTACTCTAATATAAGGCATATTCTTTATTTGACACTCATCGTTAGCAGAAGTGGACAGCAATTCACTAAAGAACCAGAACAAGAACATCATTTCACTGAAGACGAGAAGAAAAATTATTTCAATTGTAGCAGCTTGAAGGCCTGAAGGTGGATGTTAGGAAGAACAGGGAGCATGGCTGGACACTGGGGAGCATTAGTGAGATTATTAGGTTTGGTTGAATTGGAACTAGATATCAGTGACTTAGACCAGAGGGAAGCTGATTTCTCTATTGGTTAAAGTCCCAGCTGGTAGTAAGGTTCTATTCTACAGGCCAAGAGGGCTGCAGGTTCTTAGTTTTTCACTGTGCCATTCATGGGGTATTCCTCGCATCCCCACAGCCCAGGGGTCCCCTACCAGCCAATGGAAAGCCAGAAAAGGGAAGGGATGAACAGTCTCCTCTTAAAGACATGACTGAGAAGTTGCTTACATTCTATTGGCCAGAAATAAATCCATGGTCACATGACAGGCTGGGAAATACAGTCTTTATTTAGGGTGCCCATGGGCCCTGCTGAAGATCCAATTACTATTTATTTAAAATTGACATATAATAATTGTACATATTTGTGGGGAAAATAGTGATGTTTCGATACATACAAGGTATAGTGATCATGTTGGAATAATTAGCATACCCATCCTTTCAAACATGTATCATTTCTTTGTGTTGGGAACATTCAATATCCTCCTTCTAGTTACTTGAAACCATATTTTATTAACTCTAGTTTTACCCTTCAGTGGTATAGGACACTAGAATTTATTCCTCCTGTCTAGCTGTAATCTTGTTTGTTTCGTTTGGTGTTTTTTGTTTTTTTGTTTTTTTTTGAGATGGAGTCTTGCTCTGTAGCCCAGGCTGGAGTGCAGGGGCATGATCTTGGCCCACTGCAACCTCCGCCTCCTGGGTTCAAGTGATTCTCCTGCCTCAGCCTCCCAAGTAGCTGGGATTACAGGCATGCACCACCACACCCAGCTAATTTTTGTATTTTTAGTAGAGACAAGGTTTCACCATGTTGGCCAGGCTGGTCTTGAACTCCTGACCTCAAGTGATCCACCTACCTCAGCCTTCCAAACTGTCGGGATTACCGGTGTGAGCCACCGGGCCCAGCCACTAGCTGTAATTTTGTATCTTTTAACAATTCCGTCCCTATTTCCCCTTTCCCCCTACCAATTACTATTTATTAAAAGGGAAATTGGATCTTGCCATCCGTTTATCAGGAATTAGTTTTTTCTCTGCTAAAGCCAGCGAGATAGACCAGAGTACCCTTTAAATGATTAAATCCTGTAGTCAATTTTTAGTAATCTTAAATTGATCTATGACTATGAAGTATAATGCATTACATCAGTTTGACTTTATTTCTGGTCTTAAGTGTGAAAACATTTCTAAATGACAAGGAAGCTCTTTATAAAGGGCTTTAGTGATGGTGGAAACTCCACTGTCCATCTCTACCAGGACATTCTGAAACCAGGCTTGATAATGGCTGTAGGGAGTTGGGTTAGACAATAAGAGATAAGTTCTTAACTTGGTTCAGATGTCAGAGGAAAGCAGAAAATGGTGTCTCTGGCATAGTAAAGAAAATTGTTGAAATTTCCCAAAGGAAGAGTCATAGCCTGGATGACTGCAAGTGCCTTCTTTGGCTTGGGGGTTCAGTTACTAGTTAGAGTCAGGGGAACTTCCACAGGACTTCCTTTGACTCTCCAAACAAGCTGAAGCCCCAGACCCCTTGGAAGGATGGATACAAAGTAGGTACTAGAACAGTCTTTGTCATCAAATATGGTATTTCTCAGGTGTCACCTCTGTGTTCAGAGCTACCCTGAGCCCTCTGCCATGTAAGCTCTCTGATGGCACAGATTTTTATCTGGCTTGTTTTCTGCCGTTATCTTAGAAGCTAGAATAGTGTCTGGAACATCATGGGTATTCAATGAATATTTAAATAAATAGATGAAATTAGATATAAGAAACTAGGTGCTTAAACAGGCAGGAGGTAATCTGGGAAAAGAGCAGTTAGTTTGGAATCAGAATTCTTGGTGTGTCATCCAGCATTATGTGAGTTTTAGGCTAAATACAGCCTTTCTGAGTCTCTATCTGCTCATTTAAGAAACAGAGACAATACTGCTCAGGGTTGTTGTGAATGTTAAAGGTACATGGTAAAAAAGAAAGTATTTGTGTTTTGTAAACATTTGAATTGATAAGAGGACAGTGTGAGACAAAAATAAAATCCTGGGTGGGCACGGTGGCTCACCCCTGTAATCTCAGCACTTTGGGAGGCTGAGATGGGAGGATCACGAGGTCAGGAGTGCGAGACCAGCCTGGCCAATATGGTGAAACCACGTCTCTGCTAAAAATACAAAAATTAGCTGGGCGTGGTGGCACGTGCCTGTAGTCCCAGCTACGCCGGAGGCTGAGGCAGAAGAATCGCTCGAACCTGGGAGATGGAGTTTGCAGTGAGCTGAGATCACGCCACTGCACTCCAGCCTAGGCAACTGAGTGAGACTCCATCTCAAAATAAAATAAAATAGAATAGAATAAAATAAAATCCTTTCCACATATATGCGGAAATTTTATGTATGATAAAAGGGGCCTATTAGTCTTTGGGAAAGGAATGGATGGATGATGAGAAAGTAGGCTCATTTGACAAAGAGAAACAAAATTAGATTCCTATTTTAACACGCAACAAAGATGAATTCCAAAATACCTATTGGGTACTATGCTTATTACCTGAGTGACGAAATAATCTGTACAGCAAACTCCTGTGACACACCATTTAACTACATAACAAACCTGCATACGTACCCCTGAAACTAAAGTAGAAGTTAAAACCATCAACCCCCCCAAAACAAAAATGAATTCCATCTGAATAAAAGGTATAAATGTGAAAGTCATCATGCTAATAGATATTATGAAATATAAATTCAAAACCTGTATAAAAACTGAAAAAATGTAAAACGTCACAATTAGAATAAGAAAATTTAAATAGAACAATGAATATTAAATAAACTAAAATGCTAATAAAATGTACTCCTTAGGGCCAGGTGCGGTGGCTCACACCTGTAATCCCAGCACTTTGGGAGGCCGAGGTGGGTGGATCACCTGAGGTCAGGAGTTTGAGACCAGCCTGGCCAATGTGGTGAAACCCTGTCTCTACTAAAAATACAAAAAGTTAGCCAGGTGTGATGGTGGGCACCTGTAATCCCAGCTACTTGGGAGGCTGAGGTAGGAAAATCACTTGAACCCAGAAGGCAGAAGTTGCAGTGAGCCTAGATCACGGCACTACACTCCAGCCTGGGCAACAAGAGCAAATCTCTATCTCAAAAAAAAAAAAAAAAAAAAAAAGGCCACAGAAATGTCCATCCAGCAGGTGGACAATTACCCTTTTGTCAGCCGTTCCTCTGTTGCTGACCATTAGATCCACATTTCTTTTCTGTCCGCCCTGGTCCCCTGGTGCCCCCTTTCCTGGCCCCTGTGACATATTGTCATGTAGCTCCAAGTATTTCCCCCCCTCATATCCCTCAAGTGCTCCATTTTCCAAATGCATTTGACTTCCTACTCTCTTAGCCCCAGCTCTCTGGTATTCTGTGTAGCTGACTTCCACAAGGGATCTGTTGGGAGCTTGTAACTGAACTGAAGTCATGCACATTGTCAATGGCTAGTAGACCTTTACCTGGTCCAGAGTTGTCTGCATTGTTTAAAGAAGACGTTTGTTAATCCAAATTAATCTTTGATTTGCATGGAGGCAGTAGGTCAAATCAAAAGGAAATTTTCCTCTCCCTAGCAAGCAAACTCAGAAACAAACAAACAAACGAAAACCAAGAAACAAAAGGAAAGGTTCCTGTTGGGATAGAGAAACAGTGGAGCAGGGCAGCCACCTTACACATAGGCTAGATCTGCTTGGGAATCTTTCTTCTAATCGAGGCCCCTAAAATATTCCTGATTTTCACAGTTGATTTCATTTCTTCCCTCCTGAACTTACAGAGCCTTTCAGTAAACACCAGTATTTGTCCCTCCCCGTGTATGCCCAGTGGTTTCCATGGCAGCAACGGTTGCCATAGAGAGGTGAAGAGAGGTGTCGGTGCCCTCTTTTGTAACTGTGGGTTATCTATAGATTGGGGGTGGCCTCTCCTAAAAAAGACTAATATGTAAATAAAAGGAATAAGAATCAAACAAATATAAATCAGGGCTCAAGTCATTTGTTTTCCTAAACCTTTGTGGTTATCCATACCATTTAACCTTGACTTTCCTTAAATCATACCGGTGCGTGTGTGTGTGCAGAGGGAAAGGGCTGCAAGAAGACTCTGGAAGCTAGGACAGGTCTCAGCAGGTGAGGGCTCAGGCCCAGAGGCCAGCTGGGGCAGCAGGGAGCAGAGTTATCTGGGCCATTTGCTAATTATCTCAGCCCAGACGAGTCTGCACGCTATGTGGTTTAATACCTTCACCAGAGGCAAATGGTTTTGGACTCACAAGAATTGCTCATGGCCAGAGGCAATGGACAGATGCCATATGAGAAAGGGCTGAGGCCAGGAACAGAGGCAGGGTTATCTCACTGGAATGGAGAAGCTAAAATGACATTATCTTTACTTCTGCCCTGGTTATTATCCCAAGGCAACTTCAGTGGGCTTGTTTTGAAGTCAAAGCCTCAACTATTTATTGTGAGGGAGATAATTCATTTTCATTTTCCTGCCAGAGATGTCAGTCTTACTATTCATCCTGTATCCTCTATTAGATACACAGAGCTTCTTCCTTCTGCTTAGGCTGCCCCAAATTCCATATAGGATTCTTTTTGAAGAATATATATCATCCAAAAAGAGGTCCTAGGAAATGTGGCTTCACAACCCTGGGGTTTGTTTCCCTGGCTGCTGTCTCTCTCTCTCTCTTTTTTAATTTTTTTTGGAGACACGGTATCACTGTGTGGCCCAGGCTGGAGTGTGGTGGCGCCATCACTGCTCACTGCAGCCTCGACCTCCTGGGCTCAAGCAGTCCTCCCACTTCAGCCTCCCAAATAGCTGGGACTACAGGTGTACTCCACTATGCCTGGCTACATTTTGAATTTTTTGTAGAGATGGGGTTTTGCCATGTTGCTCAGGTTGGTCTCAAACTCCTGGGCTCAAGCAATCCACCCAACTTGGCCTCCCAAAGTGCTGGGATTAGAGGCATGAGCCATCAGGCCTGGCCATGCTGCCTCTCTCTCCTTCAAGGTAGACTTCCTCTTTCCTTCCCCTTCTCCCTGCTTCTTTCTCCTTCTCCTCTCCTTCTCCTCTTCTCCTTCTTCTTCTCACAGCTTTTTATTGACTTATAACAGGCACACAATAAACTGCACACAGGTAAATCATATAATTTGACATTTTGGTACAGGAAATCATCATGAAACTGAAAGCATTACCACATCGAGATTGTGAACATACCACCACCAGAAGTTTTCTTGTGCCCCTTTGTAATTCTTCCCACTGCCCTCTCCCCAGGTTGTCCCTGATCTGCTTTTTGTCCTTGTAGATTAGTTGCATTTTCTAGAATTTTGTATAAGTGGAGTGTATCTACAGTATGTTCTCTTTTGTGTCTGCCTTCTTGTACTCAGCATAATTATTTTGAGATTCATCCACGTCTTTGCATGGATCAGTCATCTGTTCCATTTTATTGCTAAGCAGTATTCCACTGTATAGATAAATAACATTTTGTTTATCCGTTTACTTGTTGATGAACTTTAAGTTGTTTCCAGTTTTGAGTTATTAGAGTAATGCTACTATGAACATTTGCATATGAATCCTTGTATGGACATGAACTTTCATTTCTTTTGGGAGTAGGATAGCTGGATCATATGGAATGTATATGTTTAACTTTTAAATAAACTGCCAAACTGTTTTCCAAAGTGGTTGTACCATATTACATTGCCACCAACAATGTATGAGAATTCCAGTTGTCCTATATTCTCTCCAACATTTGATATCGTCGGTCTTTTCAATTTTAGTCATGCTAACAGATATATCATGGTACCTCATTGTGTTTTAACTTGCATTTACCTAATGACTAATGATGCTGAGCATATTTTAATGTATTTATTTGCCATTGACATATTTTCTTTGGTGAAGTATCAGTTCAAATCTTTTGTCCATTTTGAGGGAGGTTGTTTGCTTTCTTATTGAGTGTTGGACATTCTTTATGTAATGGATATAAGTTCTGGACTTAAGTTCTTTATCAGACATATGCTTTGGAAATGCTTTCTCCCCGTTCGTTATTTGTCATTTCATTCTCACATTAGTGTCTTTTAAAGAGTGGAAGTTTTACATTTTGATGAAATATAATTTATCCATTTGTCCTTTTAGAGATTTTGCTTTTAGTATCATCTGTAAGAAGTTCACAAAGACAAACACCTGGTTGGTGGGGAGGGGCTAGGGGAGGTGGGTCACACTAACCAGGTGTTTGTCCTGAGAACTCACCCCAATAAACTTCTGCATGCAATCTCCATCTCAGACAGTGTTCCTGGGGAATCCAACCTGACAGATGATTATTTCCTAATCAGTTTGCAAATAATGCAAGGACTTAAAAGATTGTAACTATCAATCTTCAGGCAGCCCGGGAGGCTCAGGTATGAGAGATGGGAAAAACAGAGAAGCAGTTTGTCAGTGGCCCCAGATGGTGTAGAGTCCAAGTCACTTGCCTTAGTCCAAGGGGCTTTCCCTCTCACACCTCACATCACTGAGGGAATCCAGCTGACAGTGGGAGGGGGAGAAAGTACCTGGCAGGCTTCCGCCTTCTCAGTGTGGCAGGGACCTGGATGACACAATGAGGAGAGAGCGGGAAAGAAGGAGACTTTTTGTATAGGGCCAAGGGAAGCTGAACAGAGGCTCACCCACTGGGAATAGGGGATCACAGCATTGGAGGGGAGCCCTGATGAGGAAGGTAGACAAGACGACTTTGTAGCTTTTCTTAATTCCTGTTCAATGGGGGCAGAGGTGGGAGATGAGAAGTCAGAGGAAATTGTACCAGAGGTACGATCAAATTGAACGTTATGGTATTCAAACATTTTTATTCACCTGTGGATGTTGATGAAACCAAGTGAACAGAACCAAGGGGTGGGCGAACAAGATCTAACAGATGTGTTTCCTAATTACTCCTTTGCCACAGACATTAACCAACATTGCGTCTTCCATCTTGACATAAATCTTGTCCTATTCTGTCCCAAGGGTATGTGCCCCCCCCTTTTTAAGTTAGAATAGTGCCTTCAAAAAAGACTTGGGCTGGCCAAGCGTGGTGGCTCATGACTACCCTCCCAGCTACTTGGGAGGCTGAGGCAGAAGGATAGCATGAGCCCAGCAGTTCAAGACCAGCCTGAGCAACATAGCAAGACCCTGTCTCTAAAAAAGTTTTAAAACAAGCAGTCTTGGGCTTCCTCATGTCAGTGAGCTTCACTTTATAGAGCAGAGATACTTATATATATTTTTTGTAAATTTAATTGTAAAATAATGATGAATACATTAATTGTATTATAAAGTCCTTTCACCTATGTTCCCTCATTTCACCTTTACAATAATCTATGTGGTAGGTATTTGTCCTTGGCAGAGGAGAATGCTGAGTTCAAGGAGGTAAGTGGCAGGTACTAGGCATCTTAGTGAAAAAACTTGGATTAAAACTTGGGTTCATGGATACTAAAGCCTGAGCTGTATCCTTCCCTTACAAGCACTGCAAGAATTTGCCTTTCTGATGACTCCTCTAGTGAGTCTCTCTCTCCTCTCAGGTAGAAATATGATTAGACAAGGTAGGTCAGATGAGTCCTTTATGGCCAGCTCTTACACAGACAGGCATGGGGAGATTCGAGTAGTATATGATATCTTTAGGTTTCATGCCTGGCTTTGGGGGAAAGGGGTTCTGGTTTCTATGACCTGCCTTGGGGAAGAAATTTGGATATTCATCTGTTATGAGGTGGGGACCGCCTGCTTTCTTTGGGAAAGCATCCATTTCAACACTTTCTCATAAGAAAATGGACAGTGAAGAAATAATCTCTCTCATGCATCAGGCTGGTGGGAGATTGGTAGTTGCCAAGATTTCCAAACTTGCCCAACTGGCTCTCTAGGGACAACCAGTATCACACACATTCATGAAGAATGGCCTGGAGATGTTTTACCAGCAGAATTTCCTCCTGTGATGGGAAGGGACGCCACCTGGAAAGAGGAGCAGCTACGGGAACAGGAGGTGCAAGGAGAAGGAATCTATGAACTGAGTCCTGGACACGCTCCAGCTATCAGGTAAGCTCAGAAGGTTCTGGAAGTCATGGAGTGTCCAGCATGAAGCCAGGCCCTTTTCAGTCCTATCACATTTAATCCTCAGTGTACTGGTGTGAGGCCAGTTTTTCTTTCCTTTATTTCAAATGGGAAACGGAGTCTTGGAGAGGCTGAAACGCCAAGGCTTAGCAAATGTAAGTGGTGGTTAGGATTTGAGTCCAGGTCCTCTGACTCCAAAACTGTTGTTTTTAATCACTGTGTTGTACTGAATATAGAGTGAGGCAGGATAATGAATTGTATTGCATTCAGACCCATATTTAAAATACTTCTTCAACATTTGCTTACTGAGAGGGGAGAGGCTGGGGGTGGGGGAAGGGGCAGGACAGCATCTGGCATGCACTCTTCACTTAGCAGAGTCCGCTAGGTCATGTAATGCTCCTCCTGCCTTGTAAGACAGACCAGAGCTGCTCTGTGCTTACCTGAGCTTATTATCGGGAGACATCATCTTTCCTACCTCAACCCGCCCATCAGAGAATCCCTTACAAGCACAAATAGTTTGGACCCTGAGAGGTGGCCTTGTAAACGGCGTTGCCAGAAGGGTGGTATGCTGAGTTCTGGTTCTCCAGGCACTGCCACTGTTTCCCATATGGTCAGGCCACAAGCCACATCCGAGGGGCCCAGAAAACAAGACCCCAAAATGAAGGTCTCAGAATCAGCTCTGTCTGCCCTCCTGCCCTCCTGTCTCTGGCCTCTCATTCTCCCCCTGAGGCTAGCCATGGAAACTAGACTCCCTCTTCCCTAAGGTGGGTCATAGAAACCAGAACCCCTTTCCCCCAAAGCCAGGCATGAAACCTAAAGATATCATATACTACTTGAATTTCCCCTTTGCCTGTCTGTGTAAGAACTGGCCATAAAGGAATCAACTGACCTACCTTGTCCAATCATATTTCTACATGGCTGTTCATACTTGGCTGAATCTAAGCATAAAAATGAACAGTTTCTGCTGCATCTTTGGGTCATAACACCCCCATTCCAGAGAGGGTCCTGCTCAACCCAGAAGGAAGACATGCTGCACAGAGATGCCAAGAAGAATCCAGACAGGCCTTGCTGGGTTTCCCCATTCATTCCTTTTTTATTTTTAATTATTATTATTATTTTTGAGACGAGTCTCGCTCTGTCACCCAGGCTGGAGTGCAATGGTGCCATCTTGGCTCACTGCAACCTCCACCTCCTGGGTTCAAGTGATTCTCCTGTCTTGGCCTCCCAAGTAGCTGGGATTACAGGTGCCTGCCACCGCACCTGGCTAATTTTTGTATTTTTAGTAGAGACGGGGTTTTGCCATGTTGGCCAGGCTAGTCTCGAACTCCTGACCTCAGGTGATCCACCTGCCTTGGCCTCCCAAAGTGCTGGGATTACAGGCATGAGCTCCCCATTCATTCTATTATCATTATTCCTACCCTTTTTGTCCAATCATATTTCTACAAGGCTGTCTGTACTTTATTGAATCTAAGTATAGAAATGAACAGTTTCCCCTGTATCTTTGGGTCTTTATTCTGAAGGCTCCTGCATCACGTAAAACTGTGATCCAGTAAATTTGTATGCCTTTTCTTATATCAATCTGCCTTTTGTCAGTGATTTCCAGCTAACTTTCAGAGGGTGATAGGGAAGTTTTCCCTTGGTCCCTGTGTAAACAATTGCCAAGAGGTTTGTTGGAGAGCTCCTGTTCTGCCTCCTGGCCTTACTCACTGTAGCTGCTACTATGCTCTGCCCAGAGCTGGGCTCCTGATGGGGAATGCTGGCCCCATTGGCTAAACGGCTGCACCCTGCCCATCCGCCCTCTGGCCACACTCCCCTGTTGTGCAGTGGGGACCTGGCTCTTGTTTCCAGTCATTGCTACCTGCTGTGGGTGGCTTCCTCCCAGACTACACCTCCTGCTTCCCCTCAGAATTCAAACAGTCCAGGAAATCAGATGACATCCCTATCTATATGCTTTACTCTGGAGAAAGTTTGGATTACATGAAGACCATCTTCAAGGAAGTGCACTCCGGCTTTGCACATCATGATAAATAAGCGAGGACCTCTCCACTCCATTCTCTTCTCTGTCTGTCATCATTAGTGTACTTCATTAAGGCTGAAGTCCACAGCATTTTGGCTGAATTTAAGTCCAACTGAATATTTTTAAAACCGTAATTTTATATAGTAATTCAGACACTTTTCCATCAAGGAGTTAGTAGTCTACCAAGAATTCAGTCCATGGTATGGTACAAATCTTTACCGTACTCAAACCAGTTTTAACAGTGAGAAAAGATAAGCTAAAAGCTCGTGCACAGATAAATATGGGTGTGTGAGAATGAAAGAGAGGTACAGAAATGGACAAAGATGACTGGAGGTGACTGGCAAGGAAGACCAAGCAAGAGCCTGCACCTGCTGGAATGCGCTTATCAGAATCCTAATTACCATTAGAGGAAAAGAAAGACGAAAGATCAATGTAATGTTCCCTGAGCCAGGACTAAACCAGCCTAGAGGCACTAAGGAGTCACTGGTCCTAATCTGTGCAAAATCAGGAAGTGTTATTATGGTATTAACTGGTATAACAAGATTCACCTGAGCTCTAAAGATGTGCAAGTTATTCCATAAATAAAAGACTCTGCAAGAATACTCAGCTGGTGCTTGGAGAATGAGCTTGAACTTTCTGCAGGATGTTACAGACCTTGGATCATCCTAGCCTGAAGATGTGTACATAATTTCTCAGTAACTCCTGGTGGCTTTGCCCAAACTCCATGAAGGCAGAATTGGCTGACACTGCTGAGGAGTGACACTTCATGGTACATAAAGGCCAGGGGAAGACGCTGGCACATCGTGTCTGGTCACTACAGGGAAGGTGGGACAGTTGTGAACATCTGACTGTGGATGTAATATCTGAATGATAATGTGTTATCCATGTGATGGTAATTTTCTTTTATTTTGTTCTGGAATTTTGGCTCTCATGTATATATAACAGGTAAATGCTCTAATAATGATTTAATAAATGGTCTTCAAATTCCCTTAGGAAAGGTAAGGAGTAATTAATTAAAACAACAAAAGTGAAGTGTAGTAAATGTAAATGGTCCAAGAGAATGAACCTTGCTGACTTCTCTCCTTGCACTAATTTATTTCTATTCCAAGTCTTAGGGTCATCAACAGGATTCCTGTTTTACCTGGTTCTTTTGGGAAACAAAAAGCATTTTATTTTTAGAGCTCAAGTGATATGGTAGGCATTGTTCAGATCAGATTCTAGCAACAGGCAAAACCACAGAAGTCACTCAAACCTGTGTCGGGAGGAAACAACACAGTGCATAGAATGAGGAGGATGGGAATATTTTATAGTTTAAAATGAGTAAGGTTCATCAGCAAAAGTGGAAGAGTAGGTAGCTCCAAGGGCCTGTGCCTCCAGAAACATGGAAAACTGCAGCAAAAACTGTCAGTATTAATTTTGTCAAAACTCTGAAAACGGTCACTGATTTACAGCAACCAAACAATGAATAAATAAATTAAAAAAAAAAAACTTAAAAATGGTAGAAGAGCTTTGCCATATTCTTACTTACCCTTGTCTCACCGCCCTCCTCAGCAAGGCAGCAGTCCTGAAGACTGCAGCCTGCATTCCAAGTGTGGATCTTGGTCCCTGGTTCTGGAAGGAGAAGAGCAAGTCTTATTCTCAAAGAATTGTGTTTGTCTGTTCTAACCTGTCTGTGGGCTACCTGAAGGACTAATGCAAAGCTCTTGTCTTTGTTTCACCTAATTCAGAACTTATTCATTGTGAAGGAGCATCTATATGCAGGGAATTCCTGGAAAACATTGCTAGAAAAATGAACAATCCTCTACTGCCTGGGCCAAAAGATTACAATTAAGGTAAACAACTGATCACCAAAAGCTGGGAGGAAAAGTTGGGAGAGAGTTTTATTGGGAAATGAGGGCATTGAACTGTGTCCACTGTGAATTTAGAAAGCCACCTGCATGTCCAGGACAGGATAAATGCTCACAAAAGATCTGAGAAGACCTTATCTTTCAGCTCTGACTGGTCTTTAGACTTGGAACCAGCAGGAAGTGAAGGCTAAGGCAGTGTTGTAAATGACATGGCTAAGTATTGAAGGAGGATCCCAATGCAGAGCCCCATTGCAACGACTAGGAGAGTTTTTTTCCCCCACTTTTCTTTTCTATTTTTGGCTTCTGGTGTTCAAGGGAATCTCTGTCAAGACACTAGTTGATTACAAGCTAAAGGAACAGAGACCTCAGAGATCACATATGACAAAGAATATAGGCTTTACAAAGATAGTTTAGAAAAGTCACTAAGCAAGTGAATAGATACAACCCATAGCAAGCAATGAAAATAAATCCTGAGTAGGGGGAAGAATCTGATTTCCAGAGTTAAAGATGCTGTTTTAAACAAAAAGGTACGAAGCACGTAAAGAAACAAGGAAGTATGGTTCATTTACAGAAGAAATTAACACAAACTTTTGCTGAGGAAGCACAGACATTGAACTTACTAGACAAAGACTATAAATCAAAAGTCTTAAATATGCGCAAAGAGCTAAAGCAAACCAAAAGAATGATGTGTGAACAAATAGAAAATATCAAGGAAGAGATAGAAATCATCATAGGAACCAAGCAGAAATTCTGGAACTGAAAAATGTATTGACATTGTTAAGATGGCAATAATCCCCTAACTCTTCTACAGATTCAATGCAATTTCTATCAAAACCTCAGCTGGCTTATTTGTGAAAATTGACAAGCGGATTCTAACATTTATATGGAATTACAAGGGGTCCTGAGTAGCCAAAACAATCTTGAAAAGGAAGAATAAAATTGAAGGACTAACACTTACTGATTTTAAAACTTACTACAAAGTTTTAAAATAGTGATCAAAATAGTGTGGTACTGTCAGAAGTATAGACATATAGATCAGTGGAATATAGACTTCAGAAATAAACACATACATTTCTGGTCAGTTGGTGTGCAACAAGGGTGCTAAGACCATTCAGTGTGGGAAATAATAATCTCTTCAACAATGGTGCTGGGACAACTGAATATTTACATGCAAATGAATAAAGTTGGATCTTATCTGATACTACACAAAAATTAATTAAAAATGGATCAATGACCTAAATATAAGCAGTAAAACTATAAAATTCTTAGAAAAAAACATAGGAATGACTATTAATGACCTTGGATTTAGCAATGGATGCTTAGATATAACAACAAAAGCAAAAGTAATGAAAGAAAAATAGATAAATTATACTTTATCAAAATTAAAATTTTTGTGCATCAAAAGACATATCAAGAAAGTGAAAAGACAACCTAGAGAATGGGAGAAAATATTTGCAAATCATATATTTGATAAAAGGCTTATATCCCAAATAAAGAACAACTCAAAAAACCCCCCAACTAATCCAATTATAAATGAGCAAAGGACATGAATACACATTTCTCCAAAGAAAATATACAAATGGCCAATAAGCCCATGTAAATACACACAAAATTATTAGTTATCAGGAAAATGCAAGTTAAAACCACTTTGTACTCACTAGGATGAGCATAATAAGATGTACAGATAATAACAAGTGTGGACAAGGATGTGAAGAAGTTGGAATGCGCATACACTGCTGGTGGGAATGTAAATTGATGCAGTCCTTTTGGATAACACTTTGGCAGTTCCTTTAAAAGTTAAATAGTTATCATATGACCCAACAATTCTACTCCTAAGTAAATACCCGAAGTAACTGAAAATATATGTCTACACAAAAACTTGTACATGAATGTTCATAGTGGCATTATTCATAATAGCCAAACAGTGGAAACAACCCAAATGTCCATCAACTGAAGAAAGGTTAAGCAAAATATGGCCTATGAATACAATGGAGTAACATCGGAATTATGTTCTGATGTAGATGAACCTCGAAAATATAATTCTACATGTATGTTCATTGCAGCAGTATTCACAATAGCAAATAAATGGAATCAACCTAAATGTCCACCATCATGCATTTAGGTAGGTGAGATAATTCTTTTTTTTTTTTTTTTTTTTTTTTTGAGACAGAGTCTCACTCCTGTTGACCAGGCTGCCGTGCAGTGGCGCCATCTCGGCTCACTGCAAGCTCCGCCTCCTGGGTTCACACCATTCTCCCGCCTCAGCCTCCCGAGTAGCTGGGACTACAGGCACCCACCACCACGCCTGGCTAATTTTTTGTATTTTTAGTAGAAATGGGGTTTCACCATGTTAGCCAAGATGGTCTTGATCTCCTGACCTCGTGATCCACCCACCTCGGCCTCCCAAAGTGCTGGGATTACAGGCATGAGCCACGGCGCCCGGCTGAGATAATTCTTTATGAGCAGTTTTTACACAGACAGGCAGGGAGAAAGTTAGAGTAATATGATATCTTCAGGTTTTATGGCTGGCTTTGGGGAAAGGGGTTCTGGTTTCTATGACCCTCCTTGGGGAAGAGGGAGTCTAGTTTCTATGGCTAGCCTAGGGGAGAGAATGAGAGGCCAGAGACAGGAGGGCAGGATAAGGTCAGTGAAAACTGTTGCATCTGAGGCCTTCATTTTTGGATATTGTTTTCTGAGCCCCAACAACAGAAACGTCCAGAATAGGCAAATCTATAGAGACAGAAAGTCAATTAGTGGTTTCCTTTGGTTGAGGGACTGGGGCTAGGGCTGGGTGAGGGACATAAGGGAGTGACGGCTAAATGGTACAGGGTTTCTTTTTGGTGTGATAAAAATGTTCTGAAATGGATTGTACTGATGGTTGTACAACTCTGTGAACATACTAACTACTGCTGACTTGTACTCTTAAATGGGCAAATTGTATGGTATGTTAATGCTATCTCAATAAAGTGGTTAAAAATGAGTAAGGAGAGCCCATGTGTAAGATTCTGAGTGTTGAAGGAGGGAAGCTGCAGCTGAGTTTGTACCTCCTGGAGTGCTCCTAGGACCACAGCTGAGGGCTGTGTAGGGAGATAAGGAGGGGGCCTGGCCTGGACACTGCAGAGGCTGAAGCGAGTAGGCACTTGATACTTGAATGGACAAATTCTGAAGTTCCTGGCTCTTTGTTAATGCCCAGTCAGTGAGGGGGAAGAGAAGAAAAGAGTTAGGCTTAAGTCTTAGGATTTGGAGCTCAGAAGGGCTTTTGGCAGTGGCCCAAAGGGATTTTGAATTAAGGCTTTAATAGAACCAGCCATACTGTATATTCACACATCTCTTCACCCCTCACTGAGCATTACACCTGAGGTCTCATTTGGGGTCTTAGTCTGTGAGACTGAGGGGCTGAGAGCAGGAGGATCTCATTTGGCATTTCAGCATGGAAATCTGGCACAAGGAAATCAGTTGCCCCTAAGAATTCTCATCTCCCATTGTGGCATATGGCATTTAAGTTAAATGAAAAGATTTCTCCAGCAGCAAAGCTCACAAAACACTGGGCTGAATCACCTCTGGGAAGACGTGGGACCTTTTATGTAGGAAGATACTTGGGAATTAGATGTAACCCAATATGAGACTGGGGCGTGGATCATTCAACCTTGGAAAGCCCCACAGTCAGGGGATAGGTTGTGATTTAGCCTGTTGAAGGATCAAGATCAGGTATGATCTAATGTGTTGAATAGAGTCAAATGGGTCATTTCACCCAAATTTTAAACTGGCTATTGCCGGCCAGTAATTTATTGTGTGATGCTGGGCAAGACACTTGCCTCTACAAATCGGCTATAAAATTGTAAAGTAAGGACTGGCTTTGAAGGAAATCACTGAGCTGTTTTCTGCTTTCTCTGTTGCTGCTATACTTCAATTTCAACTGTGCTTGTGTCCCAAGTGCCAATATTGCCTCAATCTGGTTCCAACTCCTGTTCCTTAGTAACTTGGCTGGCAGAGAAGCTTCAGAAAGAGAATGGCATAGGTGAAACCATTCTGGTAAATTCCTGCTAAGATATATATGACTAAGAGTTATTTAATATGTGGGATACAGAGAGGAAGTCAGTTACCTTATGGAACAATTTAATGAGCTCATTGCAGTAGCTTTTATTTTGTTTTAGGTGGGCAGATGTTCTGGATGCTTCTTAATTGACATCACTTGAGGTCAGTGCATTTCAAACTTTAATGTACACATGAGTCACCTGGGGACCTAGTTAAACTTGATTCTGATTCAGTAAGTCTGGGGTGGGGCCTGGGACTCTACATTTCTAACAAGCTCCCATGGGTGCTAACTCTGTCTGCTGCTAGGGGACTGTCCTTAGAGCAGAGGCCCGGGTGACCATCAACCCACCTTCAGTGATACTGATGCACTCAGGAAGGAATGAGTTGCTTTTCTCTTTCTTGAAGCCCTTTGACACTCTGCACATGTATCCATTGGAGCACTTTGTGTTGTAATGATTTGTGCGGGGCCCATCTTCTCTATGAGGCTGAAGGCTCTTATACACAGTAGCTGCATCTTATTTATCTCCATTTGCTCTTGACTTCCACCTCTCCTCACTTTAACACTGTGGTTGGCACAAAAAAGGCACTTAATGTATGATGAGGAACAGGCCCAGACAGGCCTGATGGTGATCGGGTGAGCTCATAAATGATGTGGGCTGTTACGTGGCATCTCTGTTCCTGCGTGGCCAGATGGCATAAACCAGTGATTTCCAACCCTGACTACAGATCAGGGGAATTTAAAAAAATACTGATCCCAGGCCCACTCCAGTGTTCTGATTTAATTGAACTGTTTTGAAGCCCAAGTATGAATGACTTTAATAGCCCTCCAGGCTCTTACAGCTCAAAAATAAAAAGACAACCCAATTAAAAATAGGCAAAATATTTGAATGGATATTTTCCCAAGGAAGATTTACAAGTGGCCCATAAGTACAGAAAAAGATATTAAATATCATTAAGGAAATGCAAATCAAAGCTGAGAGATACACTTCACACCTAATAGGACGGTGTGGGAGAATTTCAAACTTTCCCTCTGAAGATTTGAGTCTAAGGCTGTTGAAGTGAATTGACAGTAGATGGATTAACAGGAAAAAAGGCATACAAATTTGCTTGATGTGCCTAAGCATGGGGGAATCGCAGGAGAATAATTACCCAAAAACCCACTGAGGTCCAGATGCTTTCATACTCTTTTACATAGGGTAAGGGGAGACAGGGGGCGTAGGGGTAAATGATTTAGGAGAGATGAATGGACCTTGGAGACAGAAATTAGCTTGGGAAGGATTCTGTTTGTAAATTGAAGGTACTGGAGAACAAACAATAGTTTAGAGCAAAGTTGGTCTGGACTGTAGGTGTGGTGTTTAATTATCAGTCTCTTCCTCTGTGACATGAATTTTAATCTTCTCCGGTTAATGTAATTTTAGTGAAAGGATCAAAGGCAATTGTGTTTCTCTTTAGCAGGCCCAGTTTCTAGGTAGTTCAGGAAATTTCAGAGAATAGCCTCATCCTGTGCTTTGGGAAAGACAGGAGAGGTGGGGGAAGGTCAGAGAGACATTAAGCCAGCTTCTTAATTTGTATGTCAAAGTGCCACATTTTGTAGTATATTTTGTGCCCCCACAATGGATATATTAAAAAAAAGAAAAGAAAAGAAGTGTTGGTGAGGACGTGGAGAACTCAGAACCCTCATACACTGTTGATGGGGATGTAAAATGGTGCAGATGCTTTGGAAAACAGGTTGGCATTTCCAAAAATGTTAAATGTGGAGTTTTTATATGACCCAGCAATTTCATTCCTAGGTATACACCCAAGATAACTGAATTTCATCTTAAAAAATAAAACGTAAAATGCTTCCCAGGGGAATCTGATTTGCAGCCAAATTTGAGAAGCTCTGATGTAAAGTAACCTGGGGTAAATGTTCAAACACTTGCTGTCAAGAGGATGCTGCTGCTGACCAGAAGTTCTCGACTTCAAATGCACATTGGAATGAACTGAGGGACTTCTAAAAAATGCCATTGCCTGGGTGTCCCCAAAATGAGCCTGATTTAATTGTTCTGGGGTACAGCCTGGACAAGCACTGCAGGAGATTCTAATGAGCAGCCAAAATGGACACAGTGCTGATGGTGGTAGTCGTAAGGATTATTGGAGGGCTGTTAAAATGCACTTTCTTGACCTCTGTCTGCAGAAGTTCCGAGTCAGGGGACCTGGGGTGGGGCTGGGCATCTTCATTACTTTTATTTTTATCTCAAAATTTTTTTTTGAGACAGAGTCTCACTCTGTCACCCAGGCTGGAGTACAGTGGCATGATCTCAGCTCACTGCAACCTCCACCTCGTGGGTTCAAGCAATTTTCCTGCCTCAGCCTCCCAAGTAGCTGGGATTATAGGTGCCTGCCACCACGCCCAGGTAATTTTTGTATTTTTAGTAGAGACGGGGTTTCACCATGTTGGCCAGGCTGGTCTCCAACTCCTGACGTCAAGTGGTCCACCTGCCTTGGCCTCCCAAAGTGCTGGGATTACAGGCGTGAGCCACCGTGCCCGGCTGCATCTTCATTATCAACAAGCTCCTTGATGATTGTGATGCAGGCGGCCTGGACCACACTTTGAGAAGCACTACTTTAGGGAAGGCCTCTCGGAATGGAATGTGCATGCAAATCACCTGGGGACCTTGCTAAACGGGAGCTTCTGATTCTGCATTTCTAACCAGCTCCCAGATGATGCCAGGGATGCTGGTCTGCAGACTGCAGCTTGTGTAGCAAGGCTACATAGCCGTGGTTCTCAAAGTGTGAGTCCTCAACGGGCATCAGTATCACTTGGGAACTTGTTAGAAATGCAGATTATCAGGCCGCATCTCAGACTTACTGAATCAGGAACTCTGGGGGTGGAGCTCAACAATGTTTTTTTAAAAAGCATGATTGTATACATTCATGATACATAACATGTATATATACATTGTGAAATGACCACAATCAAGCTATTTAATATGTTCATCATCTCGCATAGTTATCTTTTGTATGTGAAAAGAACACTTAAAATCTACTCTTAGCAACTTTCAAGTATACGATACATGATTATTAAGATTATTAACTGTAGTCACCGTGCTGTGCAATAGACATCCAGAAATTAGTCATCCTGTCTAACTGAAACTCTGTACTCTTTGACCAACGTCACCCATTGCCTCCGCCTCCCCAAGCAGTCTGTTTTAGCAGGCTCTCCAGGTGATGCCGATGCACACTGGAACTTGAGAACCACTGTGGAGGGCTATCAAGTGCTTCTAGTCCCTCCCAGATGCTTCCCAACCCTGGAGCAGCACCTCAGTAGAGCAGCGGAAGACCGCCTGTGGCCTCTGGGAATTGCTGATACCGAGCAGAGACAGTCCCTGACCAGAGACGTTTAGGAATGTGATGGTGGGTGCTGCTAAGGATGAGAGAGTTATTCAGCCCGGGTGGCACAGGGAAGGGCCAGCTTAGCAATGGGCCACTGGGCATTAACGGGAGTGGGGGGCACATTTGTGGCAGGAGTGGATTTGTGAGCCAGGGCCTCCAGTCTTCCTGCATTCCCTCTACAGCTCAGGGCACCTGCCATCCTGGCTGCCCTCAGGTCCCTTGGAAAAGCTGCCCAGGAACCTTGGTAAGTGTTAGGAACGTCATGTGTTACTTCTTTCAGGGTCATTTGCATTTAAAAAGCGGCATTCTGGAGAAAGCACTGTTTCTAAAGTGGAATTTTAAGCTTTGAGGCTCCTCGGTAGGAAGCTGCCTGGTCTTCAAATCCCACCTCCCATATGGATGCAGCTCTGCCTACAGCTTTTCCTGGTGATGGAGGGCAGGCCCCCCTCTGGGTGCAGGCGGCTGGAGGAGCAGGGGAAGCAGGAGCTAAGGAATTCCCCATCGCTTGGCTGCCTCTTGGAATCTCTCACAGCCCCATCCCCTGTGGGAGAGAGGCAGCAATTAGCATAACTGGAACAGACTCTCTTTGTCTACATCCCAGACTGTGGGATTCAGGCCTCCCCCAGAGACATGCTAATTATGTGGAAGGGACCCTGGGTGCCTGTTGGCACCGATGCTGGCTCCTAATGCTGCTACTTTCCGATCAGAAACCAGGTGTAGGTGGAGCCCTGGCCCAGGCTTGTGCATTGATGAATGCTCTCCTCATCCAGGAAACCTGCTGCATGGGCCGCTCGAGCTCTTTCAAATATCTTTCTCCTGCAAATTTCTACAGCTCCTTGTGGTCAGAACAACTTGCTAGCTCTTGGCATTATCTTTTATTGTCTCATCCGGGATTGGTTTTGCTTCCCCTCTAAATTGCAGTTCCTTTACAGGGGACCTTGTTTTATATTTAATAAATCAATCAACCAACCAATGAATATCTATTAAAGAAACTATTTGCCAGGCACAGTGCCAAGCCTGGAGATACAAAGATTAATAAGGCCCCACCTGGAATGAGGCGTGTGCAGCCCAGCGGGGGTGCAGAGGTTACAGCTGAGTGAGCTGCTGTGTATTCCAGTGAATAGAGGGAGGTACTGAATGCTCTGGGGTTTCTGAGAAGAGAGCACTGTAATGTGCCCGGGAAGGGCAGGCAGGTGGGGAGGAGCTGAGGAAGGCTTCCTGGAGGAGGTGACA
This sequence comes from Homo sapiens, assembly GCF_000001405.40. NCBI lineage: Eukaryota > Metazoa > Chordata > Mammalia > Primates > Hominidae > Homo > Homo sapiens. Next base: position 49,614,082 of record NC_000018.10, read on the forward strand.
TCTGAACATTATTAAGGATGAGTAGGGGTTTATCACACAGCTGTTTCAGACAGGGAAAGGCATGTACAAAATCACATGAGCGGGAAGGGTTTGAGGCTTTCTTGGAACGACAGGTAGCTAAGGTCATTCAGCTATGGCTAGACGATGGAGCATAGCTGGGCCATGGAGAGGCAGAGAGGCAAAGTGGAGACCCCGAGGTTGGGTGGGTCCTAAAAGGCTCTGTCTTCCAAGCTAAAGAGTTTAGGAGCTGACTTGAGGGCACTGGGCAACCAGTGAGGAATTTTAATGAGAGGGTCATGTGGTTAGAATTATGTTTTAGAAAGAGAATGTGCGTTAGGCTGTTCTTGAGTTGCTATAAAGAAATACCCGACTGGGCCAGGTGCGGTGGCTCATGCCTGTAATCCTAGCACTCTGGGAGGCCAAGGTGGGTGGATCACCTGAAGTCAGGAGTTCAAGATCACGCTGGCCAACATGGTGAAACCTCATCTCTACTAAAAATACAAAAAAAAGAAAAAGAAAAATTAGCTGGGCATGGTGGCAGGTGCCTGTAATCTCAGCTACTGAGGAGGCTGAGGCAGGAGAATTGCTTGAACCTGGGAGGCGGAGGTTGCAGTGAGCCAAGATCGCCTCACTGCACTCCAGCCTGGGCAACAAGAGCGAAACTCCATCTCAAATAATAATAATAATAATAATAATAATAATAATAATAATAAAACTTCACTAAAAAAGAAATAACCGATTAGGTAATTTATAAGAAAAGAGATTTAATTGGCTCACAGTTCTGCAGGCTATATAGGAAACATGGTGGCCTCTGCTTCTGGAGAGGCCTCCGGGAGCTTTTACTCATGGCTGAAGGCAAAGTGGGAGCAGGCCCTTCCCATGGCGGGGAGCTTGGGGAAAGGTGCCACACTGTACAGCAACTGGATCTCAAGAGAACTCACTATTGCTAGGTGAGCACCAAGCCAGGAGAGATCTGCCCTCTTGACCCAAACTCCTCTCACCAGGCCCATCCCCAGCACTGGGGATTACGATTCAACATGAGATTTGGGCAGGGACACATATCCAAACTATATCAGAGTGGCTGCAGTGTGGAGAACAGACTATTGGGGTGTCTGGAAATGCGGAGACTAGGAAGGTATCAGAACTGCTGAGGAGTGAGACCAAGGCAGGGACAGTGGGGAGAGAAAGGAAGCTGTGAGGAAGAGGGGGTTTGGGGATGATTCCAGCTCAATACCTGGGGTTGGAGCCAGGGTACATGGTGGTGCCATGGGAATGGAGACCGAGGAGACATAGAAAGCACAGTCATGGTGGAGGAAGGGAAGCTCTCTTCCTGACAGGTTTTCCCCTGGGAAAGATATCCACAGAGTGGCAGCCACCCCTCTGCTTTCTGTGTCTGTGGATTGGCTTGGTGGAGCTAACTCCTGGGAAGTTAGCTCCCAGGAGTTAGTCCAGACATATGGGTCTGGACTGAAGGAGAGACCTTGATGTTGGAGGTGGTGAAACCTGGTGCCTTAGAGAAGATGTTTTGGAGACCGAGCTGAATTTGAATCCTGGCTTTGCCTCTTCCTAATTATACACATTCGAAGAAGACATAACATACGCTCTGTCTGTGTGTTGTTTGCCTTGTTTGTTAAAAAGGAGTCTAAGTACTATCTTGTAAGATTATGGGAAGACTAAACAAGATAACGTACATGAAGTGTTTAGCACAATGCCTGGGACATTATAGGCACTCAGGAAACTGTTTTAATCAATGGGGGTTGGGGGGGGTGGGTGGTAGTTGAAGCTGGATGCGAATACAATGACCCTGGGGAAATAGAGTAGCATGAAAAAAGAAGAGAACCAAAAAGAGAACCACCAAGGAGTTAGCAGCCAGGGAGGCAGGCGGGGTAGGGAGAGGGAGGCCAAGAAAGGAGGAGAGAGTAACCAAGAGACCCAGATACATTAGGGGGCTTCTAAGATGCAGGTGAGCTGTCTGGATCATCAATGATGAGGTGACTGGTGATTATAGAACAATTTCAATGGAGTGGGGAATGAGTGTGGATAATACTTTCAAAAAACCCTGCTATGAAGGATAGGAGATAATAAAATGAAGAAAAAAGGGACAGGTGTAGGGAAGGCTTCTGTTTTAAGGCAGATTTTGTACATGTCTCTGTCCTTTCACTTTCCACATTTTACTGAAATTGGCTGTAGGTGGATGTCTGCCCTGCAGCTACCCCTCAGCACCCCTGCTCACTGCTCCCCAGCCTCCCCTTGGCACCCCTGCTCACCTCAGTCTGGGCTGCACACTGTTGTCTTAGCCCCGCAGTCCTCTGAAGAGCTTTAGCAAAGCACCCACATGGTTAGCTGGGGTTGCTGGTTGTGTATGCATCTTCCCCCACGAGACTGTGGGGAGCATAGGGACTAGGCCTTCTGTGACTTCAGCCGCCTGCACCTATCCCAGGGCCTGGCACAAAATACGTGCTCAATAGATGTCTCTTGAACCAGCTTGTGTGAGCAAGGTGTTGGATAAAGGCTCCTGCTGCCAGTCACTGCCTACCTGGGGTGAACTGTGAGTGTCCTGGGGTTGGAGGTGAAGGACATATGGTGACTCTGGTGTAACCGAGAAAAATGGTGCAAGAGCAAAGGGATCTGAGGTTGCTCTGATCATTGACCTAAGGCCAATGTCTTGTGAATAGATGCTTAAGTGCGAGCTCAAGCACATTCCCCTCAGGTACATAGACCCAGAATAGCTTACTTATTTGTTCCCATAACTGGTGTTGTGGGTGGCAAGGGTGTGCTGAGTCTTGTCCTTACCGGGCCATGAAGAATCTTAAAAGGGAAGCAGAAGTTACCAGTGTTGATTTCACAAATAGGTGCTAACCACTCACAAATAATATTTCCCTCCTCACTGATGCCTAGAATTTTCCTGGTCTCTGTAAGTGTGAGTTGCAGGGGCGGGGACACATCTTAAGTGCTGTAATAATCTCAGTCTCCTCATCTGGAAAATCAAGGTGTCATTCCAGCTTTCGGTGGCTCTGATTCTGCTTTCAGGTCCGTTCTTGAGAGTGGGTTTTCATCAGAAGGGCCTGGAAGAATGTTAAGCAACTGAGAGGGAAGGAGGGATTCTTTGGAGGGCAAAGGGCTCTGCCTCCCTCCCTGCCCCCAGGCCACTTGCCATCCCATTGAGGAGTGAGGATGACCACAGCAAGTCTTAGGTGATTAGAGGTTTAGGTAGAGCCATGTATATGTGCTCCAATGAGAAGTGGTTGTTTGGACTAGACCAGTTCAGACCTGCCCTGAAAGTAGCCCATAGGCCAATGAGGTGGGCTGAGAACTCTCTGGTTCTACCCTGTGCTGTAACCAACCTTTCAAGGTAATCTAGCACCAGAGCAGACCCAAAACTGCAGGGAGAAAAGGCAGCCTCCTGGGTGCCCTTCCTGGTGCATCCTTCTCTCTGTTCTACAGCAAAGCATTGAAGGAGCTTCTGCCTGCAATTGGCACCGTGAAGAGCTTAACCCACGAAGGCCTGGTTTTGAGTCTTGGTGGGTGGAGCAGAGATTCTGATAAAACTCTGTTCTCTCTTTTCTTTAGCCTTGAAGTTTCAGGCAGGAAAGAAGAGAAGATGATGCATCGCTGGGCTCTGCAAAGGGCCTGTTTTCTAAAGGCATTTGCCTCTCTGTCTGTGCCTAGCCTTGGGCTGGGCAAAGAGGGGTTGCCCCTAACATACTTGGTGATTGGCTGGATAAATTGTAAGCTGAAAAAACAAAGTGGTTTTCACGTTTCCTAAATTATTTATATTGAAATTTGCCATTTCAATCTGACTCTGAAGGAAGCTCAGATTGGTTGTTTGAACAGGGAGCTCTGTGCTCTGGGTCCTTTTACTTTTGCAGTGGGATGTATTCCCAGACCACCTCCATCAGGCCGGCTGGAGAGCCTGGGGATCCCAGGGCAATGTTTTTCCCCACCTGGCTCAGATCAGGCAGGGAGAGCATGTTTTGTGACTTGCTCAGAGCTTGTTCCAGGAAGTGTTCTTATATCCTGAAATGGAAGAGACCTTTTCTGATACACTGTTGCCAAATGGGCTTGGAGAGCATGAAAGAATTACAGCATCTTCAGAGTCTGTTTATAACTTCAGATGCAAAAACTACACTCTGTAAAGGGGAGGCCGTGCACTTTTTAGGAAAAAGCTGTGAATTAAGGAGTCAGGGGCTGGGTGCGGTGGCTCAAGCCTGTAATCCCAGCACTTTGGGAGGCCAAGACAGGTGGATCACAAGGTCAAGAGTTCAAGACCAGCCTGGCCAAGATGGTGAAACCCCATCTCTACTAAAAATACAAAAATTAGCCAGGCGTGGTGGTGGGTGCCTATAACCCCAGCTACTCGGGAGGCTGAGGCAGAGAATTGCTTGAAACTGGGAGGCAGAAGTTGCAGTGAGCCAAGATCGTGCCACTGCACTCCAGCCTGGGCAACAGAGTGAGACTCCATCTCAAAAAAAAAAAAAAAAAAAAAAAAAAAAGAGTCAGAAGACCTGAGTGGTTCTGCTACTTGAGATCCATGCATGCTTCAGCTACCCCGGTCTCAGTTTTCTCATCTATGAAATGGGAACGATAATACTTTTCCTAGCTTGTTTTGAGGATCAAATGAAATAAAAATGTGGAAGGGCCTGAGGAGCTGGCACATGCTGTTCTGATGTAAGAGTTGACTCTTTTGATTACAGACCAGCTGGACTCTTCCTACCTGATATCTGCTAAAGCAGACCACACTGGCTTGCAAGGGGTGTGGGGTGTTTGTGGGTGTAGGGTGCTTTCTGCTCAATTTGGGGGCCCTCCAGCTTGGCAGCACCATCTGTTGCCTTGTGTCTCTTGCCCATTCTTCCCTGAGCTAGAGCCAGTTGGGGCTTCAAAGCTGGCAATGTGGGGCTGGGTGCAGTGGTTCATGCCTGTAATTCTAGTGCTTTGGGAGGCCAAGACAGGAAGATTGCCTGAGCCCAGGAATTCGAAGCTGCAGTGAACTATGACTGTGCCACTGCACTCCAGCCCGAGTGAGAGCGGGACCTTGTCTCAAAGAAAAAAAAAAAAGAAATTGCTGGCAATGTTTTTCTAATTTCTGCTGAGTGAGCAAACCAAGTGTTCCTGGGACTGCACTCCCAGTCCCTCCAGAAGGCCATTGTTGGGGAATGATCAGGAACTGGCCTTTATCTCTGCGACAGTTTATAGCCAGTCAGGCATTTTATTGTTTCCCCAGTTACGACGTGATTGGAATGTGGCCATCTCTTCGGAGCACTCCTGGAGGTTGAATTAATAAAGGGGATAGGCCAGGGAGTCCTGTGCTGGACAATGGAAGCTGCAGACTTGGGATCGCACAAACTCCCAGAAGTTCTTTTTTGGAAGGGAGGCAGCTGAGCTGGAAAGGGTTGAAAATCTGGAGTTCTCCTTTCGTATCTGGCTGCTGGGAGTGGGGTAGGTTGGGTTAGAAATCCCTAGCCATCATCTTGTTAAAACACTCCTGTGAAGCAGGCCAGTGCCAGGGCAGGGGGTGGTGGCTTCCTGGGGCCATCTCTGAGTGGTGGCTGAGCCAAAATGTTGGAACGAGGATGGTAGAATTCAGCCAAAATACAATCCGTTTCACACAGAGAGCAATTTTGAACAAAGATACAAAAATCAAAACCATCAGGTTTTTGCTCTTAAGGAACTTACGGTAAAGAACAATGAACAGAGCCACTTGGATGGCTGTGATCTGTGGTGGAATGCGATAGCTAGTACTAGGGAGGTACCAACGCGTGTGACAGGGGTTTAGGGTATTGTTGGGAGAGTCCCAGAAATCTGTTGTGGGTGCCTGCACCAGCCGAGGGCATCTGCAGAGCCACACCAAGCCAGTTGTGCATTTCCATGGAGATCCATGTTTTTGCCTCCATGAGCTGGTAGCCTGAAGGCATGAATTCATCAGTCTGAGCTGTGAGAAGAATGCATCCTCCTAGAGCTCGAGCAGTCCCTCTGGAGAGAAGCTGCTATGTCATGGGCCAGATCCGATGCTTCCTGGGGCTGGCTACATGCCTTGGAAGGCAGTTGCCCAAGGGACTGCAAGTCTGTCACCCCTGTGATGCCTTAGACATTCTCCTTGATTTGAAATAGGCCTTCGCCAAAGAGAAAGACCCTTCCCTGCTAACTGTGCCCTGGATTCCACAACCTGCTCATCCCACCAAACGTTGTCTCCCATATATCTTTAACACCTCCCCTCTGGGCTAGCTTTTTCTATCTGCATTTAACATTTTCAAACCTCATTCATTTAAAAAAATGAATAAATAAACTTCCTTCCCGCTGCCTTGCCTTCACAGCCCTATGTTGCTACCTTTCTGTTTCTCATACCTTCTGGAAGGTGTTTTCTAAACTTGCCCTTTCCACACTACCTTACCTCTCATTCCTGCCTTAACTCACAGCTGTCTGGCTTGTCCTTCTCCTCAGGACCAACACTGCTCTCAGTGAGGTGCCAAGATGCCTGTGGGTAGGGCCAATGTTCATCCTTCTAGATAGATTCTTGACAGAGGTCAAGACAATTCTCTTGACCTCTTTTTTGTACATGTGAAGGTTTGTTGTATTGGTGAACTCTTGTCCCAGGGGTTTGTTGTACAGATGATTTTATCACCCAGGTATGAAGCCCAGTACCCAATCGTTATTTTCTCTGCTCCTCTCCCTCCTCCCTCTCCCTCCTCCCACTTCCTCCCACTCTCCACGCTCAAGTAGACCCCAGTGTCTTTTGTTTCCTTCGTGTTCATGGGGTCTCATCATTTAGCTCCCGCTTATAAGTGAGAACATGTGGTAATTTGGTTTTCTGTTCCTGCTTTAGTTTGCTAAGGATGACATCTTCCAGCTCCATCCATGTTCCCACAAAAGACATGATTTCATTTTTTATGGCTGCATAGTATAATATTCCATGGTGTACATGTACCACATTTTCTCTCTTTTTTTTTTTTTTTTTTGAAAAAAAATTTTTACCTTACCCCCCAGGTTTCGCCTTTTCTTTATCCAGTCTATCATTGATGGGCATTTGGGTTGACTTCATGTCTTTGCCGTTGCGAATAGTGCTGCAATGAACATTCGTGTGCATGTATCTTTATAATAGTTTATATTCCTCTGAGTATATGCCCAGTAATGGGATTGCTGGGTCAAATGGTAGTTCAGCTTTTAGATTTTCAAGGAATTGTCACACTGCTTTCCACAATGGGTGACCTCTTGTTTCTCAGAAAAAAAAAATCCCATTCTTACGGTCTGTGATCCACACCTGTTCGTGGTTTCCTGGGTCTCCAACTTCCTCTCCTCAGTCTCCTTTACCAGGCTCTGTTCTTGCATCCTAAACACTCTCTTCTCTCTCTCTTTTTCCTACATTCACTCTCAGCTGTTTCTCCAACATAATATACAAACCACCACCAATCCCTCATTCCTAACTGGACATCTTTCCTGAGCTCAACCCAGCTGTCTCCAGACACCTAAACTGAGTGGGTGAGACTTAGTGTGCCCCCCTCTCCCTTTCCTGTGCCTCAATGAGCAGCTCAAGCCAGAAGGAGTCTGTGACTGAAGTGTGTGCTTGTCTCTGTGTGGTGACTGATGAGTACAGGACGCTCCTTGGAACCCATGATTTCTTCCCCATCCTCTGAGAGCAGGTTTGGAAAGGAGAGAGAGAGAGAGATTGAGAGAGAGAAATGGGGGAGGGAGGAGAGAGGCATGAGACGGAGCAGGTTTTCTCTTTTAGAAATGAACATGTTTTATTCATGTTTGCGACTTTGTAATAATGAACGGTTGTCAAGGCAGGATGCTGGCAGATTCCTCTCCAAGAATGCCCTTGGGGCTGAACCCAAACAGGAAAATCATCTTGACCTTTTCCTGAGATTAGATCTGGGTCGGGCACCTCATCAGAGAGTTGATTTAACAGCTGAAGTCCCCTGACAAGAAGTGGTGACTGAGGGGAGGGCTGGGCAAGGAGGGAGGGTTTTTAAGGAAGGGCTGGGTGTGTGAATGTTGCCACCGCCGGGCGGGGCTCTGTAGCCCTCATGAGGGTGGACGCCATGCTCCCCATCTCCTAGCACAAAGCTTCAGGGAAACAGACCCTAGAGGACCTGGCAGGCTGGGGAGAAAGGAGGCGAGAGGCTGTAGCAGTGACATAGGCTAAACTGACCTCACCCCCAGCCGGGAGCTTGGAAGCTGCAGTGCCACGTGGGCCTTCAGGCTGCTCTGGTGGCTGTGACCACAGGCTGCGGAATGGCTTCTTGGCTTCTCTATGGCTCCTTGCTGTTCCTGGTTTTGAACAGTTGGGATGACTCCTTGGAAGGTTGGCTTGTGGCCTCTACCTTTCTATTTATTTTTTATGTTTGTATTCTTTTTTAGCCCTTACATCATTTGTAAGGCCTCTCCTTTACTAATGCGTTCTTGCTCCTTCCACCTTTCCCCCCATGTTCTTCTCTGATCCCAGTTACCTTTTCCTAGTGGAACTTGGTAATGCATCCCCTCTGGCTCTAACCTGGATCGCGTCTCCTAATTGATGTCTCCAGTTAGAGACCTCTGTCCCAAGGCTTGGCTTTTAGGAGGTTTCCTTCGCATCTTTTTCTTCTGCACAATGTTCCTTCACACAGTTATAAGACCTCTTCATGCCACGCCTCAGGCCAAATGTGTTTAGAAGCTCCCTGCAAACGTGATGGACCCATTCTGAACAACTCACTCAGGGACCTGGTGCTCTCCCAGGCCCTTCCCTATTTTAAACTTGTCTGCAGCCACAGCACCCCTGCTCTGGCCCCTGACCTTCCCCCAACTTCAGTGTGTGTGACACACACGTATGCACACTCACTCTCACAACCTTCTTGCCTGGAATGCACTCCTTGGCATCTAGTCCTGACTTCTGCATTGTCAGGTTATGCTGGGACTCCATCCTCTCTCAGAACCTCAGTTCCCCCGGAGAAAACAGAAGCTTGGACCAGATGAGCTTTACTGGGATCCCCTTCAGCACTGAGATTCTTTAACTTTGTGACTATAGCCGTCCCCCCTTATCCTCAGGGGGATCCACATTCCAAGACTTTCGGTAGATGCCTGAAACTGTGGTTAGTACCACACCCTATATATGATTTTTTTCCTATACATGCATTCCTTTTTTTTTTTTTTTTTTTTCCAGACAGAGTCTTGCTCCGTCGCTCAGGCTGGAGTGCAGTGGCATGATCTCACAATCTCACTGCAACCTCCACCTCCCGGGTTCAAGGGATTCTTGTGCCTCAGCCTCCCAAGTAGCTGGAATTACAGGTGCCTGCCACCATGCCTGGCTAACTTTGTATTTTTAATGGAGAAGGGGTTTCACCATATTGGCCAGGCTGGGCTCAAACTCCTGACCTCAAGTGATCCTCCCACCTTTGCCTCCCAAAGTGATAAGATTATAGGTGTTAGCCACCGTGCCCAGCCCTATACATGCATTCCTATGGTAAAGTTTACTTTATAAATTAGACACAGCAAGAGATTAATAACAATAAATAATAAAATAGAACAATTAATATGCCAGCATCATTACTCTTGCACTTTCCGGCCATTATTAAGTAAAAAGAAGGGTTACTTGAACACAAGCACTGATACTTCATACTGACACAGTGATATGATAAGATCTGACTGCTACCCAGACAATCTGAGCCTGATGCTAAGTGACTAAAACAGGGGGCAGCCTATGCCGGACAAGAGATGATTCATGTTCCAGGTGGGATGAAGCAGGATGGTGTGAGATTTCATCACACTACTCAGAGGGCGAGAAATTTAAAACTTTTGGATTATTTCTGAAATTTTCCACTTAATATTTTTAGACCACGGTGGACCTCAGGTACTCAATGGGAGGATCTTAGAAACCATGGAAAGCGGAATCGTGGATAACAAGGAAAGCTAACAGAGGCTGGGCACGGTGGCTCATGCCTGTAATCCCAGCACTTTGGGAGGCTGAAGTGGGCAGATCATGAGGTCAAGAGATTGAGAACACCCTGGTCAACATGGTGGAATCCTGCCTCTACTAAAAATACAAAAATTAGCTGGGCGTGGTGGCATGCGCCTGTAGTCCCAGCTACTTGGGAGGCTGAGGCGGGAGAATCGCTTGAACCCGGGAGGCAGAGGTTGCAGTGAGCCGAGATCACGCCACTGCACTCCAACCTGGTGACAGTGTGAGACTCCATCTCAAAAAAAAAAAAAAAAAAAAGCTAACGGAGAATACGGACTTGGCCTCAGATACATCTGTGTTCCTGACAGCAGCAACACAGAAACTGCTGGACAGGCCGTGTAGGGTTTGTTACTCTGTCCCACTGTGAGAGCAAAAGGTCTCGATGGTGTGGGTGTCTCTGAGTACAAAGTATGCCCCAGATGAATGGAAAGAAGGCGTGTTCCAGGGGTGTACATGGAGGCCATTTCTGGGCATTGGATGACAGCAGAAGTCAGAGTCTGAGCAGAGCTCTTCACTTTAGATGATGCCAGTGACCTTGGGATCTGCAATCTCACGCCATAAGCCTCTGCTCTCTTGTCTTAGCTTCTTATTCTGTAAAAATGGGGAGAATCTGTGAGGTTAACTATGGTAGTGTGGTGTGAGTGCCTGTCATATAAAGGGCACTCAGTAGGTATCAGTTTTCTGACCTCCTTCTGCCCATCCTTCCTTCCCTACACATTCTCAGGGAAGACAGTTTCCCCTTGACTCAGCACCAAGTTTGAGACAAGTAATCTTCTCACTTTGTGGGACAGATATTTTCTTGTTCCACCTTTCCGCTCGGGTTTAGCCCTTTAGAGACCCAGCATAAAGTTTCCTGTCTGACTACCCACTTTGGGATGGCCCCAACCTTCGTTTCCATGTTCTCCAGCTTCACAACCTCTCTCACCGATTTCCATCATCGACCAGTCCTGACCTTGTGGGTGAGAGGGAGTGCTTCCCTCTCAGGGAGGCATGGCCTCCCTGGCCAAAATGTAAACTTGTTCATTTCAGGAATTATTTTTTCTCCTCTTAAAGGCCCTGCCACGTGTGACTCAGACCCAGGGTTGTTCCTGAGCGAGACCTCAGTGGTAAATCACAAGGACTGGGCTCCAGCCCACACAGATGCTATCCTCTTTCTTCTGTGACTGTGTCTTAGCTTAAGTAGAAAAAAACAGAGAAACAAAGGCACTGTCTCATTCTGCGCAGCTGTTGTGCCCAGGGGTACTGGTCTAAGCCTCACTCTTCAAATCCCTTTGCAGCAGAAGGTAGAAGAATTTAGGCAAATAGAAGCTCCAAAGAAAATAAGGTCATGGTTTAATGACCCCAGGCTTGTCTTGAATGAGCCAGTGGGTGACGGATTTCCACATTACCTCTGGCAGGTGAGGTTCATGGGCAAACACATTAAACAGGAATGAGAATAGCATTCAGATTTCCATCATTAAATATCCATAATATTTGATCTTGTGAAAATAAACAACAAAGTGCTAGAAGAGAGGTCCTATGGAATAGCGAAAGTTGATTCATCTGGGCCAAAGGTGACCAGCTAGTGTGGCCAAGAGCGTGACAGCAGGAATTCAGGCTGCACGATGCTTCTCTGGGAGTGAATCTAGTTTGCCCAGTCTGTGTTCTGGGCCCAGAGTGTGTCCTTAGAGGGCGGCCCGTGGCCTGAACAAGAGCATTGCGGATTTGCCTGCAACCTCACCTAAATCCAGCAATTCTGAACTCGGAATAGGGAAACACGGCATCCGATTCCCAGGGGAGCTTGTGAAACACACACACACACACACACACACACACACACACACACACACACACATTTCCCTACCCATGTGGTTGTGTCTTGGTAGGACTGTAGTGTGGCCTGAGAATCTGCATGTTTACTGAACTCACCAGGTGATTCTGCCACATAGCCAGGTACAGGAACCACAGCTCTAACCCAGCATGAAGTGATCGGCGGTGGATACATCAACTTCCAAATTGGCCCCCATTCTGTTCCCTCTCTGTGCTTCTCCACTGCTTCTCAGCTGCCACGCTACGCTCTGTGTGTGTGCCCGTACGTGTGTGCATGCTCAAGAGTGTACAGTTCTCAGATCCACCCTCCCTACAATGAATGAAACTCTCCCACAGCCCTTCCCTGCCAGTTTTGAGAATCACTGCTTTCCTCATTTCCACGTCTCAGGCTGCATAGGAGAGGAAGTTCATCTGTGTGTGCACCGGGCTTTGGGATGCTGTTCCTTTGTTGGAGGGAGCAGAGCCCTTCCATGGCCTTGGGGGACATTTGGAAATGAAAGGAAAAGGTGCACCCCAGAGGTGGGGCTGTCTCTGGCCTGGACACGTGCTCTGTGGACCAACAGTTTTGCCATTGATAGGTGGTCTTACAGGGGGTTGTATAAAATTCCTCCGGAAATGCTGGGCATGGTGGCTCACGCCTGTAATCCCAGCACTTTGGGAGGCTGAGGCAGTTGGATCACAAGGTCAGGAGATCGAGATCAGCTTGACCAATATGGTGAAATCGTATCTCTACTAAAAATACAAAAATTAGCCAGGCATGGTATCGCATTCCTGTAATCCCAGCTACTTGGAAGGCTGAAGCAGGAGAATCGTTTGAACCTGGGAGGCGGAGGTTGCAGTGAGCCAAGATTATGCCATTGCACTCCTGCCTGGGTGACAGAGCAAGACTCTGTCCCCCCCCCCAAAAAAAAATCCTCTGGAAAGAAAGGTGCCGCGTTAGCTGTGAGGTGTGCCCACAGTGCCAGCCCACAGGGGCTGCTTTCTGCTTCGGGTCCTTGCCCCTTCCTGGGAATGCATGGGTAATAAAAGGAGCAGAACTGGCACTCAGCTCAGTCACTGATGACAGATGACGCTGCTTACACAGTGGGAAGGGCTCTGAGCCAGGGTGGAAGGGCCCACACCGTGCCTTGGGGGATTTACTGTTGAGGAAAAACTCGGGGGCCTTTTGTCCCTAGGGGTGCCCCAGAAAGCCTCCTCAACCCTGTTTCTCCAGGCCCACAGGCACGCCTTGCCCACTCCACATGCTTGCCTCTAGGCCAGTCCCTGCCCACTCCTCTTCCCTTGATGTTCTGTGCTCCAAGTCCCCTCTCCTTTGCCTCAGAAGACAAGCATGGGCCTCTTGTCACCTGAAGGGCTTCCTGCCCTTGCCACAGGGAGGACAGAGGTGTGTAATGGCACAAAGGGGGCATTGCAGAGCATGCGCCTTGCCTGGGTTGCCCCCAGCGTGGCCCCTGGCTCCTGACTTCCTTCCGAGATTGAAGAAGGAAGTCATGTGCACAGAGGTCAGTAACAGCCCTACCAGCCCCGGCTCCCTGTGTCAAAAATGCAACAGCTCACACCTCACTTGTCTTTCCACATCTTCTTTCCTGCCTGTCTATTCTTCTATCCTGCTGACTTTTATTTTTATTTTTTATAAAGTCCAATTAATCAATTTTAAAAAATAGATTGTACTTTTGGTGTTGTAACTCTTTCTCGTGCACTCACTCTCTCACTTTCTCGCTCGCTCTCTCTTTGAGACAAGGTCTTGCTCTGTTGCCAGGTTGAAGTGCAATGGCATGGTCATGGCTCACTGCAACCTCGACTTCCTAGGCTCAAGTGATCTTCCCACCTCAGCCTCCCGAGTAGCTAGAACGACAGGTGTGTGCCACCATACCTGACTAATTTTGATTTTTGTGGAGATGGAGTTTCACTATGTTGCCCAGGCTGGTCTTTAACTCATGGCCTCAAGTGATTCTTCCACCTCAGCCCTCCAAAGTGCTGGGATTATGCATGAGCCACTGCACCCATCCTCGGTTGGCTTTTTGAGCCTCTTTCTCTTTGTTTCCCCTTTTGGATCAATAGTGAACACGTGGGGGCTACCCTGCATTCTGATGTGGCCAATCCCTGGTCCTGGCCCCCTAGATTAATGCCCTGAGTCAATCAGCCATCCTCCAGACCATCCTCAATCTTATCCCTGGTCCTGGCCCTATCCTTTGAATCTTGCTGACCTGAGTGGAGGAAGTAGACAGGGAAGGAATCTAGCTGGGGAGGAGGAAGGAGAGGGCTTCTTCCTTGCCTCCACTCAACAGCTCTCTTTGCTATGTCCTTCGAGTGCTCTCTGATTAAGACGGCCTGGCTCAGGCCCCTCTTATACCCTGTTGCTCTCAGCATTTACATATCATGGCCATGACTTTGCAGGTTGACAGGAAACCAAAGCTTCATGTGAGCACATTCTATCATCCCAGTTAGATCAAAGAGGGCAGGAGATGCACCCTGCACTCACTAGTGCCCTGCACACTGGCAGAAGTCCAGCTGCTTGGCTAACTGGTTACTCCTGGTGAGACATTTCCTGGCTTCCTGGGAGGCACTGAAGGCAGTTTCCACCAGAGGCTTGGTCTCCAGGAAAGCCAACGCAAAGAAGAGCTAGCTCTCTTGGTGGGAAGAATTCCTGGGCTTATAAAGGAAGCATTTCAATGACCAAAGCACTCTGTTTACTCATTCATTTATTCTTTCATTCATTAATTCCTAGTAGGCCTACTCAGTGCCAATCTAGGTAATACACAGTCCCTGGGAGCTTACCATCTTGTTGGGAAGATGAGACTTGAAACAATGGGACAAGGCAAATAAGATTAAATGCCCCAGATACTTGATTTGAATCATGGATTGAGGAGGTAAGAGAAGAATGGTGGGGCTATAGGAGAGGGTAGGTGCTCTCTAGGAAGCAAGCGGTTTCCCAGCCCTGGAAGAAAGGGTAGGATTTAGACATGTAGATGAGAACATGGAAGACCTTCCAGACACAAGAAATGAGCAAAACCTCGGTGTTTTGCAGTGAGAGCAGAGGGCATTCTGGGGCAGTGGAGGGAGCTTGAAGAAATCAGTGTGGGTTCTGTGCTGCTGCCCTGGATGCAGCAGGCCGGTGGGCCATGCTGGCCATTCCAAGCCTTGTCTGGGAATTGCTCTGGTAACCAAGAATGCACTGAGAGTGACGGACGTGCTGAGGCTGCACTCCCCTCTTCCCATGCCCTATGAGCAGGCCCAGGCGGGGCCGAGGCCCCATCCAAACCACTCTTGTCTTGGTTCCGGCCCAGAAGTAGCAAGAGAAGCTGGAAAGGCAAAGCTTCTTGATTTCCACTGCTTTCTGAGCTGGCCAGGTGGAAGGCAGCCAGGGAGGAGCAGCTGGCGACAGCCCGCCTGACTGCCTCGGATGGCAGGCAGCTACTCAAGGGAACAATTGGGCAGAAGCAGGGGGCAGGGGGGTCAGGGAACATGGACCAGTGGAATTCTGAACAAGGTCAAAGTCCAATTTGGTACAGTGCTTGATTACCAATTTAAATCTCATCTTTCCTTCCAGAGTGGCTGCCCCCTGCAGGAGAGGCCAGGGCTGCCACAGGGGAAATTTGCATTTTAGGATTCCAAGTGCAGGGTGCCCTGGCAGGGCTGTACTCAGCCGGCGGTCCAACGGGTGCTCGCCCTTGCACCTGGCAGTCGCATGTTGAATATGCTCCTATTTTCCCTACTTCTGGCTGCCTGTATGCTTGGGAAACAAACACAAAACGAAAAACTCTTCTTACCTCTTGCAGTCAGGGGAGGATCCCAAAGCATGCAGGGTGGGAGGTGGTGGGGTCTAGACAGTGGGTAGTGATCGTAGGTTTTTCACACCTGAGGCTGGAAGAAAGTGCTAAGGGATTGGCAGTCAAATGGGCAGCAGGGCACTTAAGGGGGTGATGTGGAATGGAGCCCATAGAAAGAGGCAGGAATCTGGGGTGCAGTGGTGGCTCAAGGGTGGGTTCTACAGAAATGGTTGATCGATTGATTCCAGGCATGTAATTCGGTTTGAAAACAAGCTCCTCTTTGAGACTCTTCCCTTGGGGCAGTTGGTTCTCAGTCTTTGACTTCACCTGGGATGCTTTTGAAAATATTAATGCCTAATTGTTAATGGCCTGGAAATTCTTTCCTACTTTATTTTATTCATCCATTCATTCTCATCAAGAAAGCAAACCTATGCTTTTTAAAATTTTTAATTTTTGCTCCTAAAAAAGCAAACCCAAACCTGCAAATTCTGATTTAGCAAATCCACAACTTCTGTCTCTTCCCATCAACACCAGTACCTCTACCACCATTACCACCATCCCAAGGTAAGGTGTGGAAAGCTCCTCTGCCCTGGCATGTCCTACAGAACTCCCTGGGGTGGGTCTTTTTGTTACCCCTTTACCATTAAATCAACACACATTTATTGGGTACCTAAGTGTTGGTGAGAATGGCTGCACAGCCTAAAGTCTAGGCTGCTTTTGGTGTTTGGTTTCTTTCAGCTGTATAGGACTTTCTGTGAGAAGAGGGAGTATGTGGTGCAATTTGTTCATGACATCAGAGTTCATGGGGACAATGACCTGCTTGCAGAGAGTTTGCTTGCTGGCATATCCAAAGGCAATGCCTGTTGCAATCTTTTAGCTGCTGTGGGGCTGGGCATCAGGACTGGATTACCCAACACCCTGTGACCAGGAGCCTTGTGGGTACACACACACACACACACACACACACCCCCACACCCTTCCTTACCTGAGGCACCTGAAGATACATTTTGTGCATCCTGCAGTTAAGTTGATGGTCAACCAGGCCTAGCTGGCCCAGACTCCATCTGAGTAATCCTGGGACTCATGGAGTGCACTTAGATTTATTGTGGGCCCCAGGGGTTCATCACTCTCCCCTTTTCAGGTGACAATGGGGACAGAAGCTGCCGTGATGGGGACCCTCTGTTATCTTTTCTTGTCTGACTGGAAGGAGAAAGGAATGCCTGAAATCAGCCTATTGCAGAGGACAGTGGGCTCCCTCAGGACTCAGAGTCCTCAGGCTCTCACTGGTGTCCATGGCTGGCAGGATGTCTGGGAGGCTACTCAGAGATGGCCACTAGATAACCAGGCTACATATGATATTTGCTGGGACACGTTCCCCACGTGGAAACTCCAGCCCCACCCAGTCCCATTTGCCACTCACCTTGGAAGTGTTAGGAGCTTTTGTGGGGGCACATTTAGGCCCCACTGCAGATCAGAAATCCTCAGTAGCTCCAGGGGCCCACAGCGTAAAGCCCAGAGGCCTTCGGGTGCCATCCAGGACATTTTGTCATCTCCTCCCAACTGTCCTCTCCAGCCCCTTCTGCCTTTCCTCTCCCTTGGATCTTCTGCTCAGACTGGCCCCCTCTCTGCCCACCTCACCCCTGACTCACCTAGGATGTTCCCCAGGCCTTTGACCCCATGTGCCGTTAGTACCGAAGGTGGGGGAGCACTCGCTTTCTCCCTGGATGCCCACCAAATCCCGCCACACATTCTAGGACCAGTTCTAGGAAACCTGCCTCCACTGGGAGTGATTTCTGGGCGTTTCTCCAGGGTGGTGCCTTGTATTAATCACCTCTGCATCTGCAGTGGTTGGTATGGTGTGAAGAAGACTCTCAAGAAGCCCTGGCTGGATCAACACTCGCACACGAATGATCTCTGTCCTTCCTGCAGCACTCTGCCTTAGGTGTGCTTGTTTGCATGTGCGTGTATCATCTTAACCACCTCATGAGCTCACGGAAGGCACAGCCATGCATTTCACTCCTCTACGACCTCACAGGCAGCCGGACCTCTTGTGCATGCAAGTGTTCTGTGATAGATGTGTTCTGATGATAAGGAAGACAGACATTGAAAGTAGCTTTCTTTCTGCTCCCTGATTTGGACCCTGGGCTCCAGCCAAGCCTGTTTCTTCACTGTCCCTGTCACATGCTCCCTGCTCCCCTGGGCGATCACATTTGCTCATTCTGTACTCTAGTCCCTACTTTTGTCCCCAGTCCTGGTTATTGTCCCCAAGGTCAGACTGAACCCCACCTCATCCATAATCCCCACCTCCAGATCTCTTGGGACCGGAAGACTGCAAAGATGCTCAGTTCACCAACTGGAGTACCCAAGCAATACCATAGTTCTTCCTTTTCTGTAAAATGGCTCAATGCTGACTTCACATCCCCATCATACTGGGCTGTCCAGAAATTCAACCCAGGTCTTTCTTTGGTCACCCTCTGGTCCCCCACTGGGTTGGCTAAAGGCTCCCAGCCCCTCTTGCCATGGGTCCTTACTGGTCACAGTGGAGGATGCCCCTGCCTGGCAGGTGTGGCCTCTGTGGATCTACTGTGCTGTGTCTTGCTGGTCACCTTTGAGTTACGGGCTTCTGTGGTGAGCCCAGTGCCCAAGGTCCAGCCTCCCTGCTGTGCCATAAAAGCCATTCCTTCTGAGAGCCTCTCAGTGTGAGGTGCTTTCGGGGAGCAGGTTGTAAGTTTCTATTGATTTGGGGACCCACAGGCCACTCCCTAATTACTGATTTTAGTCTAGGAACATCCCACTCCTCAAGTCCCGTTCTCCTCAACTTTGGAAAGTTCAGACACCCCGCTGCAAAATTCTCCCAGGCAAGGAAATTGAAGCCACCACCTGTGAGAGCTGGGGAAGGCAAGGGCAAAGACAAAAGAGGGGCATGGGCACTAGTTCAAAAATTCCTGTGCCTGGCCCCTCTCTTCTGAGCTCCATTTGTATTAATAAACACTCTTTGAGTGCTCTTTACTTTTTAAATGCAATACTCTTGTCCCGCGAATGAAAGTGTAAATCCTGTGAGATCCATTCCCTGGTGGATGAGACCTATTTTCTCATATTTCCTCCTTAGCAACTCGTGCAGAGCTAAGTGCACGGTAAGGGAGTGTCAGGGCTTGTTGGCTGACTCTTGTGTCCAGAGCTCATCAGAGAATGACTCCGGCTCTGCTCCAGCTTCTTTGAAAGCGAGGCTTTTGCCTCGGCAGCCCTCACTGCTTCCTGTCCTCAAGAAGACATCAGCTCTACTCATAGCTGCCTCTCCTCCCCAAACTCTTCCTGCCTGTGGTCCTCTCCCACCAGCCCCACGATGTTCGCCTTGTCCTGGAGTGGGGGAAGACAGCCCACAGCAAAGAGACACGCTTCCTTCTACATCCTGGCTGGGATGCAGAACTGAGTGATGCCAGTCCCAGCCCCTTGTGCGGTAGGAAGGCTGCAGGTCCTTGGGAGAAGTTTTGAAATCCCTTTCTCTTCCTCTCCTGGTGGGACTGAGATATTGATAAAAAGTCTCAGCAATAAGGGGAGAGAACACAGCGAAGGAGAGGTCTGTAGTCACAGCTAATCTCAGGCTAGTTCTAGGCATTCTTCCTTCCTTCATCCTTTGAGCCTGACCTCCCTCCATTCCCTCCCGCCTTTCTTTCAAACTCACCTTGACTCTCTATTCCCAGCTCCCCAACTCAAGTCATCAATGTTAACAGACTAGTGCCCATCCCACTACACCTTTCTTCATACATGTGCACACAATCATACAAACTCATCTATAGGTTAACTCATGGTGGTGTATTTTTTTTTAAATAACATCATTCTATATAGACTTTCTGTATCTTGCTATTCTTGCATAACAATGTCATATTAAAATCCCTCCAGGTTAACTGGCATAAATAGTATGCCTTTTTAAATGGCTAAATACTATTCCTTGAAATGGCTACACCACCATTTATTAAACAGGTTTCTATTGATAGGCCATCAGACTGGTTTCTGTTTTATGCAATATAAACAATGCTTCTGTGTTGATTTTTTTTTTTTTTTTTTTTTTTTTTGAGATGGAGTTTCGCTCTTGTTGCCCAGGCTGGAGTGTAATGGAGCAATCTCGGCTCACTGCAATATCTGCCTCCTGGGTTCAAGCAATTCTCCTGCCTCAGCCTCCCGAGTAGCTGGGATTATGGCGCCCACCACCACACCCAGCTAATTTTTGTATTTTTAGTAGAGAAGGGGTTTCACCATGTTGGCCAGGCTGGTCTCAAACTCCTGACCTCAAGTGATCCACCAGCCTCGGCCTCCCAAAGTGCTGGGATTACAGGCGTGAGCCACCATGCCCAGGCAATTGGTGCTTTTTAATGCTATGGAATAGATTCCCATACATGATTTCTGATTAAAGGGAATGCATGAAGGTACGATTTAGGTACAGTAAAATTAACCCATGTTCATGTAGATTTCTGCAAGTTTGCACAGACACATACAGATCATAACCAACACCATAATCAAGATACAGAACAGGTCCATAACCTCAGAAAGTTACTTTTTTTTTTTTTTGTAGTCAATTTCTTCTCCATCTCCCACCCTTGAAACCACTGATCTGTTTCTATAGTTTTGCCTTTTCTAGATTGTCATAGAAATGGAATCACAGAGTAGACTTTTGAGTCTGGCTTCTTTCACTTAGCATGATAAGATCCATCCACAACAAGACTCATTCATTCATAACAAAATTCATCCATATCATTCATTTATAAAACGATTCACATTGTTGCAAATATCAGTGATTTGTTTCCTTTTATTCTGACTAGTATTTTACTCTATGGATGTACTAATGGATTATTTATCCATTCCTCAGTTGAGAGACACTTGTGTTGTTTCCATTTTTTGACACTTAAAATAAAACTGCTATAAACATTCATGTAAAGTTTATTTATGTGGATGTATGGTTTCATTTCTCTTGGTTAAATTTCTAGAAATAGGATTGCGGGGTTGTATGCTAAGTATATATTTAATTTTACAAGGAACTGCCACCTGTTTTCTATGGCTGTACCACTTTGAATTCCCACCAGCAGTACATGTTGTTCTGTGTCCTTGATAGCACGTGGTGTTGTTATTTTGATTTTAGCCATCCTAGTGTTTACTGGTATCTCATTGTGGATTTAATTTGAATTTCCCTAATGACAAGTGTCATCAAACATCTTTTCCTGTGCTTAATTGCCATCTATGTTTCTTCTCTTTCTCAAAGATTCTTTTCAAACCTTTTACCTTTTTTCTTTATTCAACTGCTTGTTTTCTTATTTGAGAATTCTTTATGTAACCTGGATACAAGTTATTTATGTGTTTGCAAATATTATTTTCCAGTGTGTAGCCTGTTTTTTTTTTCATCCTCTTAAGTGTGCTTTTAAAAAGTTTTTAGTAAAGTCTAACAACAATTTTTGTCTTCTCTGGATCATAGTTTTGATACAGCACCTGAGAAATATTTGCCTAACACAAAGTCATGGAGATTTTCTTGTATGTTTTCCTCTGTGTTTTATAATTTTAGGTTTATAGTTTTTGATTTTATACTTTGGCATATGATTCATTTTTAAAGTGAATTTTTGAATAAGGTAGGCTGCATGGGTTGAGGTTAATTCATTTGCATATGGACATCCAATTGTTTGACAACATTGGCTAAAAGGATCATCTTTTCTCATTGAGATGACTTCATACCTTTGTAAAAAATCAACTGACCATATTTGTTTGGGTCTATTTCTGGACTTTCTAATTTTTTCCATTAATATATATGTCTATGCTTTCTCTAATACCAGATATTTTTTAGTGTATTTTTTTTTTTTTTTTTTGAGACGGAGTCTCGCTCTGTCGCCCAGGCTGCAGTGTAGTGGCGCGATCTTGAGTTACTGTAAGCTCCGCCTCCTGGGTTCACATCATTTTCCTGCCTCAGCCTCCTGAGTAGCTGGGACTACAGGCGCCCGCCACCACGCCCAGCTAATTTTTTGTATTTTTAGTGGAGACAGGGTTTCACCATGTTAGCCAGGATGGTCTCAATCTCCTGACCTTGTGATCCACCCGCCTCGGCCTCCCAAAGTGCTGGGATTACAGATGTGAGACACCGTGCCTGGCCTTAGTGTACTTATTTTTAATTTTAATAAATATATTTTTATAAAGTATTGTTCAATTGCTTTCCAAATAGGCTGACCGATTCTTCTTTTCAATAGAATATATGAAAGTGTCCTATTCCTACATATTTTTGAGCAAAGGGTATCATCACACATTATTTTTTGCCAGTATCCTGGGTTAGAAGTATCTCAGCATTACTTCAATTCTGAATATTTTCTTTTAATTAGTCCTCTATATTACACTGGGGTAGAGAGAGGCAGAAGGAAAGAGCAGAGGTGAAGTTAAGCTTACAACATAAGCCTACTGTGACCCACAGTTTGTGCTAGGTCTTTTTTTCTATGTTAGATTTTATTTTTAATTTGAACACTTTTTTGATTTAATTTTTTTGTGTTAAAATATATATAACATAAAATTTACCCTTTTAACCATTTTTAAGTGTACAATTCAGTGGCATTAAATACCACACTCACATTGTTGTGCAACTGTCACCACTATCCATTTCTAGAACTTCTTTTTCATGATCCCAAACAGAAACTCTAGAACTTTTTCATGATCCCAAACAGAAACTCTAGGACTTTTTCATGATCCCAAACAGAAACTCTCGAACTTTTTCACGATCCCAACAGAAACTCTAGAACTTTTTATGATCCCAAACAGAAACTCTGGAACTTTTTCATTATCCTAAACAGAAGTTATTAAACAATAGCTCCCATTTCCTTCTCACTCCAGTCCCTGGTAACCTGTACTCTACTTTCTGTAGACAGTGTAGGTGTAACAATAGGGTTTTTTTTTTCTCTACACATTCAGAGAAATTTCTCTAGTAACGAACCTAGAAATAATCCTGAAATTATAGTATTGACAACAGGATTTTGGCAGGTTGAGAAATGTGCTCTCAACAATCAGCCACAAAATATGGAGTGCTGGGAATGTCTGTTTTTGCTTAGAACCTCTCCAAGTCTAGCTTTCCTCACCTGAAAGGTCCTGCCTAAATCACATTTATAGTGAGAACACAACCATACAGACATAGAGAGCTATATGCACATTATGAACCTTTGTTTTATACCAAAAAATTTGTGACTAGATTGACGCTATATAAATAAAATTTTATTTTGTTTTATTTAAAAATTCTTTTTGAGACAGTGTCTCCCTCTGTTGCCCAGGCTGGAGTGCAGTGGCGCGAGCTCACTGCAACCTCCACTTCCTGGGCTCAAGCGATTCTCCCACCTCAGTCTCCCAAGTAGCTGGGACTTCAGAAGTGAGCCACCACAGCTTGCCTTTTTTTTTTTTTTTTTTTTTTTTTGAGATGGAGTTTCACTCTTGTTGCCCAGGCTGGAGTGCAATGGTGTGATCTCGGCTCACTGCAACCTCTGCCTGCCAGGTTCAAGCGATTCTCCTGCCTCAGCCTCCTGAGTAGCTGGGATTATGGCACCTGCCACCATGCCTGGCTAATTTTTTGTATTTTTAGTTGAGACAGGGTTTCACCATGTTGGCCAGGCTGGTCTCAAACTCCTGACCTCAAGTGATCCACCTGCCTTGGCCTCCAAAGTGCTGGGATTACAGGCATGAGCCACTGCGCCTGGCCTCCGCTAATTTTTTTGTATTTTTTGTAGAGACGGGATTTTGCCATGTTGCTCAGGCTGTAAAATTCTGTTTTAGATGGGCTAAGGGAGTTATCTCTTTGGAGAAGTCCTGTAATTAATTCTTTTGTTAAATGGAGGATTGCTCACCATTGTGTCTGCTTTGAATATTCAACTATTAATACATTTTGATATGGTTTGGATGTTTTTGGATGTGTGTTCCCTCCAAACCTCATGTTGAAATGTGATTCCCAATGTTGGAGGTGGGGCCTGGTGGGAGGTACTGGATCATGGGGACGGATCCCTCATGAGTGGCTTAGCACCATCCCCGTGGTGATGAGTGAGTTCTCATCAGTTAGTTCATGCCAGATCTGGTTGTTGGAAAGAGTCTAGGACCCCTCCTCTCTCTTGCTCCTGCTCTCACCATGTGATGTGCTGATCCCACTTTACCTTCTGCCATGAGTGTAAGCTCCCTGAGGCCCCACCAAAAGTCAGGAAGATGCTGGCACCATGCTTCCTGTACAGCCGTCAGAACCTTACATCAATTAAACCTCTTCTCTTTATAAATTACCCAGCCTCAGGTATTTCTTTATAGCAATACAAGAATGGCCTAACACATTTGTTTTTTTCTAAGGACCAACTAAACAGAACACTCACTGGCTGACTTTCATGAAAGCAGATGGGGGATTGAGACCAGAGTCTAACAGGATCAGACAGTGATTGGCCCATGGCAGACTCTGGGCCATATTAGGGGTGCCACCATGTACCCCCATGCTCAGACAGTGCTTGGCCCATGGCAGATCTCCTGCAGAGGCATTTGTGAAGGACTGGATGCTGGCTTACCTGTCAGGCATTATTCCTTGTGGGTATTACTTCAAGTAATTCTTACAAGAGTGTTGTAAGTTTTATATTGTTATTATTTATTTTCTACAGAAGAATTGGAAAGCAGTGCTCAGGGCCTCTAGGAGTTGACCTGAGGCTGTTAAGTGAGATCTATTTACAGGACTTGTGGCTAATAGGAGTTTAGAAACTTCTTTTGGGCTCTACACAGCCTGACTGTCAAAGGTGTATTTTTCACTGTCCAAAGTCTGAAAGTCAGGCTCTGTTGAAGGACATGCTTGTGACATCAAGTGGGAAACAATGGTGGTCATTCTTGGGGGCAGAGTGGTGTTGAGAAAGGAGCTCCGAATTGGAAGTCCAAAATCTGAGAAACAAGTGTGGGACAGCCCTTAGCATCTGTTCCACACTCTGCTCCTGATGGCTGTCGGGAGCCTTATCTCAGTCCAGGCTTCCCTACCAGAGGGATTTGTGACCTGGGCAAGTCCTTTTATCTTTTAGGCAATTGTCCAGCACTTCCTCCCTGCCTCTAGACCAATGGAAACTGAATTTCTAGGAGGAGTCCACGTCTATGTTTTTAAAAGTCCCCAGGAGATTCTAGTGCTCACAGGGTTGAGAACCAATGGAAAGGGGAGGAATCTGGAGGCCTCGAGTGCTGAGATGGGAAGGGAACCCCCAAGGAAATCTCAGGGAAGACAGGGGAAGGCTTCAGGGGATACAGGCTGACTGCACCCAGTTGTAATTATGCCCTGGGTAGGGACTGGGTTGGGGATGGGGATACCACACTTTGTAGCAGGAAAGAACATTCCCAGAGACTTGTCATGGACCTCTGCGACCTGGCACGCCTCCCAAGCCTACCTTCTTTGCCCTGCTCCCCAGCTGCACCCAGTTCTCAGCTGGGCCCCCCAGTGGGAGGCCTGGGCAGGCCTCACCATCTGCTAGAAGCCTCCCTGCGTGTAGGCCCTGCTGGTCTTCCTGGAGGCTGACCTCCCCTGCAGGCGTTGGGACCATTTAGTGTGACACCTTATCCTTGGTATTACCCACATTCTAATTGTCCTATCCACCTGTATCTGTCTCTTGTGTGTTTTTTTTGTCCTTGAGATCTGGGACAGAGTCCTGCAGTGCAAACAGCATGGGCCTTGGAGGCCCCCACACCTGCACGTGCATTGTCACTTATTAGCAGTGTCACTTTCAGCAAATGATTAACCAAAGCCTCCTGCCCTCATCCTTAAAATGGGAACAATGCTGTCTTCCTTTGAGGTTGTTGTGAAGATAACACGAAGCAATGTACATAATGTCCTTGGCACACAGTAGGTGATCGATACATACATGTTGATTAACCAAGCATTTGGATAATCATTGCCGTAATTATAACCAACATTGGGGAACATTTTGCCTGTCTTTTCACAGAATAAACCTGTGAGTTTTTATTAGTCTTGTTTTGTACACATGGGAAACGGGGTTCAGATAAATTAGAAGGACTCAAGGCACACTACGCAGGAGATGCAGGACTGGGGGTGCACCCAGTTCTTATCCCCTCAGATCCTCTGCCTTCTCTACCCTATTGCTCCCTGGGTGGACATGATAGGTGTAGGGTCAGCTGTCGCTGCTTTGGCTCTGTGAGAGCACCACCTGTGGTTCCCAGCTCCCCACCTGGTCCTTCCAGCAGAACTCAAGCTTGGGAAGCTTGGCCAGTGCGCACAGCTGCAGGGGGCATGGGGAAGGGCCCTGTCATGTTTGCCGCAGCCTCTGGTCATGTTCTGATGTTTTCTGCTGTGTTATGGATGCACGCCACTCCTGTTCACGTCGCTGAGCAGGGATGGGGCACTGTAAGCCCTTTCCTTCTCGGTGCTATCCAAGCCTCACATCTGAGCTGCCAGCGTGGTTTGAATCATCACGTTTTTAGTGACGGTGCTGTTCTCTTAAAGGCAAGGGTGGAGATGAGGAGGGTGAGGGAGGCTGGAAGAGGGAGGAGGAGGAGAATGATGGTGTTGGGGCCTTTCTGGAAAGGAACTGAGGAAACAGGAACCTCCTGTTCTTCTGCTCCGGCTGGCCCAAGGCCACCGTGATGAGAGGCTGATGAGATCCAACTCTGAGTCAGCAGAACCCAGAAAGGTCCCTGTGGGTCCCCTGCTGACTCACCATGCCCCTTCCTCACAGGCTCTGACCAGCAGTGCATGGAGTGGCCAAGCTGCAGTGTCCAGGCCGGGTCCTGACTTCCTGGGCCATGGGGAGGAAGCTGAGGAATTGAAGGACACTCAGGATTCACTGAAGGGGCTTCCCAGATTTTGGTCATAGCCGCAGCAATGATCTCATGGGATTTTTTCCTCTTTACATTTTATCCAGAACAGAAAAGATTGCTCCACCCTTACAATCCTGCCTCCATTGCCAACCTTTTTCCTCCCCCTGCCCTGGCTGTGCCACCTGGTACAGCAGCGTCTGTTGCAAAGAGGGTGCCCTCACATTGGGGTAGGTGGCTCTCAGCAGCTCAGCTCACAAAGATCTCAGGCCTCACCCAGGGAAGCAGAGGGAAGCTCCCCAGTGCTCCCAGACCCCTTTCTATGCCACTAGCCCCTTTGTTCTCAAGACAGGCTGTAGCCCAAAGAGCTGCCCCTGGAAGCATGCTGGCGGGAAGCTGTGCATCATGGGAGCTGAGAAAGGGGAAAACAGCCTGGCCTGGGCTTGAAGGAGGGGTGAGAGGAGCCAGCAGGTGAATGGAGCTAAGGATCATGAAATATCCCCGAGGGCACCCCAGCACCAGGCTTGTCTTCCTCTTCCTCCAGGAGGGGCAAGTTATAGGGGGGTCCATTGAGAGACAGACAGTTCTCTTCCTCTCCTATCCTCTGCTTGGTCAGTGGGGCCGGCATTCCTGGGGAGGTGGGTGTGGCTGGGGCTCCTCCGGGTCTCCTCGTGCTGCGGCAGCAGAGTGTGATTTGAGGGCAGGGCCAGAGTGAAGCTGGTTTTGCCTGGACCTCCACTCAGTGGGAACTGAAGGCCCCCAGCTTCAGGGGGCTTCTTTGAATAGGAAAGGGGAATGCCAAGGGGCAGAAGAAGAGGAAAGAAAAGAGGGCAGTTTGATCTGGTGATGTGATTTGTATCTTGGGGACAGCTGTACAGAAATACACAGGAAATGGGACCCTGCCTCGAACCTTTCTGTGTTCAGAAAGGTCAGTAGTGACCTACATGTAGGCAGGTGACCAGGTAGCTGCCCACACCAGCAGCTATGTTTGAAGTGAGAGGAAAGCTAGTTATTAGTTGGAGTAAATAAATGTTAAATTTTTTGATTGGAGGGAAAAATGGAGGAGTGTGTGTGTTTTGGGGTGGTCTTGGGGAAGAACCTCAGTGGGCTCAGCCAGTGTCAAAGAGGACAAGTGTCACTACATATGTTGTGGGGCGGGAGTATTAAGCTCATAGAATGTGGCAGGAGAGGGCACCTTCCTATGCCCAGGTCTAGCAGCCAGTTTAACAGAGAAGGCAAATGAAGGACCAGCCAGCCCAGGGGTGCCTGGCGTTCTGTAGATGGAGAGAGGAAGCAGAAGTCTCTATCCAGAAGCCTGTATTCTACAATGATCTCTATAATGCTTCATGGTTCTTGAAACACATTCTCCTTCATTTTATTATGTCATCTGCTGTAGACTGTAGCTTCTTCTACAGTAAGAGCAGGGGCTGCTCTTACGCACATGGGAGGTGCTTACATGCCCAGCATTAAGCATTGGCCCAGAACTGCATAAATGATCAGCTCCTGGTTTGATGAACTTTGGTGTGTGAAGCCAGGGAACCTGGAGTTTTGAAATGAGTCTTTAAAGCCTTAGAATCAGAACATATTATTTTAAAAGGGAATTATTTATTTTTTAATTGACAAAAATCGTATATATTTGTGGTGCATAACATGATGTTTTGCAATATGCATACATTGGCCAGGCGCGGTGGCTCACGCCTGTAATCCTAGGACTTTGGGAGGCCGAGGCGGGCGGATCACTTGAGGTCAGGAGTTCGAGACCAGCCTGGCTAACATGGTGAAACCTCGTCTCCACTAAACATACAGAAATTAGCTGGGCATAGTGGCATGCACCTGTAATCTCAGCTACTCGGAAGGCTGAGGCAGGAGAATCACTTGAACCTGGGAGGCGGAGGTTGCAGTGAGCCAAGGTCGTGCCACTGCACTCCAGCCTGGGCAACAGAGAGAGACTCCATCTCAAAAAAAAAAAAAACATATACTGTGGAATGATTAAATCAAGCTAATTAGCATATATATTACTTCACATGTTTATTTGTGGTGAGAACACTTAAATTCTTCTCTCTCAGCAATCTTCAAGTATGTAATATATTGTTATTAACTGTAGTCACCATGTGGTACAATAGTGTACCACATGGTACACTTGAACTCCTGTGTAATGGAAATTTTATGCCCTTTGTCTAACAGTACCTTCCTCAAACCTCCTACCATAGTCTCTGGTAACCATCATTCTACTTCCTGCTTCTATGAGTTTAACTTTTTTAGATTCCACATATAAGAGAGGTCATGCGGTATTTGTCTCTCTGTGCCTGGCTTATTTTACTTAATGTAATATCCTCCAGGATCATCCATGTTGTCACATATGACAGGATTTCCTTCTTTCTTAAAGCTGGATGGTACTCCATTGTGTATATATAACAACATCTTTTTTTTATAAATTCATTCATCCATTGATGTACACTTAGGTTGATTCCATATCTTGACCATTGTGAATGGTGCTGCAATAAACATGGGCATGCAGATCTCTCTGACGTATCAATCAGCTCCTGGTTTGGTGAACTCTAGTGTGCAAAGCCAGGGAACATGGAGTTTTGAAACGAGTCTTTAAAGCGTTAGAACCAGACCATATCCTTTTTTTAAGAAAATTATTTTTTAAATTGGCAAATAAAAATGGTCAAATAAATTGACACTAAAATGTCCTTTGCCTATATGCCTAGTCGTGGGATTGCTGGATCATATGGTAGTCCTATCTTTAACTTTTTGAAGTACCTGTTTTCCATAATGGACGTACTCATTTCCATTCCCACCAACAGTGTGCACATGTTCCCTTTTCCCCGCATCCTCTCCAACATGTCCTATCTTCATCTTTTTGATCATAGCCATCCTAACCGGTGTGAGGTGATAGCTAATTGTGATTTTAACTTGCATTTCCCTGATGATTAGTGGACCACATTGTTAATTATAAATTTTATTTGCACTGAGCTTTGAATGAAAGCACCTTCCTCTCTATCATGTTTTCTCAATTGTCCTCTTATCATCTCATTCCATTCATTTTCCCAAAGCTGTCTTAGCTGCTCTATATTTTTTTGAAGATTTTAAATTTAATTTTTATTATAGTAAAATATGCATAATGTAAAACTTACCAAATGAACAATGTTTTTTTTTTTTTTTTGAGACGGAGTCTCGCTCTGTTGCCCAGGCTGGAGTGCAGTGGCTCGATCTCGGCTCACTGCAAGCCCCGCCTCCTGGGTTCATGCCATTCTCCTGCCTCAGCGTCCCGAGTAGCTGGGACTACAGGCGCATGCCACCAAGCCCAGCTAACTTTTTGTATTTTTTTTTTTTTAGTAGAGATGGGGTTTCACTGTGTTTGCCAGGATGGTCTTGATCTCCCGACCTCGTGATCCACCTCGGCCTCCCAAAGTGCTGGGATTACAGGCGTGACCACGCCCAGCCCCATATGAACAATTTAAGTGTACAGTTAGGAAGCATTAAGTGCAATCACATTGCTGTGCAACCATCACCACCATCCATCTGCAGAACTTTTTCATCTTCCCAAACTGAAACTCTGCCTCCATGAAACAACAGCTCCCCATTTTCCCTCCCCCAGCTCTGGCAATGACCATTCTGCTTTCTCTCCTTATGAATTTGATTATTCTAGGTATCTCATATAAGTGGAGTCATATAGTATTTGTCCTTTGGAGTCTTGCCTGTCTTATGGTTGGTTTTAATTTCATTGAGACAGTCTTGGTCTCATCCAACAAATTAGTCTATTAAGCACCTCCTGAAATAACCACAGCTAATGTTCACTGGGCACCTACCTTGTGCTGGCCTGGGCGCCATGTAAGCACTGCACAGGTATTATCCTCTACTCCTTATGGGCACTTTGGGCAGCGAGTGTTTGAGGAATGTGAGGCACAACTAGGATAACAGGGCTGCAGGGGGAACCCAGGCCGTCTGACTCCCGAGTCCAGCATTTCCCACTCTCTGGCCAAGTCCTGGGTTCTGGGATGTCTGCTTCATGGCCCCCTCACCAAGCCATGGGGCCCCCAGTTAATCACATCCCTGAGTGACCTCATTTTCTTCTGCACAACTGCTCTGCCTTTCGCATATCCAGGGAGACAGAACACCCAGTCTCTTCCGCCACTTGCCCAAATCAGGAAAAAGAGAGATCCCTGACCCCTGCTTCAACTAGCATCTAGTTCCTAGGATGTTATCTCAACTACCTGCAAATTGGTCCCACTAAGACTCATTTCTTTCCTTTGGTCTGAATTATTATGGTGGCATCCGAACTGACTTTGTTGCCCTGGGCTGACCCCCTTCCAGTCTACCCTGATGAAGAAGCTGGGAGCAGCCAGGCCTGGAGTCTCAGAGGGGGCCCTGCATGCATGGGCTTCAGGCCAATGTGGTCTCTCATCTGGGAAGTGGCAGGGCCTTGGCTGCAATAGAAGAGTCTTCAGCCAGGCGCAGTGGCTCATGCCTGTAATCCCAGCACCTGGGAGGCCGAGGTGGGCAGATCATGAGGTCAAGAGATGGAGACCATCTGGCCAACATGGTGAAACCCCATCTCTACTAAAAATACAAAAATTAGCTGGGCATGGTGGCGCGCGCCTGTAGTCCCAGCTACTTGGGAGGCTGAGGCAGGAGAACTGCTTGAACCCAGGAGGTGGAGGTTGCAGTGAGCCGAGATTGCACCACTGCATTCCAGCCTGGCAACAGAGTGAGACTCCATCTCAAAAAAAAAAAAAAAAAAAAAAAAAGAAGAGTCTTCACCCAGCAGTCCAAAAAGCAACTCTGATCACTTTCTTTCTTTCCTACTATGGTCCTGTGGCTCCTCAGAACAAAAGAGCCCAATCCTTAGTGCTGCCTGCCTTTCCAACATCATGTGGTGCTCCCCACCTCATGCCTGCCTGCTAGTAAACCTCAGCTCTCTGCAGTTCCGAAAGGCCACTCTTACTTCTTACAGGTCGGTCACCCCTGCTGGTCTGTAAGCCCCATTGAGCAGACCTATGGCTTACCTTGGTAGCCCTGGCCTATAACTCACCTGAGCTCTGCCAGTGTTTGTTGAGTGAACGAGTATGGAAAAAGCCCTTTGGATGAGGACCTGAGCAAGGAAGAAAAATTTGCCTCCATGATGCTAGCATGAAGCATCTTTACCCAATGTGACACCATTTCTCATCTGAAATACATTGTATCTGGCCTGAAATGCTAATGATGTCAAAATTAAACATACCTATGAGAATAGAAATTTTTTTCTATATATTTATGGAAGACAATGCCTAAAAAATTTTAAACCTTTATTCTATGAGATAAAGGATGGAGTTGACTTTAAGGTAGAATAGGATCCTCATTTATTAATTTACTAATTATTTTCCTTGCGATAGACTTGCCTAACAAATTAGGTCTGTAGCAAACTTTTCCCCCACCACCTTTCCCCCACCATGTGATGCCTATCTTCTATCTTCTTGTTCCATGCCACGGGAAGTAGGTCACAAGGAGGGGAATTAGGTCAGAAACAGCGGGCGTGAGGAGGCGGAGGATGGAGAAGGGCATGCTTTCCACAGGAATCTTCGAGATCCAGGCCACTCCTCTCTCTCCACTGAGGGGGCGTGAGACAGATTCTGAGCCAGGCTATGGCAGAATCCAATCTGAGCAATGTCCCTTTGTCCCTGGGGAGAGCTGCAATAGGAAGAGCGGGGGAGGATCCCGAAGGTTTGGGTGTTCTCCATGTGTGTCCCAGGGCACTTTCATTTTGGATGAAGCATCAGCCTGCGTGGGGCTGGGGAGGAGCGGCAGCCAGGACTCGCTTCCTTAGGGAGGAATATGCTTGCTCTAGGATGACAGGCCTCCTTGGCAATGGCAGGCAGAGTCAGTTCCATGGGACTTTTGAAGAACATAAACAATCCCCTTTTTATGTAAACACTCAAGCAAACCAAAGCTGGCTGTTAATTGTCTCCCTGGCCTGGACCCAAGGCAGAAATTTGGAGTTGCCCCCTTCTTGGATTAATCTGGAATGACTCCCCTTATATCCCCTCTTACCCTAACCCCCCATACTCTGGGATCTAGAGACGAGACACTACTGACACTTGGAGTTGCATAGTTCTTTGTTGTGGGGAGTTGTTCTGTGTGTTGCAGGATATTTGGCAGCATCCATGGCCTCTACCCACCAGATGCCAATAGCAACACCCTGCTGGAGGCCGCACACATGTTTCTTATGATTAGGCATAATTGAAGCCTGTCAGGAACAATATGAACCTGTGATCAGTTAAGCAGCTGATCAATCATTACCTCCTCCTCCTTGCTCTTGTTACCCAATAAATACAAAGGGCCGTAGAAGCTCAGGAACTGCCTTTGCTCACTAGAAGCAGGGAGCTCTCTTCTTCCCCATGTTGCCTTTCCTTAAAATAGTTATTTTGTTTTTTTGTTATCATTTCTATGTTTGTCCCTTCATTCAGTCTTGTAATGAAGGTTGCAAGCAGTAACAGTAGTGACTGCTGTAATGACGGTCTCAAGTAGTAGTAGTGGCAGTCAGCCACAGCACCCTGCAAACTGAATTGTGACAACCAAAAATGTTTTTAGACATTGCCAAATGTCCCCTGGGGAGTAAAATTGTCTCCAGTTGAGAACAACTGCTCTACCATATACATGCTAAAAGCCTTTAATACCACGTGTCAAAGTTTCAAAGTTTAAACCAGTCACCTGATTTTGACTGAGGATCAAATTCTGAACAAGGAAATGGCAATGGGCTCTACAGACGGTGCAGGTGCATTGAGTGGCGCATGAGGCCAGTTCTGCTGGAAGCTGGTTCTGTGACCTTGGGCCATTATCCTTCTTGAACCTTACACTTGCTAACTAAAACTACAGCAAAATAGCAGCCTTCTCTGTGGTGTGTAGGTGTCCTCTGATGATAAGGGTGATAAAACATCAGTCAGAGCTGGGAGTTCTTTGGAGGAAATTTGTGCTGTGGTGAGGCCAGTTTATGTTTTTACTATTCTTTTACTCGAAGCTTCATTAAATCAAGTTGTTGGCCTAGCAACTTATGGAGACTTCACAGTCAAGATCTCCTCAGCAAAACCTGATTTCAAATATTCTGTCCTATTGTCCCCATATACCTTTGAAATATCCCGGGTATCCTGAAATGGCATTTTTCAGCTTGTCTCTCACCTCCAGGGGTCATGCAAACAGCCTTTAGTGGCACCTGCATATTGCTTTTGGCATATTTACTGGTGAGGCACAGTCATCAGTGGGTCTGGCTATAACCCTGCTGGCGCCC
This sequence comes from Homo sapiens, assembly GCF_000001405.40. Lineage (NCBI taxonomy): Eukaryota > Metazoa > Chordata > Mammalia > Primates > Hominidae > Homo > Homo sapiens. Next base: position 49,647,635 of record NC_000018.10, read on the forward strand.
TGGGGGCCGGGGCCATGTGCAGGAATCTGACATGGGCAAGAGGCACATCCAAAGACCCAGAGCAGCCCATGCTCATTGTAGACATTCCTCACAATGTAGACATTTTTGCTTAAATGAGCCATGAGTAAAGGGAAAAAGCACTTTACTGTGGGTAATTTCTTCATAAATTACCCAGCTTCAGGTGTTCATTTATAGCAACACAAATGGACTAAGATAGTTTTTGATCACGTTCATGATCGGTGAACAGCTTTCAGACAGTTTTTTGTGGGCATGAGGAAAGCAACAGAGGCAGATGGTGTCCTCCATGACTCACAATCTGAGTATGTGAATGATTAATGATTTGGGGCCAGGCTCCAGGGGTCCAAATCCCTATGAACTGCGTGATCTTTCTAAAGTTACCTAAACACTCTGTTTCCTTCCTCATTTGTAAAGTGAACATAAACGCAGTATGTGGTCATAACACAGGCGATGTTCTTAGATCAATGCCTCGTCCATAATAAATTCTCAATCCATGTTAGCTATTAATTGTGTTACAATTCAATCTGTTCAACACTATAGTAAAGCTGTAAGCAAAATGCTAGGAAGTCTCTAAGTGATGAATGTTTCCCAAAGCAATCCAGGAAGACTTGGCCATTGCAAGCCTATGGCCCTGACAAGGGAAAAGACTCAGGAACCGGGAGCGTAGCAGTAAATCCAGTTACCCAGCAGTGCATATGCTTCACCCAAGTCAAGCTGTCTTGCAGAAGTGGGGCAGCCTGACTTTCCACTGTGTTCTCCCCAGTGAATATGGCCTAGGCCCAGTGTCTGCTGAGGTCACTCCACACTCATGGAGCTGGGAACAGCTGCTTTCAGGGAAAGGTCAGCTGTTGCTGAAATGATGGACTGTCCTAGCATTTAAATTGTTTACGCAGGGCCAGGCAACGTGGCTCACGCCTGTAATCCCAGCACTTTGTGAGGCCAAGGTGGGAAGATCACTTGAGGCCAAGACTTCAAGACCAGCCTGGCCAACATGGTGAAACCTCATCTCTACAAAAAATATAAAAATTCGCCAGGCATGGTGACACACGCCTGTAATCCCAGCTATTCAGAAGGCCGAGGCACAAGAATTGCTTGAACCCTGGAGGCAGAGATTGCAGTGAGCCAAGATTGTGCCATTGTATCCCAGCCTGGCCAAAAGAGTGAGATTCTGTTTCTAAATAAATAAATAAAATAGTTTGTGAGGAGCAAATGGCCAGTGATTCAGAGAAATACCTACTACTGGTGCCGAAAAGACCTGTACAATTCCGGTACTAGCTTTGTGAGTACAGCTATTAAAGCATAACTAACTTTTACACCCAGGTACAGCTTAAAAAAAAAAGAGAACTGGCAGAGCTGCCCCTAGTGGCAATGCTCAGGGGTGGTGGAGGTGCCCAATGGACATGTCTGTCCCAGAAAAGAAGCACTGACACCCTGGGAATGGTTATTAATGAATCCTAAATTTCCTTTGGCTTTTGGCTTTCTTTTGCATCCTCTGGCAGTCGCATTGAATATAAATATCAAGTGCCAAGACAAGTCAATAGGGAAATTGTCTTGTCTTTTCAACAAAGGGTGCCAGGACAACTGGATGTCACTGTGAAAGAATGAAGATGGATCCTACTTCACACCATCTATAAAAACTAACTCAAAAGGAATCAAAAGACATTTTGGAAGAGCTAAAAACTACAAGACTATTGGAAGAAAATGTAGGGGTAAATCTTGAGACCTTGGAGTAAGCAATGGTTTCTTAGATGTGACACCAAAAGCACAAGTGATGAAAGAAAAAGTAAGTTGGGCATCATCTAAATTAAAAACTTTCATGTTTCAAAGGACACTATTATAAGAAAGTGAAAAGACAAAACACTGAATGGGAGAAAATATTTGCACAGAGAAACCTGTACACAAATATGCACAGCAGCGTTATTCATCATGGCCCACTACAGGGCCAGGCACAGTGGCTCACTTTGGGAGGCCGAGGCAGGCGAATCACGAGGCCAGGAGCTTGAGACCAGCCTGGCCAACATGGTGAAACCCCATCTCTACTAAAAATACAAAAAAAAAAAATTAGCAGGGCATGGTGGCGTGTGCCTATAATCCCAGCTACTTGGGAGGCTGAGGCAGGAGAATTGCTTGAATCCAGGGGGTGGAGGTTGCAGTGAGCCGGGATCGCACCACTGCACTCCAGCCCGGGCAACAGAGCGAGACTCCATCTCGATAAAAAAAAAAAACCCAAAGTAGAAAAAAACCAATTGTCCATCAGTGATGAATGGATGAACAAAAGGTGTGCTATCCATACAGTGGGATGCTGTTCAGCCATCAGAAAGGAAAGAAGTACTGCTACATGCTCCAACATGGATGAGCCTGGAAAATGTTACACTGAGCCCAGTAAGCCAGACACAAAGGCCACATTTTGCGTGACTACATTTATACAAGATGTGCAGAATAGACAGTCAAATCCACAGAGACAGAAGGTGGATCAGTGGCTGCCAGGACTAGGGGAAGAGGGAAGGGGAAGGACTGCTAATGGTATGGGGTTTCTTTGGGGGCTGATGAAAATTTTCTGCAACTAGATAAAGGCAATAGTTGTACAGTCACAGGAATACACTAAAAATTGCTGAATTGTGCACTAATGGTATGGGGAATGTATTGCCCCCTCCAAAAAAAGTAGGAGGTGCTGGACCAGGTGACAAAAGTGTGGCCATGCCCCAGACTTTTTCACTAGGGACCCTGCATGAGCCAGCAGGTGCCCAGAGAGAGCCCCCGCCCTGCCCTCAAGGCTTGGCTGAGGGCTTCCTGGAGGAGGAGTTTGGCTCAATGCTGAGCTGAACCAACTGCAGTTTTTGGAGTCTGCACGCATCATTCACAATCCCGTGGAGTATTGTATAAGAGCCACATCGTAACTTTGTGACTCGCTGCTGCCAGGGCCCCAAGGAAGTGCTCTTCCTGGGCACGAACCCAGGACCTTTTAGCATGGCCCAGACATGAGTGCCCTTTGAGGAAGTGAACATGGTCTGGGACTGGCTGGGCATTGGAGGGCCTGTGCTAACCCCTCCCCAAGAGCACTGTCTTAGCTGGGACTGGGGTGCTGGGACTGGCGTGCTCAGTGAGAGGTGAGTGGTGCCCGATTCTGGGGCTTTTCCAGAACCTCTGTGGAAAGCCTGAGGTCTTCTCCTTTCACTGCTTTGTCCACAATCTGTGTTCTCTGCTATTCCTGGCTCCCAGAGAACACAACCTCACTCCTGCTGAGCTTCCTGCCAAGCAGCAAGAACAGCTTCTTGGGATCTTAGTGTCCCCTCTGCCGGCAGGTGCGGCGGCTGGGGGTTCGGCTGGGGGTGGGAGTGGCCCGGCTGGGGCAGTAGTGGGCGCGAATGGCTTTGGCAGGCCTGATGCCAGAGGTCCAGGTGGAGGGGCTCCTGCATCTCTCTCCCCGTAACCCACAGGAAAACAGGGCTAATAGGCAGTGACCAAGTGAGTTGACCAAGTGAGTTGGGGCTGCTGCCGCGGCTATGGAAATGAGTGCCCCTGGGGCCTGGCATGGGACACATTCAAGGCCTCCAAGTCACTCTTGGGCAAGCAGATAACAACACACCCTGGACTGAAGCCAGAGGTCCTCCTGGGCTCCCTGCTTGCCGGGAAACATACCCTTCGATCTGTTGAACTGTCTTCCAACCTGCTGTGGCAGTTTTGCCCCACTCCTGTTTGCCGTGCTGAGTCCTGCTTTCCTCACCTTCCCTGAGCATTGCCCTTTCTGTGGGAGGGAATCAGCAGAAGGTGCACTGTTGCACTTCAGATGCTTCTACCTCGTCGTTTCCTCGGAAGTCTCTATTCAATGGGGAGCTCCCTAGACTGGCTGCTAAGGTCGCATTTGCTTTTTCAGAGGAAATACCTTGTCAGGAACCCTACCCATCCTTATAGAACAGCTGCCTTCAGCTAACCCCTTTCCTCATAGGGGCCAGGACAAAGCATGGGACAAGAAATTCAGAGTGACCTTCTCATGAGAGGCTGAGGCTGGCTCAAAGAATTCGGTGCGGCAGAGTGAAAGTCAGAAGACCTGGATTTTCATCCCAGCTTTGCGACTTGTGAGCTTTATGATGGTCAAATTGATGAAGACTAGGCTTCAGGCTGCTCCTCTGTAAACGGGGGCTGTCTCCCTCCTGGGGTTTGTGTGAAGGCAACGGAGACAACACTTGAAAGTGTCTTGGCCGGGCGCGGTGGCTCATGCCTGTAATCCCAGCACTTTGGGAGGCCGAGGCAGGTGAATCATGAGGTCAGGAGATGGAGACCATCGTGGCCAACATGGTGAAACCCCATCTCTACTAAAATACACACACAAAAAATTAGCCAGGTGTGGTGGCGTGTGCCTGTAGTCCCAGCTACTTGGGTGGCTGAGGCAGGGAAATTGCTTGAACCTGGGAGGCAGAGGTTGCAGTGAGCTGAGATCGCACCACTGCACTCCAGGCTGGCAACAGAGCGAGACTCTCAAAAAAAAAAAAAATTGTCTTGCATAGGCCTGGCTCATGGCTTTGCTTTCTTGCTTTCTTACCTCGGGGCTGGGGAGTCACCGCACTGTGCTATGAGGAAAGCCCCTCTCCATTCAGGAGACCCTGCTAGGGAGGAGTCTGGGCTCCCACCTGTGGCCAAAGTGAGGGGCGAATTCTTTCCCTGTCAGAGATGGACCAATGACTTTATGACAAACCCAGCCTGTGATTTTTCTAGTCTAAGCATTAAAAGCTCCTAAACCCAGCCAGATCTGGTGGCTCACGCCCATAATCCCAGCACTTTAGGAGGCTGAGGTGGGTGGGTCACTTGAGGTCAGGAGTTTGAGACCAGCCTGGACAACGTGGTGAAACCTCATCTCCACTAAAAATAGGAAAATTAGCTGGGTGTGGTGGCGGGTGCCTGTAATCCCAGCTGCTCAGGAGGTTGAGGCAGGAGAATCGCTTGAACCCGGGAAGCGGAGGTTGCAGTGAGCCGAGATCACACCACTGTACTCCAGCCTGGGCATCAGAGTGAGACTCCATCTCAAAAATAAATAAATAAATAAATAAAAATAAAAACCCTTAAACTCTTTTAAAAAATAGCTACAAAGCGCCTCCCCTGTCTCCGTGCCAACTGGGGTGAGGTGGGAGCTTAATGGATCCTGTAGATCATATACATTTGAATCTCAGGCCTAGATGAAGGCAGAGCCCTCATGAATGATCAGGGGAGATATGTTTTCTATCTAGAGCCCTGGACAAGCTAGATAAGCTATTTCATTATCTCTCATTGCAAGTGAGGAGATTGTTTTTTCTGTCACTTTTTTCCGTAGAGTGGAAGCCTTGGAAGGTCTTGGCTGTATGCAGGATTCACAGCTTTGACGCATGCGTGCCCTAGGCCCAGGCCTCAGCTCCTGTCCCTGTTGGTGGCCATTACATCCAAAGCTTCTTAGGTATCAAGATTGGCAGCTCTCCCCTTCCACCTCCCCTGCATCCAGTGCAGCTGCCCCCACGATCTCCTGCTTCTTTGGTTTCAGTTTGCTTTGCTTTCCTTTTGGCTGCAGGATTTCCCTTTCTTTAGCAAAGCTCAGTTAGTGCATTTGAAAGCCTGTTCATTACCTTTTCTCTACCACTTCTAGGTGTTTTTAGAGCAGAAAGCTTTCTATGTTTCCTAGTCTGCCACACTATCAGAAATGTAAGTCTCTGTGATACAATTTCTCTCTATTAAACTAGCAAAAATGTAGCAGGGGCATGTGCAAGGGTGAGGGAAGTGCTCACATTCTCCTGATGGGAATCTGAATTGCTACTCAATTCCTGACAGTATTTTGCAATAAAAAATATGAAAAAATGATGCATGTCTTTTGTCCCAGCAATTTCCATTTCTAGGAAGTTACTCTATTAAATAAACATGGATGTGTGCAAAGTTTCAGGTTCAGGATGTTTGTCATAGTTGTATCCAGCCTCGGCATTTCCAAAAAGTATACACTGTTTAAATATTCCAGTTGGGGAAACAAAAAGGAAAAAACAAGAAGGAAGGGGAAGCACTTAGGAAAAGAAAAACTTTCTGAGAAATCTTCAGCAAATGAATGCTTACGACTCTAGGGTCAGATACATCTCTTGGCCTTCCGTAGCTATGAGGGAAACTTGGAAAATCAGAATTTTTATTTGGGTACAACTGAGGTTTTGTTAGTAAGGACGAAGGGAGGAATGGATACCATAGTGTGTATGTATGTATGCAAGTATATGGGTGTGTTTATTAGGGTTGTCTAGAGGGACAAAACTAATAGGATAGATGACTATATGAAGGGGAGTGTATTAAGGAGTATTGACTCACACGATCACAAGGTGAGGTCCCACAATAGGCCATCTGCAAGGCAAGGAGCAAGGAAGCCTGTCTGAATCCTAAAGCTGAAAAACCTGGAGTCCGATTTTCAAGGACAGGAAGCATCCAGCATGGGAGGAAGATGGAGGCCAGAAGACTAAACCAGTCTAGCTTTTCCATGTTCCTCTGCCTGCTTTTCTTCTGGCCACGCTGGCAGCTGATTAGATGGTACCCACCTAGATTGAGGATGTGTCTGCGTCTCCCAGTCCCCTAACTCAAATGTTAATCTCCTTTGGCAACACTCTCACAGACACACCCAGGAACAAAACTTTGCATCCTTCAATCCAATCAAGTTGACACCCTTTATTAACCATCACAGTATGTATGTGTGTATACATGTAAATATGTATGTATGTATGTATCTATGCATCTATCTATTGATTGAGATGCTTCTAGAAGGGTAGATATCAAGTTCTTTTGATGTTTATTCCTAGTTGGAAGAATTTTAAAGGTAATTTTTACAATCTTGTTTTTGCATATTTGATATAATACAGCTGCATTATATTTATTTTTAAAATAAATATTTTAAAATTTCAAATATTTAAAAAATACATTAAGATAATAAAATATAATAAGATAATATAAAACAGCTGTATTATATTTATTTTTAAAAAGTCACTCAAGAGCCTGGGTGCGGTGGCTCACACCTATAATCTTAGCACTCTGGGAGGTCAAGGTGGGTGAATTGCTTGAGTCCAGGAGTTCGAGACCAGCCTGGGCAACATGGTGAAACCCTGTCTCTCCAAAAAATACAGAAAAATTAGCTGGGTGTGGTGGTGCACACTTGTGGTCCTAGCTACTTAGGAGACTGAGGTGGGAGGATTGCTTGAGCCCAGGAAGCAGAGGTTTCAGTGAACCAAGATTGCACCACTGCACTCTAGCCTGAGTGACAGGGTGAGACTCTGTCTCAAAGAAAAAAAATGTCAAGAAAGGTTATAGTTGTTAAGGATGGGGTGGCACATGATGGGGGTAGGACCACAGCCAGATGTGGTGCCAGAGAGCGATGAGAAGCAGAGAACCACAATATCTCAGGAGTGTGGGATGAGGATACAGCAACTGCCAGGGTGGGGCACTCTGAGTGTTCTCAATGGATTGTTATGTCCTTGGTTTTTAATTTGGGGAGGGGTCAAAATGTTGCCTGTTGTCTTGTATGTGCTGCCTACAACCCATTTGGAATATAGAGGGCAGAAGGGGGGACTCTGCAGCCCCTCCAGACATCCCTGCTACGAAGGTGGAATATCTTGATTGTGCGTGGATTTCGTTATCACCCAGGTAGCTGCTTGCCATTGTAACTGACTTCTCCTTTCAGCTCTTTAATTGGTTAAAATGTTCTAAGACCTCCTTCATGTTGCGTCCAGCCTCAGAAAACAGATCAGAGTTGTCCTCCCCAAGAGGAGTAGGCCACAGAGTTATTACCATGAGAGCAGCTGCTGGGTCTTGAGGATCCCGCCACAAAAGGACAAACACAATGTGTTGGGAATGTCGGAGAACCACAGTTTTCCCCCTTTACCAGGAATCATGCCGATGATGGTGGCTGCCATTTATTGAATGTTTACAGTGAGTATTTTCTCATTTAGTCCTTCAAAGCACTTCACAAGATAGATTCTCATTTTATAACTAAGAAAACAAAGGCTTGGACAGGTTAAGTAACTTGTCTAAGATCACACAGCCAGGACAGTGGGAAAGGGGTGACTGCGCGATGTCTGATTTTGAGTCTATGTTTGTGACTATTAGTTATTCTACTCAGGGTGACCGGCAATCCTGCTTTACTTTGGACTGTCCTGGTTCCAGCACTTGAAGTCCCATATTCTGAGACACTCCTCAGTTCCAGGCAAACCTGGACAGCTGGATTTACTTCCTTGGCAGTGACAGTCCTCTTTCCACTGAGCGCTCAGGGGTCCGTGTGTTCTTCACACCTGGATGGTCACCTGGGTGCGGTTGAGGCTGGGTATTTTCCATAGTGGCCCCCGGGCAACAGTAGGCACATAATTGGTACCAAAGGAAAAAAAATCCTAGTGGAGTTAATGAGTGAATAAATGACTAACGTCACCTACAGCAACTACTTTCAGATTATGTATTGTGAGTCAGGCACTGTTAGGTGCTGTGGGAAATAAATAAGTGAGTTTCAGCTAAATAACTGAGTAATGTGAGTAACTGAATTGCACTCTAGTGTAGAGACTTGCACTGTTGGCGGTGTCAACAAAGATTCATGAAGGGATATTGCACCGCAGGCTTGATGGCTTTAATAACCCACAGCAGTAACGCCACTCTGTTTCGGTAGATCCTGAAGTTGATAAGCCTAATCCCTCACACGGTCTAATTCTTCTGCCTCCCAGCAGATGTGTGAGATATTCAACGCCGCTTCACAGGCAGGGAGAGTGAGTCAGAAAGGAACACAAGCTCATGATCTAAAGCTGTGATTGCATAGTGGCGGCCCTCAGGCCACCTCCAGGCCACTGTTGTGTTTTGTGGTCTATATAATTTTTTTAAACAAAATTGAATTGGTGACTCACACCTGTAACCCCAGTACTTTGGGAGGCTGAGCCCAGGAGTTCAAGACTAGCCTGGGCAACATGGCAAGACTTGGTCTCTACAAATAATAAAAAAAAAGTAGCCGGGTGTGATGATGCCCACCTGTGGTCCTAGCTACTTGGGAGGCCGAGGTGGAAGAATCACTTGAGCTGGGGCAGTTGAGGCTGCAGTGAGCCATGATTATGCCACTGCACTATTGCATGACAGTATTTGAAGACTGGAAGATTTTGCATAAAAATCTGAATTTCTAGTCCCTCTCGATGAAATGGAAGATATGACAGCCCTGTGTTCTCAATCATGGCTGTCACTTGTGATGAGGCATTGACCCTTCAGTTTTCTCATTTCCAGGGCAGTCCTGGCCTGTGTTACCTGAGGCATCAAAACGAAGAGACCACAAGGTAAAGAAAGTATCTCCAGTGGAAGAAGACATGTGACTATAGCAGCCTCAGGGACCCCAATGGTTGTCCCATGTTCCAAAGGATCAAGAACACAGTTGTGAGGAAAAGCCACCTCTGCCAAGGCCAGAAGCAGACCCCTTTCTCCTTCAGGAATCTAGATGCTGTCCCTGACTTCTCCTTTTGCATCATCTTTGTTCTCCTCCTGTTTAGTCAAGTCATAAAACAAACTTTTGGTTTTTTCCAATTAACCATTTCCTTCAGTAAGCGGCAACGCCACTCTTACAGGTGTTCAGGCCAAACACTTTGGAGTCCTTCTTGACTCTCTTATACCCCACCTCACTGCCTGTTTCTGCCATCCTGGTGCAGACCACCATCAGCTCTTGCTTGGGACACCGTGGAAGCATCCTGATTGCTCCTCCTGCTTCCATCCTCACCCTGCTGCTGCCTATTCCCAGCGCTGCTGGGGAGGGATCCTGTCAAACCATAAATGGGATAGCCAGGCACAGCGGCTCACACCTGTAATCCCAGGGCTTTGGGACAGTGAGGAGGGAGGATCGCTTGAGCCCAGCAGTTCAAGACTGCAGTGCCCCATAATCGTGCCTGTGAATAGTTACTGTACTCTGGCCAGGACAGCATAGCAAGACCCTGTCTATACAATTAAAAAAAAAATTAGCTGGTGCACACCTGTAGGCTGAGGTGGGAGGATCACTTGAGCCCAGGAGCTCGAGGTTATAGTGAGCTGTGATTGCACCACTGCATTCCAGTCTGGGCAACAGAGCAAGACCCTGTCTCTAAATACACACACACACACACACACACACGCACACACGGCCTGATGCAGTGGCTCATGCCTGTAATCCCAGCATGAGCTCAGTATATATTTAAATACACACACACACATATATGGCCTGGTGCAGTGGCTCATGCCTGTAATCCCAGCATGAGCCCAGTATATATTTAAATACACACACACACACACACACATATATATAATTTATATTATATATATTATATATTTGTATATATATTTATATATATATATATATATAGAGAGAGAGAGAATGAGAGCAAGAGCGAGCGAGACTGGTGCGGTAAGTAGCTCATGCCTGTAATCCTGGCACTTTGGGAGACCAAGGTGGGAAGATCACTTGAGACCAGGAGTTCAAGAACAGCCTGGGCAACATAGTGGGACCTCATTTCTACAAAAAGTAAAATAAAAATTAGCTGAGTGTGGTGGCACACATCTGTAGTCTCAGCTGTTCTGGGGGATGAGGCAGGAGAATTGCTTGAAACTGGGAGGTTGAGGCTACAGTGAGCCTCAATTGCACCACCACACTTTAGCCTGGGCAACAGAGTGAGACTCTCTCAAATAAATAAGTGGTATCTATCTGTATTATATATAGATATATAATATATATCTGTCTATCTATCTGACCATGCTCCTCCGATCAGCTCAAACCCTCTGCAGTTTGAGTCACTCCCTTATCCTCACTGTGGCCCCTTCCATTCTGTACCCTCATTGGGCTCCAGTCACACTGGCCCCTAGCCCTGCTCCATGGATCTCTGAATACCACAAGCATACTACTGCCTAGGGTCTTTGTAACTGCTGGAGGTTTCTGTTATCTAAGGCTGCATAACAGATCATCCCAAAACTTAGTGGCTTTAAACAGTAAGAATCATCTATGATCTCTCATGGTTTCTGTGGGATGGGAATTCAGGATCAGCTAGGCAGGGTGGTCCTGGCTTATGGCCTTTCATGAGGTTGCAGACAGATGTTGGCAGTAGCCAAGTCATCTGAGGCTTGGCTAGTAGGGGGCTTTACTTCTGAGGGGACCCCCTCATGTGGCTGGCAAGTTAGTGCTGGCTGTTGGCCAGAGCCCCAGTTCCTAGGCACGTGGAGCTCTCCATGGGTTTGCATTAGGATGTCTTGAGGGCATGAAGGTTGGATTTCCTCAGAGCAAAAGTGTCCAGGAAGCCAGGTGAAAGCTGTAATGCCTTTTATGACTTAGCCTCCAAGGTCACACACCATCACTCCTGATCCATTTGGTCGGTCACACAAAGCCACCCTGATTCATAGTTGGAGGTGCCACACGAGGGTGCAAATAATGGGAGGTGGGGATTGCTGGGGGCATCCTGGAGGTTGCAATCATGCAGGTTTCTGCCTGTGATGTCCTTCCCTCAGCAACTGCAAGGCTGACCCGTGAATCCTTAAGATTCCTGCTCTAATGTTCCTTATCAGAGAGGCCTCACAGCCTACCCCTTTTAAATAACTTCCCTACCCTCCTGACATTCCTATCCTGCTTTTCTTTTCTTCACAACACTTATACCTGCAGTGCTATTTCCTTGTTTCTTGTCTGTCTCCCTCCAGTAGATGAATCCTCAGCATTTAGACCGGTGCCTGGTACAAAGGCTGCCAATGTTTTTCACACGAATGAATAGCTTATATGCATTAAATGTTATGAATGAATGAAATCTTACCTCTTTGAACAGGCTTCATCACATGCTATCAAGGGCACATACTAACGACACAATTTATCACTGTTGATGTTAACCTTGATCACCTGGCGGAGGTGGAATTTGTCAGGTTTCTCCACTGTAAAGTTACTGGGTTTTTCCACTTTTCCATTCTGTATTGTTTGGAAGGAAGTCACTATGTGTAGCTCACACTTAAGGAGTGGGAATTATGAGGACTGGGAAATCTACATAATTTATTTGGAATTCTTCTGCACAGGAAATTTATCTCTTCTCCCTCATTTATTAACTTGGCAATCATTTATTTATATTAGCATGGATTCCTGGATATTTATTTTATACTTTGCATTATAATCCAATCCTACTTTATTTTGTTGTTCAAATTGTTCCAGCTTTGGTCATTGGAAGCTCTTTCAGTTGGCTTCCATGCTCCTTGGCCGTATTCCCATCAGTGTGTGTGTGTGTGTGTGTGTGTGTGTGTGTGTGTGTGTGTGTGTGTATTTGTAGCACTTCCTTTATGGCACTACAAGATGCACCAGACTCATTTTGGTGCATATTTCCTTCATTTCCTGCCCCAGGAGGCAGGAATGCCCCTAATGTTTCTAAGGAGCCTTGGTTCCTTTTATTGAGAATGGTGTTAGAAACCAAGTTATGCAAATATGCTTCCAATTATTCTATGTCTCACCATTTCCTCAGGCACTGCCCTAGTCTAGGCCGTCACCTCTCTTTGTGGCAACCTTCCAACCATCCACAAAACATACTGCCCCTACGTTTCCTCTACTTCTTTCTCCCCATCCTTTCTTCTTTTAGGCAGAGGCATCATTCTTAGTGATAAATCGGCTCATGTCAGCCTTTCAGTGGACATCATTGTTCTCAGGATGAAGTTCTCCCGTGTATGGTGTAAAACATTCTTCTTGACCTGGGCCTGCCTACCCCTCCAGCCTTACCTGTCCCATAAACCCAGCCTGGAGGCTGAGCTCCAGCTGCACTGAACTACTTTCCTTTATTTCTGTGTCTTTACAAATGTCCATACAGAACTTTCCACTGCTGAGAAACAAGCTCTGAGCCTAATGACTGTTACCATGTTAAAATATCTTCTCGCCAGGCTTGGTAGCTCACGCCTGTAATCCCAGAACTTTGGGAGGTTGAGGGGGGCAGATCACGAGGTCAGGAGTTGGAGACCAGCCTGAACAATATGGTGAAACCCCACCTCTACTAAAAATACAAAAATTAGCCAGGTGTGGTGGTGTGCACCTGTAATTCCAGCTACTCAGGAGGCTGAGGCAGGAGAGTCGCTTGAACCCGGGAGGTGGAGGTTGCAGTGAGCCAAGATCATGCAACTGCACTCCAGCCTGGGTGACAAAACGAAATTCCATCTCAAAAAATAAAACGTCTTCTCTCCTTTCTTGTGTGGGGTTGAACAAGAGGCAATCATTTATTTAAAAGCCCCCCTGTGATATGAAAATAAAATATTGGTCTCCCCCACCACCCAGTTCCTGGCACACAGCTCCTAAATCCCTTGGAATTTCTTGGGTGATAGGATGTCTTTTGTTCTAATGAGGCCACTCCTGATAGCTAGAGAGTTCAAGAAGGGCAGTTGACAGAGGACCAAGGCATGATTAAAGGGTGGAACTTTCAGCCCCACCCCCCGACCTCCAGGGAGGGGAGAGAAGCTGGAGATAAACTTAATCACCAAAGACCAAATGATTTCGCCATCATGTCTGCAGAAAGAAACTTCCATAAACCCCCTAAAGGATGGGGTTCAGAGAGCTTTCAGGTTGGTGAATACATGGAGCTGCTGGGAGGGCCGTGTACCTGGAGAGGGCATGGAAGCCCCATGGCGCTTCCCCCATACCTTGCCCTGTGCATCTCTTCCATTTGGCTGTTGTTGAGTTGTTTCCTTTATAATAAATAGTAAATGTAATGAGGTGTTTTAATGAGTTCTGTGAACTGTTCTAGCAAGTTCTCAGACCTGAGGAGGGGGTCATGGGTACCCCTGATTTATAGCCAGTGGGTCCAAAGAACATGCGGCAACCTGAGACTTTCAAGAGTCCCCATGTGAAGTGGGGAGTTTATAGGACTGAGCCTTTACCATGGAAGGTCTATGCTAACTCTAGTAGTTAGTGGCAGAATTGAATTGAGTTCTAGGATACCCATTTGGTGTCAGAGAGTTGGAGAATTGGCTGAGATGGGAAAAAGCTCCCATATATTTGGTATTGGAAGTGTTGAGAGAAAAAACAATTCACTGCTGCCCTGCCACCCCATCCATCTAGCTTGCTGTGGGCCAAACTCCATGCTCTGCTCTAGAAATGCATGTCTGTCTGTGTGCCTGCATGTCCCTGTGCACGTGTGTGTGCTGGGAGTGGGCCCGGCTGGTCTTGCCTTTTACTGCCCTGTGGTTGCATTTGCCTGCCTCCCGCCATGCAGCAAGTGTCTCATGAAGGCAGCAGACACTGCCGGTACATCTGAATAGTCCCAACACCTGGGAATGTGCTTGCAGATACTCAAGTATTTGCAGCTTAAATTATCATCCAATTGAATAACTAAACTAAAAGATGAATAAATACGATAAGGGGTAAATGAATGGATGAATGAAGTGGTTGTATCTTTCTCCTTTGCCCTTAGGGTCAGAAGTGGTTTCCAAATGTTGAAATTTTGACCATTGAATTGAGCTGACTTGGATTCTCAATGTTGGTCGACAGTCTGGTGGCAACAGGAGTGGCCTCCCTGCACTGGTGAGCACTCACTCCCCTTTATGCAAGCATGACAGTAAGGAGGAAGGAAAGCGTGCGCAGGCACGTGGGAGGCTGCCGTAAGCTCCCAAGGGGAGGGCTTCTAGCAAAAGTGAGGTTTTCTTTGCCCTTGATGTTCTGAGAGCACCTGAAGAAGCCACACAGCCAGTCAAGCCCAGGTGCTTGTTTCTGGTCCAGTTCAAATACGTAAGGCCTGGAGGTGCTCTGGGGAGGTGTGACTGCAAACGCTGTTGGGATTTGAATAGGCAGAAAAGAAGGTGAGAGAGGCTGGGGAGGGGATGTGGGACAACCTGTGTAGGGGCCAGGAAGGGCATGGCCTGAGGAGGGGAGAGGGCAGGAGATGGGGAACGTGACACATTGTGAAGGGTCTTGCATGCCAAGGTAAAGAGCTGAAATTGTTCCTGTAGGCCGTAGAGAACTCTTTTAAAATGGATAATCAACAAATAACTACACCTTTACTTTTTTCTACAAGGTAATACATGCTAATTATAGAAATGTTGGAAAATATAGAAAAGAATAAATCCAAAAGGAATCATGAGTCAGCGTATCACCTAGAGAATGCAATGCCTTTGATGTATTTCCCTCCAGTAACTTTTGGTCACAGTCGTCGTAGTCATATGTTACACGTGCCTTATAACTTGTTTTAAAAATATCATTAATATGTTATGAGCATTTGTTCATGAAGCCATCTTTTGAAACCTGATTTTTAATGGACGCACAGTAATTCATCTTTATAGCCAGCCCTTCATGTCTGTGGGTTCTGCATCTGAGAATTAAACTAAACTTGGATCAAAAGTATTTGAAAAAGTAAAAATAACAATACAACAATAAAAATAATATAAATTTAAAAATATAGTATAGCAATTATTTTCATAGCATTTACATTGTATTAGATATTATAAGCAATCTAGAGATGGTTTAGAGTCTAGGGGAGGATGTTTGTAGGTTATATGCAAATACTATGCCATTTTATATTAGGGACTTGAGCATCCCAGATTTTGGTATCCTCAGGGATCCTGGAACAAATCTCTCTGTGAATACTGAGGGAAGACTGTAATGTACTTAATCAATTCTTTATTAATGGTTATCTGATTATTTTAAATTTTTCAGGGTATGTGAAGGCTCGATGGCATTCTTGTATATACATAGTTACATGTACCTCGGATTATTTCTTAATAAATTTATAGAAGCAGAATTACTAGGTCAAAGGTTCTGCAGATTTCAAAGGCCTTTAGTGCCCTAGGTCCTAGGGAATGACTGGAAGTTTCTGAGAAAGGTGATGTGGGAAGTGTCTTCTTTTCTTCTCGTTTTTGCTGATTACTTTTAACTTTTTTATGGAGGACAACCCCTGAGGCTTCTGCCTGGTCTGCCCTCCTCCCCTGAGAATGATCAGTGTCCATCCATAATCCCTGAGGAAGAGGGCCTCTCCCTTCATATTCCTACCACTTGTCTTCCTCTTTAGCCTTCTCTATCCCTGGCCACCACCTCTAGGGCCTGGGTGTGGGTCTGCACTTGGTGCTGGGGCTCAGGTCACAGAGCACTGAGGCTGGGGTGGCGACTGCCATCCTACTGAACAGAGGTCCCCAGCCCTGTGACCAGAACACCTCTCCTCCCATCCTGGGGTGTCCAATGTCTTCCCACAATTCCTGCTCATCCCTGGAGTTTATGTGTCCTTCAGGCATCTCTGGTTCCAATTTCCTGCTTCTCCAGAGCTCTCCAAATCTTCCTTCCCTCTGTCCCTTCCGTGTGATCCCTCAGCACCCACCCTACCTCCTCAGACAAGCTGCGTGTCTTGTCCCGGACAGTTTAACTGGTGAGTCAGGGATTTATATGAGGAGAGTTGTATTGCAGTATCATGCAGTGGATAAATTAAAATGAAATATTTCTGCCTTTAAAGTGCCCCCGCCCCACTGCTTCCTCCCATTTCCTACTTCCAGCCACTCACAGTGCTGCTCAGCTCAGCTCAGCTCCGCCCCTTGCCCCGGATGCAGTGTGGGCTCCCTGCTGCCCCTTTCTCATTCCACCTGCTCTACTTCTACTCCAACCAGCATTTTACACAGCCCTGGAGACAGCCTGGGGACTCCATCCAAGGGGCCCAGGCCTCAGTCAGGGGAGAAGGGAGCAGAAGCATTCAGGCCTGGCAGAAGCAGCCAGCTCCCCACAACACCTGCCCCTGTCCTGGAAGTTCTTCCACCGAAACTGCCTCCCTGCCCAGAACCTCAGGGCTCCCGGGAGCCGGCACAGAGGGCCCCTCAGCTGCAGCACTTTAAGGGCTGGCTCAGTGTGGCAGAAGGGAACTGCCTATCCTTTCTACCTGGCAGGGCAACCGAGGGGTCAAACAACATAATGGGTAAGGAAGTGCCTCATAAAACGCCATGCAAACATAAGGCATTGTTATACAATTGTTTTCATTGGGAAATGTAATTTAGTTCCAAACAACCACTTTCAGAGGAACTCTTGGAACATAATTATAGTGGACATCTGTTGTTTTTGGCCTGTCCAATGGCCCTTTCCCTTTCTTCTGGCAATAATACCGCCCACCCCCCTTCCTCTGGGGAAGTGCAACTCTTTAACTCCAGACTTGTGACCTTGCTGGGGCTGCCATGACGTGACTCCACTGCAGGGTCCCAGGGATGGACGTGTGACCCGGGCTTGGCCAATCACAGTAGCCCCACCCCCCACCTACACGATGATTGGTCCCTGCAACCCATGACCAGGGTTTGGTCAGCTGTCATTCTACCTTGAGATTTTGACATAGGGAGGCAATGAGAACGACCCTTTCCTTCTGGTGGAGGTTGCTGAGCAGGGGTGATATGAGCGTCTCAGTCTGTTCAGGCTGCTATAACAAAATGCCTGAGACTGGGAGGCTTAAAAACAACAGACGTTATTTCTCCCAGTTCTGCAGACTGGGAAGTTCAAGATCAAGGTGGCAGCAGATTTGGTATCTGGTGACCACCTGCTTTCTGGCTCACAGCTTGCTACAGTTTGGATGTCCCCTCCAAAACTCATGTTGAAACTTAATCCCTAATGTGGTAGTATTGAGAGGCAGGGCTTTTAAGAGGTAAGTGAAGGGCTCTGCTCTCATGAATGGGTTAAACCATTTATGCATGAATGGATTAATCCATTTGTGGATGAATGGATTAATGGGTTAGCATAGGAGGGGAACTGGTGGCTTTATGAGAATAGGAAGAGAGACCTGAGGAAGTGGGTTTGCACGCTTGGTCCCCTTGCCATGTGATAGCCCATACTGCCTTGAGATTCTTCAGAGTTCCCACCAGCAAGAAGATGCTCACCAGATGTGCCCCCTCCTCCTTGGACTTCTCAGACTCCATAACTGTAAGAAATACATTCTTTTTCTTTATAAATTGCCCAGTTCAGAAAACAGACTAAGACATAGGTGGTGACTTTTTGCTATGTCCTCACATGGTGGAAGGGGCAAGAGGGTCTCTCCTGGGCCTCATTTATGAGGACACTAATGCCATTCATGAAGGCTCCACTGCCAGGTCCTAATTACCTCCCTAAGTCCCCACTTCCTGATACCCTTACCTTGGGGATTAGGATTTTTACATAGGAATTTTGGGGGGACATAACATTCAGTCCATTGCATGGTCTTCAACAGTCTTGTCTTGTCTTGCCCTTGACCTGCCTTCCACTGCCATTTAGAGGAATCCTCTGCAGCAGGAAGAATAATGCAAACCTGGGGGCTGGCACTGGGAAGCAGAATCCAGAGGAGAGTGAGTCTCTCTCGGTCTATCTTGGGAGCCCCCCGTCCTAGCTGTCCCTGAGACAGGCACTGTCCTTGTGCTTCCCTGACTCCTTTCCTTCAGCCGCAGTGGACTTTTTGTCCCTTATATATGACAGAATCCTGACCTGTATGAATTAACCCACTCATGGGTTAGAGGTGCCTATTTATGAATATCCAAGTGCTTCATGTGTGAATATCTTACTTCTCCAAAATGATTTGAAATGTCTCTTGGGAATGACTCATCTTGATTTAGAATAGTCAGCTGACATAAGCCCAGGAGTTTGAGGCTGCAGTGAGCTACTACACTCCAGCCTGAGAGGAAAAAAAAATAACAGACAGTAAAGATATAGTTATATGATTAAACCAAACAGAATTAGTTATCTTTGCAAATAACCCCTTCATCTGCCTTAAATCAGAGCATGTTGAGGCATGGGAGTAATATGTAATAGATGCTATGTGTATATGAGATAGAAGATAAGCCAACGCATACATTTGTAATTAGATTAAGGAAAACTGAGAGTCCATTCACTTTTATCTTTACCTAGAGGCAATTCTGTTTGCTGTAAAGAATCAAGAGGCAAAGCCTGTAAGACTCAAGGGAAAAGACAAGGAAAATTGGAACTTCTTTTTCTGTTCTGGGATCTTGTTCTGAATGTTGCTTAAAACGACTGAGTCTTATTCAGACACTGGCAACCATTTCTTGCAGAAGAGATTTCTGCCAAGACAAGATGCAAATTGTAGATTGGACCCGTTGGTTTGGGAGTCTAGGGATATGCAGAGGCTTCACAGTGGGGTGCTGCTCAGCTCAGCACCCCTGGTTTTCTGGATGGAGTCGGGGCACCAGTTGGCAGGCAGCCCAGCACAGCTCATTTTTTGAAAAACCAAAATGAAACAGCAACACCACCAACAACATAGCATCATCTTGAACAGAAAAATATAGCAAGGAGCTGGAAGGGAGACAGATTAAGCAATTCAGGAGCTAGGATGACACGTGGGAATTTTAGATTGTTTCATCTCATTAGCAAAGATAAAATGCACACATTTCACGTAAAGTCATCCATTGTTAACACAAATGTATGCTTCTACTGAAGGTCAATAAAATGCTTAATACAATATTCATGTGATTAGGAACTCCCATGTTGCAGAGGCTAGAAGGACACTTCCACTCTCAGGCTGAGGGTCTGGGCTTCCCAGCTCATTCCAAGACTGAGGCAGAGCCACCTGGACTGGTGGCAGTGGTCAGAGGAAGGACACAAAAGCTTTGGAACATGCGTCCCTCGGAGGCTGCCGGTGCTGGCTCTGGACATTTCATTTCCCAGTGACCTTGTTCTTCCTTCTCCTCATCTGCGAAGTGTCCTGTTTGCTTTATAGGCTTGTTTAGACACTCAGATGAAATAGTGGATGATATTTTGAAAACTGTAAGTGACAACAGAAATGTAAGATGCACTTAGGAATGGGAGAAATAGATCCTCAGAAGAAGGAAAACTGCCAAGCCTAAAACACTAAGAAGCTAAAGCTGGGGTCTGCATGAGAAAAAAGGCTTTAGAGGACTAAGATTGCAAAGCCAGGAGGACGCTGTGTTTGTGCTGGCCCTTTTGGAATCTGGGTGGCAACTAGAATCCCGGCAGAGCCCTGTAAGTGTTGCTGGCCAGACGGACTCTTGAGCGGGCCTGCCTGGTTTCACACTCTGCCTCGCCACTGTGACCATGTGACCTTGGGTGGGAGACTTTGCTTCTCTTTGCCTCAACCTTCTTATCTGTGAAATGGGGATAACCACATTCATCTCAGAGGATAGTTGTGAGAATTAAGAGAATCCATTCATGTGAAGTACTTGGAATAGTGTCTGGAAAATGATAAGTTCTCAATAAATAAGCAATCATCATTTCCTATCAAGACTGGGAGTCCTGGTCTTGCGAATAACCACACCTGTGATCTGGGTCAGATTATTGAGATTTCTGTGCTTTGATGATGTGTCGGGAGAGAAGCAGGGTTCTTAACGTCTGTACTGTTGATATTTGGGGTCAATAACTGTGCTCTGGGGGCCTGTCCTGTGCATGATAAAATGATTAGTGGCACCTGTGGCCTCTACACACTAGATGCTTGTCATGTCCCCTCTTTCTCTGTTGAGACAACCAAAAATGTCTTCAGACACTGCCAAATGTCCCCCTTGGATGGGAGATGGGGAGAGGCAAAATTGCCCTCAGTTGAGAACTCCTAGACTGGAAGCAGAGTTCTTAAGCTAGGGAGCTGTAGATCTTGGGGATCCCAAAGAGGAGCTTTGAGACGTCTATGAAAGCCCCGAATTCATTCATGAACATGTGCGTGCGTGATATGCATGTGAGTGAGCTCACAGGCACTTTTCTCAGGAGAGCTCCCCAGCTTTATACCAGACTCTCCAGGCAGTCTAGGACAGAAGAATTCTGAGTTCTGCATCCCTTCTTGCCTTGACATGGGCTGGTCCCTGCTCTGAGAGGAAAGGCATTTTAGGTGAGCACCAAGTTCCTCCTGGTCACTGTGTGAAGCTCTCTGGTCTTTTTCGTTGAGCTTTTTTGGATAACCCTTTTGTTTCTAACCCTTTTCCTCTTTTTTTCTTTCTCTTTTCCTTTTTTTTTTTTTCTTGAGACAGGGTCTCACTATGTTGCCCAGCCTGGTCTCAAACTCCTGAGCTCAAGCAACTCTCCTGCCTCGGCCTCCCAAAGTTCTGAACCACAACACCCGGCCATCCTCTCTCCCTTTTTTTTTTAAAACAAAAAACAAAAAAACCCAACAAACTCCCTTTCCCCTCCACAAAGCCTGTTCCTTCTCTCCCATGCTGGAAACTTCAGGGACTTTTGCTCTTTCCCTGGGAGTCTGAGTAACTCTCCAGACAGGCAGCTGTTCCATCCCACTCTCCCTCTAGGCTTCGTGAGCTATGTGCAAGTGGCAGGGGTGGGTGGGTGGAGGGAGGAGGGGGAAGGTCACCAGGCACATTCCAGGTGAGGGGCAGGTGGTAGGACCCCTCTTTCTGGGTAGCCTTGGTCCCATGCTGGCTTTGTTCATCTCCCTTCCCTGCTGGGGTTCTGGTCCTTGTTATCTTGGGCAGAGCCAGGGAAGCCAGCCGCCTCTCGTCCAAGGTTACTGTGCTGGGGAGCTAGTATTTACACAACTGCCGGGATGTGGGATGAACCTATTGTGCTCTGCAGCCAAAGCTGTGCTCAGCCTCAGGATCCTCAGGAGACGTGAACAGACTGAATTCTCAGAGTCTCTCATTAAGAATTTGGCTCTTCACCAAGGAAATCTGTTCCTCTTCCAAACAGAATCTGAAGCTTCATTTAGACTGAATTAGCAGTGGTGAGAAGGGAAGGGAGGCCAATGCATCCCAACGTTTTCTGACCATTTTTTGGTTTAAACAAAAGAATGGGGAGGAAAATAAGAAGAGTAACTCCATTCAAACACTGTCAGCCAGGGCAGGTCAGGAGGTCGTGGAAACAAAGGACCCACCATTGTCAGATCCCTTTCCCTTCCTTCTTTCTTTCCACGTCTGCCTTAAGGAATGGGTCGGAAAGACTGATCCCTCTCCAGTGTGAGTCCAAATCTAACCTAAAGTATTTGTTAGTTGTCAAGCCTGAATAAAGACAGGTGTAGACTAGAAAAGTGGTGTGAGTATGTATCTAAGTCACCTGACATTGTGATTCACGGCACCGCTTTTGCTTCAACAACCCAGGCATTTCTCTTCATGATGCTAATGGACTGTGCACTTGGGTCATGTGGGCATGGAACAATCTGGATTTTAAAAATAGATGAATAAGGCGATAATTATGCACCTCACAATTTTAATCTTTACTAGTAAGAAATGAGTCACTGCAAGGTTTTTAAAGGTAAATTCCCTAGGCAAACATTTAAAAGGATTTGATTTTCATCTAACTTTTTCAATGCACCATTCTTCATAATTTGAAGAGTCAGACAGGTCATCTTACGATCTCCACTGCCTCACTGTCATCAGCCAGTATTTATCAAATAACCAAGGGATTTGGAGTCCGGCTTTTCTTCCAGTCTTCTAGAACTCAAAGCATTCTTTTTTTTTTTTTGGGACGGAGTCTTGCTCTTGCCCAGGTTGGAGTGGAATGGCATGATCTTGGCTCACTGCAACCTCCACCTCCCAGGTTCAAGCAATTCTCCTGCCTGAGCCTCCCGAGTAGCTGGGATTACAGGCTCCTGCTATCACATCTGGCTAATTTTTTGTATTTTTAGTAGAGATGGGGTTTCACCATGTTGGCCAGGCTGGTCTCGAACTCCTGACCTCAGGTGATCTGCCCACCTTGGCCTCCAAAAGTGCTGGGATTACAGGCGTGAGCCACCGCACCTGGCCAGCGATCTTCTTGAGCAATCTGGAGAAGTCTCTTAAGCTTCATAAGCCTCAGTCTCCTCGTTTGTACACTAGAGGTAACAGCGCCTCCCTCACAGTGTTGTCATGGTGATTAAATGACACAGGTAAGCAGTGGTGTTCTGTATATGATGAAGCATCTTCTAACATCAAATGTTATTAATAAGAATAGAAATGATGGCCTCTGTTCTATGAGAAGACGTCTCTCCTTAGAACAGACTACTCAATCAATGACCTGAGCATTAACCAATTTCTGTGGCTTCCTTCTCAAAACTTCATGTCCTTCTAGTCTAGTAGCAAGTATTAATGAATTTTTTAAAAACTTCCTAAAATAGAGAATTCCAAATGTTAACGTAATTTTGAGACACACTGTTTTAGAAAATATTACCTCAAAGGAAAGTGAAGAGCTCTAAGATATGTTAACACTTTTGTTTTATTAAACTAAACCTATGAATTGCATTTGGCAAAATTAGACAATTTTGGCTTACTAAGGAGCTTTATGAAGATGTGATAGCTGTAGAGTGAGTTAAAGTCATCAGCAATGTGGACATGCCATAGGAGAAAGTCCTGTGTAACTAGGCTGTACCAGTTTCACAGGAGTAGTGGTCACTGGAGGCCAGAACTGAATAAAGTCTTGCTATAGACTGAACGTTGTTGTCCCCTCAAAATTCATATATTGAACCCTAGCCCCCAGTGGCAGGGTATTTTAAAGTGGGACCCTTGGGAAGTGATTAGTCAAGAGGGTGGGGCCTCACAGGTGGGATTAGCGCCCTTGTGAAACAGGCCCCAGAGAGTTCATTTGCCCCTTCCACCTATCTATGTAAGGATGCAGCAAAAAGATGGTGTTTGTGAACGAGGAAGTGGACCCTCCCCAGACACTGAGTCTGCCGGTGCCTTGATCTTGGACTTCCCACCCTCAGAAGTGTGAGAAATAAATTTCAGTTGTTCATAAGCCACCCGGTCTATGGAATTTTTGATAGTGCAGCCCCAATAGACTAAGACAGACCTAGAGATCATTTGGCCAAACTTACAGTGGTATAAGTGGAGCAGTCCTCCCTTGAAGGGAAGGAAAGTGACTTGCCCAAGGTCACACACCCAGCGAGTGAGGGAAGAAGGAGTAGATCCCACTGGACTTCTTGCCCAGTGCTCTTTCTACCTTGTTCTGAAATATTACTTCTGATGCAAAGTCATTTTTTTTCCTGGGGCCAAGGAAGTGTCAACCAAGGAATCTAACTGACTGATAGCAAACCATCAGGGCATCAAAAGAGGTGCATATTTCAGAAAAAGTGCGTTTGTATAAAGGTGGAGTGATATTTCTGGAACATTTGTTCTTTACTGGGCAGGATTTCTGTTGAGATGCTGTGGCAGAAGCCTCCTGTATTAACTACATCTTTTCTTTATTTTGATGCTTTGGCATCTGGGGACTTGCTCCTCCCAGGAATAGCTGATTGGATAAATAAGACAGATTGTGGTAATAAACTGAAATATATGCTGAAATCAGAATTAGGGAAGCGGACATTGGCATTGCTTGATGCTCAAGGCCGGAAACCAAAGCTTATGTTCTCATGCTTATCCTACTCCAGAGATGCCATACCCTTGAATATATCAGCTGCATCTTGTAATCTAGAATCAGAATGATACCATCTACCTCCTTGGGGCGGGGGCGGGGGTGGGCATGGGAACACGGTATAGTTGGGAACCCAAAGGCTTGAAGATCCAAGGGGAAATTTGTAGAATACTTGTTCCCTTTTGCACTTTTTACAATTAACCTAGGTTTGACTTGAGATCCAAGAATGAAGGAGATTCTACTTTTTGTAATTATCAGAGGCCTGAAGAGTACAGAAAAAGTATATGAAATACTAGGATTTGGGGTGAGTGAAACTTCATGTGGAACAAGAGCAGTGCTTTTGAATTAAAGCCATGAATCAGAGGCCTCTGAGCAAAACATGAGTCTTTGGGGGTTTATGAGTTTAGCTGATATTTTAGGAAATCCACCAGACCAATACTCTGGTAAGCCCTCCATGAAAACAAGAGTTAACTATGCATTAATCAGAGTTGTATATCTATGTATTTATGTATAGAGACAGACAGACAGACAGACACACACACACACACACAGAAAAAAGAGAAGAGAGAGAGAGAAGAAAGATTTATTTTGAGAAATTGGCTCACACAAATGAGGAGGTTTGGTGAGCCCAAAATCTGATGGGGCAGGCAAAAGGCAGTCTGCTGGCAGAATTTCTTCTTACTCAGGGAAGGTCAGTGTTTCTTCTCTCAAGGCCTTCAGCTGAGTGGATGAGGCCCATGCACATGATGGAGGGTCATCTGCTTTACTCAAAGTCCACCAGTGTAAATATTAATCTCAAATAACCCCTTCAGGAAAATATCCAGAATAACATTTGACAAAATATCTGGGGACTGTGGCTCAGCCAAACTGCCACATAAAATTAACCATCACAAACTACAAGTGAGAAGCTGAGACCCCTGGTTCATGGAAGGACTCTGTGGCTGTGGAAGGCTTGGAGAGGGGACAGGAGAGTAGCCTCTGATGGGATTCCAGGTGACCTCATGGTCAGCATCTCTTACTGTGTGGGAGCTCCTGGGGAAGACTTGAGTTTCTTATCTCTTGCATGTTCAAGTTCATGTTCTTTCCTCTTGACTGAAGATGGAAAAAAAAAACCAAAACCCTGTAGTTACTCAGTAAGTTGTCTGTAAAATTTCTGTCCCTTTTGAGAGCTCGAAAGGTACAGTTCTAATGAGGTAACTTGGCCACTTGACTTCAAGGTATTTGGAGTAGGTTTTCTCTGCCAATGCAACACTTGGCAACCATTGTACAATAATTTTGTGCTTATGTCCAGCCCAACTGTGAACAATGTAATCAGTGTTATGAATTCATGAATAGAATGCCCTGGCACTATAACTGTCCAGCTTCCAGGCATGGGAAAAGGAGCCCTTCTCTGGGGCAGACATAAGGGAACAGTCCTAGCAATTCTGCTCACAGGGGTGAGGGTGGAAATGTTGTCGACAGATGGCAACACCATACCGGCTCCTCACAAGGTTCTCATGACCTTTTAACTTCTGATAATGGCTTGGCCCCCAGTGTTGCCTGAGAACCTTGGAGAGCAAGGGGGCAATTTCCGAGTGGGTACATTCCTAGCTAATCAAAATTACCTCTGAAGAGTGAAAGCTGCATGTGAGAGGCACAGAAGTCATGCGCATCCAATCACTTCAAAAGCCAGTCATGTAGCTAGGGGAGCAGATTCAAGCCGATGTTTCTACCAACTGGTCATTTCAGTGAGCAGAGACTCAGCTGTGAGCTGGGTCCTTAAGTCTTCAGTTTGCCAGGTAATGAGAGGAATACCTGTTTTCCACCAACCTCCTCCACCAAAGCACACCAAACAGGCTTGGTCTGACCACTGGCAAACCCTTCTGCTCTCAAAGCTGGTGTAGGTTGCAGGTCTACTTTCTGCATTGATGGGCAACCCATTAGGTCAGGCATATATAGGGAGGGATTGTACTTCAAAAATCACAGGGTGACCAGAGGACCAGGGGCGTGTTGTAGCAACACACTGTGTGGAGTCCCAGGGAGTGCTGTACACCCCTCATGCTCATCTCCCGTTGCTTCCCTCCTGAAACCAGCATTTGCAATCCTGTACCATTGCACTCTGAAGGTTTTTTCACATCAAGCACTAGGGAAGCAATTCTGCTTCCTACGTCTCCTAGGACAAGGGTCTCCTACATGATTTTTCAATATTAGCACAATCTGCAATTAGCGAATCCCTTGATTATGAACATTGGTCAGACAAATTGGCTAATGGAATCTGCAGAATAAAAGAAAAAGATTAGATACAACTCATCAATAAGAACAGACCTGGCATTTGGTCCAGAAAAGGTCACAGTGTTTAAGGGAGGTGTGCTTAATTATAGGAAAATTATGTATCAGTCATGAAATAAAATTGCCCTTTTGTTCCTGGGAAATAGCATGGTTTAAAGAAGGTATCCAGTACTACCTAGATTTGTTCTGGTGTGCATAGATTTGATCCTCTGATGCTGTTCAGTTCAATGAATTGAATTGTTGAATACCCGCTATTTGCAGGGATCAGAGAGAAAGAAAAGAGAATGTCCTCTTTCCTGAAGGAGTTAATAGAATTATAAGAGGGAGAACAAGGGAGGGAGGGAGGGAGGGAAGGAGAGGGAAGGCGAGGCAGGCAGAAGGAAAGAAGGGAGGGAGAGAAAGAAAGAGGGAAGAATGGAAGGAAAGAGGGAAGGAGGGAAGAAAAAAAAGAACTATAAGAAGTAGCTGAGTGAAACAACCAGTCAGCAACATAACTGCCAGGTTGGGTACTGTAGTCAGTTGGTATTGTGGAAGTTGTTTGTTTGTTTTGTTTTAAGAGAGACAGAGAGAGAAGCTTTGAGAATGCTTCATTGAAGAGGTGCATCTTGAGCTGGTCATTGAAAAACAAGCAGGACTTGGATGGAGGACAGGCATGTGCAAGACACTCTAGGCTTAGCAAGCAGTGTAAGAAGTGTGGAGAGGAGTGGGGGTGCTGGGTGGGCAACAAGGAGGACAGGACCTGACCCAGGCCAGTGCAGCTAAAGCGGCAACAAAGGCTCTCTGGAGAGAAAGCACAACCAACTGTTATAATAGAAGTGGCATCTATACACGACTCCACATTGATCTAAATAGGTGATCAAATACATGAATTCACACAGGAGAGGAGACAATTCTTCCTTATAGAAGAATTCCAAATAATGTGTGATACTTCCATCTCCCAGAGGGAGACTTTAATCTACTTGTGTCTCTACCGGGTAAGTGGGTTAGACCTAGTGACTTGCTTCCAAAGGACAGAGTACGGACAAGGAAAACTAGGAGCTTCACATGGTAGAGAAACCTGGCAAACAGCACCTTAGCCAAATGGTTGAGGTTGACACCACTAGTAATGTGGATTTATGTACCCCAGATAAAAAATGACAAGAAGGCATTTCACCTTTACGGTATTTTTTCTAAAAAACCTGTAACCCCAGTCTAATCAAGAAAAAATATTAATCCCAAACTGAGGGACATTCCACAAAACACCTTACTAAGCCTCCTTAAAACTGTCAAGGTCATGAAAAACAAGGAAAGGGTAAGAAAAGTCACAGACCAGGGGAGACTAAGAAGACATGTGACTAAGTGCAATGTGGAACCTGGACTGGGTCCTGGAGCATAGAAAACAGAACATTCATGGGAAAACAGGTGAATTGCAAGCAAAATCTGGAGTTTAGTTAATAGTAATGTACCACTGTTGGTTTCTTAGTTTTCACAAATTTATCAATGGAAGATGATAACATTGGGAAAAGCTAAAACTGAATGAGTATGCAGAAACTCTCTGTAAATCAAATAAAATTCCAAAATAAAAAGTTTAAGAAAAAATGTGGGCCGGGTGCGGTGGCTCATGCCTGTAATCACAGCACTTTACGAGGCCGAGGGAGGCGGATCACTTGAGGTCAGGAGTTCAAGACCAGCCTGGCCAACATGGTGAAGATGAAACCTTGTCTCTACTAAAAATACAAAAATCAGCTGGGCATGGTGGTGCATGCCTGTAATCCCAGCTACTCAGGAGACTGAGGCAGGAGAATCGCTTGAAACTGGGAGGTGGAGGTTGCTGTGAGCCGAGAACATACCGTTGCACTCCAGCCTAGGCAACAGAGCGAGACTCCATCTCAAAAAAAAAAGTGGCATTTACCACACAGCTAAGGTTTTGGAACTGTCTTGGTTTGCAGGCCTCTCCCCATCCATGTGATGTTGGGATCGTTGTGTTCGTGGTATCTACTGGCTGAGGAAATGTGGACCAGCAAAGAGCTACTTGTGTAGTGCAGTGGTTCAGAGCCCATGCACTGTGGTCAAATCCTGTGTTTCCCACTTAATAGCTGTATGGCCTCAGGCAAGTTGCTTAGCTTCTCTGTGTCTCAGTTTCGTGATCAGTAAAATAGGGACAATAATAATTATACCCCTCTCCCAAGCTATTGTGAAGATCAAATGAGTTAATACATGTACAGTGCTTAGGATAGAGCCTAACTAGCCTAACTTTTCTAGGAAAGAGTAAACACCATATAAATATTAGTTATCACCAAAAAGTCACTAATGCTTTTAAATGAATTTGACTTTTGAGCATAACCTCTACAAACGTTTGAATTACATGTGTGCTATGCTGTACCACGGATGGCTCTTGAGGACATCACTATGCTAAGGCAAGACAAACACTGTATCATTCCACTTATATGAGGTCCCTAGATAAGTAAGATTCATAGAGTTAAGAAGGAGAAAGGTGGTTTCCAGGGGCTGGGAGGAAAGGGAAATGGAAGTTAGTGTTTAATGGGGACAGTTTCAAGTTTGCAAAATGAAAGAGTTCTGGAGATTGGTGTTGGTGATGGTTGTGCAACAATGTGAATATGCTTAATGCCACTGAACTATAAAATTCAGAAGGGTTAAGATGGTAAATTTCATGTTTTGTGTATTTTACCACAATTAAAGAATAACATTTTTTAAAAAACCCTAAAAATAAAATATATGTGTGAACACACTATTTATTCAATCTGTAGGCGATGTAGTTCAAGGATTTGTACATTCATAGTAGAACTGGGTCTACCTATGAATTTCTAGGTCCTTTACAGTAAATTTTTGCTTCACCTCACTCTCACCCCAGGGGTTGTCCCCACAGCAACATGGTGACATGGTGAGGCTAGGAGACACCTGACCCAGGCAAGGGATGCTGACATCCTGGGTCAGGGGTCAGGTATGCTAGGACTTCAGAGAGCATGGGTCTCAGGGGAGAGGGCATGACGTTGCCTGTAGTGGCTTCCAAAGCACCAACTCCATGCTAGACAAATGAAACTCTAACTAAAGTCCCAGTGAATTATACAGACAGGGAAAGGACATCCAGGGCCATGGGATGAAGATATTTTTTTTTAACCAGAGGGAGGACAAGGTCATGTGAGTCATATGGTTTCATCCCACCATGAAGTGAGCCAAGACCCACCACGAACCTCTTTAAAAAAAGACTCAGAGCCATGTGTGGTGGCTCAAGTCTGTAATCCAAACACTTTGAGGCAGGAAGATCGCTTGAACTCAGGAATTTGGGACCAGCCTGGGCAACACAGTGAGATCTCATCTCTACTCAAAAAAAAAAAAAAAAATTATCTGGGCATCGTGGCACACACTTGTAGTCCCAGCTACTCAGGAGGCTGGGTCTACATCAAAGACCTAAACACCTTTCCCTCTTGCTAGGACCTGGTCAAGGAGAACACGAGCTCTGTAAATGAAGGCCCGGGTGCAATTCTTGGCTCCACCACATCCTGTGTGCCCTTGGGCAACTTACCCAGCCTCTCTGTGCTTCCATTTCCTTCTTTAGAAATTATGGCTCATAATAGTGCCTCTCTCATAGAGTTTTTTAAAATGATGAATTGCGATAAAAAGTGTAAAGACCTTAGAAGGCTGCCTGGCATCATAAGCACAGGATAAAGGTTAGCTGGTATGATTGTGATCAAGAGTGTTCTGTATGGCACAGAATTCAAGGAAAAGGAAGAATGAGATGTGGACATGCGATTTGGTCCTATTAAAGTTCAATTGAGGAAATAGTTTGGTGGGCTGGTAATGGGATGGGGATAAAAAGCCACGTTGAGAGAGACGAGAGTGAATGAACACACCTCTTTCCTTCCTGCTTCTGTTTTCATTCATATTGTTTGACGCTTGAGTAATTAATTAATTAATGTCTCAATCTTCCTTTGAAGTTGAACGAGGGCTACGTTAGTGCCTCAGGGCGCATGCACACATCATGTTTCGGTTTTCTTATTGATACTGTGAGATCTTTGGTTTAGCACATGTCAGGCCTTCATAGTTAGTTCCCCACCAGGGGCAACAGCAGACACAAGTGAGGGAGGAACCCTGAGGACCAGAAACCATCTGGCCTCCCTTCCGCCTCACTGGCTGTCCCCAGGGCAACTGACAGTGGCCTCTGGCTCAGCCACAAGAGCAATAAGGAAGATGTCTATCTTTTCTCTTAGTTCAGTTCGGTTTGGAACTTGGAGCCTGTCAAAGAAGATAAAAGGAGGTGGCAGAGGGCAAAAGGCATCTCAATACTGAAAGAAAAAGGAAAATTGAAGACACAGGCCACTTCAGTTCCCCCTAACAAAGCACAAGCCATTTCCAGCCCTTGGTAACCTCCAGGGACTGATGTAGCCCCTGCTAGAATATGGCTGGGCAGGCCCTTGATGACAAAGGTTTTCAGTGCCCTTTAAAAATAAAAGAGGTCATTTTTGAAAACCAGTTCATGTGGAGAACAGAGTGGACAGGTGATCCTGTAGCTTTAGGCAACTGGGTGGAACACCTGGGTCAAGGACCAAATGCCCACTGCAGCCTGACCTTAGCTCCAGGAAGAGCGACCTGAGAGGACAAGGCTAGGGTGGACGGCCTGGGCCCTAGACACCCAGGAGATGGGTCCTGACTCCACCAGCTGTTGACCTAAGCTTCAAAAGACAGCAGGACAAGCAGCAACTCGCAAGAGGAGGGACATTGCCTTGAAGGCAGAGTGGCTTAGGACAGCATGCTGGAAGATTCGACTCTTCTGGCAACCACAGGCATATTAAGCCACCTCCTCTGCTGTAAACCCTTCAGTCATCTTAGAAACGTGGGAGAGGAAGGGGAGGGGTCTGAGATACGATCATTTTCTTTTTCCTGGAGAGGTAAACATTTTCTGGAGAGCCTGTTGAAATTATTTTGTTGGACTGGGTGTTTTAGTCAGGGTTTTCCAAAGAAACAGAACCAATAAAAGACTTACACAGACAGTCCCTGATTTACAATGGTTGGATTTATGATTTTTCAACTTCATTATGGATTTATTGGAATGTAACCCTATCCTAAGTTGAGGAGCATCTGTGTGTGTGTGTGTGTGTGTGTGTGTGTGTGTGTGTGTGTGTACTATCTAGATCTAGAAATATTTATTAGATTTAAATATCGTGAAGAACTAGCTCACACAACTGTAGAGGCTAAGAAGTCCCACAATGGACATGCCATCTGCAAGCTGGAGACCCAGAAAAGCCAGAGGTGTAATTCAGGATGAGTCTGAAGCCCCTAGAACCAGGGGAGTTGATGTAAATCCCAGACTGAGGGCAGGAGAGGATGAGATGATGCCCTGGCCCAACCAGTGAGGCTGGAATAAAAGGGGAAAATTCCCCCTTATACCATTTGTTCTATTCAGACCTCAGTGGCTTGAATGATATACTCAACCGCATTGGGAGGATAATCTATCTACTTTACTGCGTCCACTGATTCAATGCTAACCTCACCTGGAATCACTCTCACTGGCCCACCCAGAATAATGCTTAATCTGGGCACCCCGTGGCCCATCCAAGTCAACACGTAAAATTAACCATTACACTGGCTATACCTTGTATCTCCCTGCCCCTCCCCACCACATGCTATTCAGCAAGTGGGAGTCCAGAAAGAGGACCAGATCAGTTACATAGTGTTATGTATTTAATTGTGTCCTCCCAAAATTCATATGTGGAAGTCCCAACCCTTGGTACCTCAAAATGTGACTGTGTTTGGAGATCATTGAAGACATAAGTCATTATGTTATGATGAGGTCGTATTGCAGTAGGGTGGACCTTTCATCCAATATGACTCGTGGCCTTATAAAAAGGGGAAATTTAAACACAGACCCGTATATGGGGAGAAGGCATGTGAAGATGAAAGCAGAGATGGGGGTGATCCTTCTACAAGCCAGGGAACACCAAAAATTGCCAGACCACCAGAAGCCAGGAGAGAGGCCCAGAACAGATTCTCTCTCACAGTTGCAGAAGGAAACAACCCTGCCAACACCTTGGTTTTGAACTTCTGGCATCCAGAACTGTGAGACAATCAATTTCTGCTGTTTAAGTCCCACATTTTGTGGTTCTCTGTTATTGAAACCCTAGCAAACTAGTCCATATGAAAACAAAGAGACTATATGTTCACATGTTCTATGAATCCATACCTGACCTAATCTGCAGGACTAAAGTATCCCAAGCCAGTCTTGCTGTGAGACGGTCACAATGAAGCCACCAGCAACATGGGCTGCAATGCTGAGAGGGGCCAGAGAGACATGGAGTAGGCAAGAGAGCATTGAGGAAATCTTCTGTCTGGTCTCAGAATCCTTTGCTCATTTGCTCTCTGGGGTCAGCTTTGCCCTTAACAATGAGCCTCAATTCCCCTTGGTCTGTTAGTGTTTGCAAAAACTCAAAAGGATGAAGATAGGTGTTATGGAAGAAATGAAATTTGGATTTGTAGGTATACTCCCCCTTCTGTTCTTTGCATGAATTAGTGAAGTATTGGCAACATCATCTGCGAGTCATTTTGCATTTTTCCTGGAGAAGCGGGACCAGCTTTGTTAGGCCAAACACTCTAGCAATGTCTGTGGAAACCTACTTTGATTCTCCCTGCTCCAAGAATTCCCCCTCAATGACCCCCTACAAATGCCAATCGGTTCTTTCCTCTTGGTCTCTCAGGTATTCAGTCACATGAACTGTTTGTGTCAAAGCCTTCCAGAAAAAAGCCAACCAAACCAGCAAACAACCCCTCGCCTCCCCAGGTACTAGAAGGAGATGCTATTGAAGCAGACTGACCCAGTCTGGGATGGGGTTGCTCAGCAGATAGAAGCCCAGGGCACTGGGGTCTTGGGTTGTGTTGACGAGATCTACCAAAGGCCAGTCTTCTCTTACAAAATCCATGGGGCAAAGGAGAAGCTGCAGGACCTGGAAAAGAAGAGAGTGGGGCAGGGGTGGGGCACCGAGGGGTGAGAGCAGCTGTGGTCATCTTCAGAAGCAGCAGTTAGGCAGCTGCTCATATGGCAAACAGCAAACAGTCCCAAGGCCAAGTAGGGGATACTTGGTGAAAATGGAACAGAAAATATAATGATTCCACAGATTCAGAGCGAAGGGGGATAAACGGTTACCCATGCTGTCCCTCACCTGGGAAAGGGGAGAGCTAGTGTTTGATGCATAAGTGCAGTTGCTATGAAACATCAGAATCACCCAGGGATGTTTTAGGGGGACAGATCCTTGGGTGGCACCCCAACCCACGGACCCACTGCATCTCTGGGGGTGGGTGGGGTGGGGGTCAGGGCATTCCTGCTATTACCCAGGACAGTATTCATATGTCTTTTGCAGCTGTAATTAAAGGACACTGTGGTGGCTGATGCTTGGCCTTGAATTACTAGGAAAAGATTGTTTTCTGTGTTGATCCGGTCCAGAGAACAATAGGATGACAATATGTACATAGTACTTTACAGTGTTTGAGGAGCTTCTCTACACATTGCCTCATTTCCTTCTCTTCACAACCTATGAGGTTCAGATCATCCAATTGCTGGTTTGCAGAGGCAGAGATGCACGAGGTCACAGAGATAACAGGAGTTGTATTTCCTCGTGCAAGATCCCACATCTTTCTATAAAATCCTATCTGCAGAGAAATATCACTGTACTTTAGGACAACGTGCATTAAAATTTGTTAAATTATGAGCTTCAAGTCAGTGACAGGTAAAACATTTAAAAATAAATTTTAAAAATTATTAAATTAAAATCATATTTTAAAAAGGGTTTATTCAGTTAACCGGAATGCAAGCCCTGTCTGTTGAAATGAAGCCTCAGTTATTCAGAATGCAATTCCTCTTTCAGTTCTCAGCTGCTGCAGTTGCTGCCTATTTATTGATAAATGCTCACTAAGAAATGAGTGGAAGAGGGCTGGATGCAGTGGCTCATGCCTGTAATCCCAGCACTTTGGGAGGCCATATTGGTCAGGCTAGTCTCGAACTCCTGACTTCAGGCGATCCACCCACCTCAGCCTCCCAAAGTGCTGGGATTACAGGTGTGAGCCACCACACCCAGTCTCCAACTGTCCATTTCTGAAGTGAGTACCTTTGTGCAGAGGCTCACCAACCACATCCGAGGTGGAGGTGACCTCCACGAACCAGCTGGGCAAATTCTTGGGCTACTGACTGGCTCGAGACTCTCCAGATGTGTGTGGCTGTCATTTGGAATTGTCCCACAGAACAGACAGGCTGCAAAGCAGGGAGCCTGAGGCTGACTCAGATGGCCTGCCAGAGTCCACAGCAGCTGGGCTGCGTGATCAAGACTGATCACTTTCTGGACCATGTGTTTTTCTCTGGAAACTCAGGTTTATGATGCTTATCATAGGGGCTATCGGTGGGAGTGAGGAACTGATGGAGAAATGCTTTGAAAAGAGTAAGTGTCAGCAAACTGGGTGGGCTGGCAGCCTCTGCTCATTTTGCTGTTTTGCTTTCATGAGGTGACTTAGCCACAGGCAGAGATAAGGCCTGTCACCTCCGGCCAAGAGCCATCCTGTAAGTCAAAGGTTTGTTGTCAAACTTAACAACGTGGACCAGGGCTGTCCCATTGGAATTGAAATCCCTGGGCACTGGGGGAAGTAGGTTAAAAGTTCTGATCAGGGCCAATTGGCCTACAGGGCAGGACACTGGGACACGGTTTATCTCAGGTCCTGGCTGGTATGGCTCCTGCTGGGAGACTGATGACTGCAGAGAAGGATGTGGGTTGGGTGGGAGTGATTTCAGGGACATAGGGAAAAATATACCCCCCAGTATGGGTGTCCTGTGAGCCTTGATACGCTTTGGAAATGTTCACTTACAAATGCAATTCTTAACTCCATTAAAGCTTAAATCCCTTTGGAAGTTGTGACCCCGAATGCTAGTGTGAGTCACATACATTTCAACATTAGTGAGTATATTAGTTCATTTTCATACTGCTATAAAGAACTGCCCAAGACTGGGTAATTTATAAAGGAAAGAGGTTTAATTGACTCACAGTTCAGCATGGCTGGGGAGGCCTCAGGAAACTTACAGTCATGGCGGAAGGCAAGGGGGAAACAAGTACCTTCCTCACAAGGTGGCAGGAAGGAGAAGGGGGAACAGCCCCTTATAAAACCATCAGATCTCATGAGAACTCACTCACTATCATGAGAACAGAATGGGGGAAACCACCCCCATGATTCAATTACCTCTACCTGTTCTCTCCCTTGACATGTGGGGATTATGGGGATTACAATTCAAGATGAGATTTGGGTGGGGGCACAAAGCCTAACCATATTAGTGAGTCTGTCAGATCCTTCTGGATCAAGAGTTTGATTCAGAAGTGAGGACTGGGGAGGAAGGAAGAACAGGAAAGGGACAGTGGGGAGAAGTGGGATGCAATTCACAACAAAGATTTGATTGTGCATTACAAAAGGTTGATAAGTTTCTGGCATAAAATAAAGTTTGGAGATTGCCTATGACTTGAAAATGGCCGAGCTCTCCTGTTTCCTTTGGATCTAAGAGTTTTGAGCTGATTGAGTTTGTTATTTTTCTATGTATCAACTAACAAGATAATATCTAAGATATATTTTTATCCATTTTGAGAAAACATCAAGTTCCTTTCTTTCTACTAAATGATCTGTTTTCTTGGTGCATGTGTGGTATTTTAGGAGGTGTGGTAGCATATTGCTTCATATTATCACCCATTCTGAAATAATCCTTAAATGCTTTTTCTCCTTGACATCCTTGTCAGGTGTTTGTTGTGTCTCTTGTTCTGTTGCATGAAAGGGTGCTTTATAAATAATACACGCTCTATAATTTTTTAAGGTGACAATGGTGGTAACAATCATGATGATGACCATGCTTTAATTAGCCAACTTCTTACTTCATTTTCCTTGAACACATTTTAGATCTCAGTCTTCTTGACCTGTTTTGACAGTTAACATGCAGCAGGGAAAGACGTGGGAATCTGGATCTCTGGGCACTGGGGGATCTGGATTGTCTGCCCTTGGCTAACAGCCTGAACCCATCCAAATGACTTCTTCTCTCTGGGTCTTGATTCCAGTGCCTTGCAAGAATAATGACCCAATTCTACCAAGACTTCTCTCTCTCTCTCTCTCTCTCTGTCTTTTTATTCCCAAGAAAATTCAGAAATCCAGATTTTAGAAAAATCATCTAATTTTAAATGTTGCCAACTAATTCAGATTTAAAAAAAGTTGCAGGCCAAGCAAGCTCAAACTGAGAGTTGACACCTTATCATCTCTGAATGGGAGAATCTAGAAAGCTCCTCTCAGTAAACAGGCTGTGGTTCTTCAGATAATGAGTAAGAAGGGAGATTTTGATTCCCGTCCTAGTCACAAAGTAAAAGGTCCAGAAGTTGCAGGGCCAGGGGACAGGGCTGAGAGCTGCTCCAGCCTTGACCAATCATCAGAATTACCATAGGAGTTGGAAAAATGGTCAGATTACAGATTCCCACTTCAGACACACTAAGCAGGAATCATGCATCTATTTATCCATCCGTCCATCCAACCATCCATCTATCCATCCTTCCATCCTTCCATCTTTTCATCTGTCCTTGCATCCATTCTTCCATCCATTTGTTGGCCTATCATTAATGTATCTATCCATCCATCCTTCCATCTTTTCTTTTTTCCTTTTTTTTTTTTTTGAGACGGAGTCTTGCTCTGTCACCCAGGCTGGAGTGCAGTGGTGCGATCTCAGCTCACCACAACCTCCACCTCCCAGGTTCAAGTGACTCTCCTGTCTCAGCCTCCCGAATAGCTGGGATTACAGGCGCATGCCACCATGCCTGGTTAATTTTTCTATTTTTAGTAGAGACGGGGTTTCACTATTGGTCAGGCTTGTCTCGAAATCCTGACCTCGTGATCTGCCTGCCTTGTCCTCCCAAAGTTCTGGGATTACAGGTATGAGCCACCGCACCTGGCCCATTCTTCCATCTTTTCATCCATCTTTCCATCCATTCTTCCAACCATTTGTTGGCCTATCATTAATGTAAACATCCATCCATCCATCCATCCATCCATCCATCCATCCATCCATCCTTCCATCCATCTGCTCTCCAGCAGATATTTGTTTAAGCACTACTGTGTGTGCTGGACACAGCTATAGCCACGGTGGAGGCAGTGGCCAGGAGAAAATTTATGCCTGGCTGTTCCCAAGTGGCTGATGGGCTCTCCCGATTGCCCATTTACCAGCAGGCTGTGGACTCTGGTTCCTGTAAACTTTGATACCAAGAAAGCTGACTCTGTATAAAATTTAAAAATTGTGAAACAAGGGAGGTTCTGAATGTTTACATTCTGGCCTTTTGGCTCAACTCCAGGAAGAGATACATGTGCAGGGTGCAAGATATAATCAATTCACCAGTTCCCACCAGGAAGTCTTGCTCATGTTAGGGACAAAGAAAGCTGTCTCCACACCAAGACTGACTGCCTGGAACTGGAGCAACAGGGACTAAAACTTTAGAAAGGCAAATAGGAAATACCTTTTTGTTTCTAAAGATTACCCATGGGATAAGATTCAGGGTCAGACACAGAAACTTCCTATTGTTTTATCAATTAGTCATGAGCACCTATCATGCCCACAATCTCTACTGAGTAGAGGACACAAGGAGAGAAATAGGAATTTACATCCCCGCTTTTGAGACAATGAAGGTCTCGTTGAGGTACCTCATTTTTATTGAGAAAGCAATGTGAGACAGGATATAGTCACGTATGCAATTTGCGTGCAGACAGCAAGTGCTGGGGAGGGACTAGACATCTTTGTAAACCTCCTTCTGAGCAGAGGAAACTGTGCTCCTAGTCAGTTATGATTGCTGTTTCTTCTCTTTCCTGTGAGTATGGAGTGATTTCTGGCTGCATTCTCCCTACTCTGCCTGCAGGCTCAGTCAGTCTTTCCCAGGTGGTTAGATAGTTCTTAGCATTAATTTTGAAATCAAATGACTGTGTGAGCTTGGGGAAGTTAGTTAATATCTCTGATCTTCAGCGTCATGTGTAAAATGTGGGCGATCATACCAGCTGTATAGCATTATAATGAAGATTAAATGAGATCGTGTATATTAAAACAACTATGGTGCCTTGGTATTCAATAAATATAATTTCATTTTTCCTTGGAGAAATAGGAATACTGATTCTCCTAAACCTGTGCTCCCCAACACAGTAGCCACCAGCCACGTGTAGCTATTGAGCACTTGAAGTGTGCAGTCTAAATGGAGATCTGCTGTATGTTTTACACACACAGCAGATTTTGAAGATTTTGTGTGAAAAAAATGTAAAATTTGATTACATGTTGAAGTGATAATATTACAAATGGATTAGGTTAAATAAAATATATTGTTAAATTAATTTAACCCACTTTCTTTTAATGTTCTCAAAGTGACAATTTAAAAACTTTAAATTACAAATATGGCTCATGTTGCATTTTTATTGGACAGTACCATAAAACTTTGCCAAGGTAGATGGTCTGGAGTTCCCAGAGATTTTACCTAGTGGGCCATCTCCTATGGATTTGCCTAAGAAGAAAAACTGGGGTGCGGTTTTGTGATGGGGTACAAAGACAATCTTGATTGATTTAAAATGACTGGGACTATCACCGTCCAAAACTCAAGTCAGACATGTAGCTGCTTTTCCCTCATTTGGGATGAAATGAGGTGGGTGTTTGCTGGGATGCTCTGTGAAGACAGAGAAGGAAATTACAATTGTTCAATAAATATTAGCTATATTTATTTTATTCCTCCAGCTCTGGGTCACATAATCATAACCCCTGCAAAAACACCAAAGGTACATTTTTAAAGATCAGGACTATTTCCACTATGATTCAATATTATGCTAGTGTCCTAATAAAAGTAAATGAGAGAAATCACTTGGAACAGCAGTCCCCAACTTTTTTTGCACCAGGGACTGGTTTTGTGGAAGACAATTTTTCCCCTGGGTGAAGGGGGTGGGGAATGGTCTCACTGGCCATTAGATTCTTATTAGGAGAATACAACCCAGATCCCTTGCATGCACAGTTTACAATAGGGTTCGCGCTCCTATGAGAATCTAATGCCGCTGCTGATCTGACAGGAGGCAGAGCTCATGCACTAATGCTCACTCACCTGCTGCTCACCTCTTGATGTGCAGCCCGATTCCTAACAGGCCACAGGCTCACCTCTTGATGTGCAGCCCAGTTTCTAACAGGCCACAGACCGGTACTGCTCCATGGCCCGGGGATTGGGGACCCCTGACTCAGAAGCATAAAAATGGGTTTTTTAAAAAAGCTATCCCAATTTGCAGACAATATGTTAGTGTATTTGTTTGCTAGGGTTGCCATAACAGAATACCACAGACTGGGTGGCTTAAATGATAGAAATTTATTTTCTTGAAGTTCTGAAGGCTGGAAGTCCAAGATGAAGGTGTCAGCAGGGTTGGTTACTCCTGAGACCTCTCTCCTTGGCTTGCAGATGGCTCTCTTCTTGCTCACATGGTCTTTCCTCTGTGCAGGACCATCCTTGTTCTCTATTTTGTGTGTTCAAATTTCCTCTAATTATAAGGACACACATCAGATTGGATTAGGGCCCACTCTAAAGGCCTCACCTTAACTTTACTTCTCTAAGGCTCTATCTCCAAATACAGTCTCATTCTGAGGTACTGAGGCTTGGGGCTTCAACACGTGAAATTTGGGGAAGCACAAGTCAGTCCATGACAGCTACTGTCCTTGGAAAGCCTTAGAAATCAATGATAAAACTATCTCAAACAACAAAAAATTCAGTAAAGTAACAGGGTATAAAATTAACATATGGTTGAGGGGGGAAAGAAGGGTTGATTAATGGGTACAAAAATACAATTAGATAGTAAGAATAAGATCTAGTATTTGGTAGTACAATAGCGTAACTATTTTTTATATATTTCAAAATAACTGGAGAAGTAGATTTGGAATTTTCTTAACACAAAGGATAAATGTTTGAGGTGATAGATACCCAATTGCCCTGACTTAATCATTACATATTATATGCTTGTATCAAAATAATACATGTACCTCATAAATATGTACAACTATTATGTGCCCATAAATACTAAAAATAAAAATAAAATTAACATATAAAACCCAATATCTATCATATACACAAATAATAACCAGTTAAAGGACATAATGTTAGAGAAAATTTCATTTATAACAGCAATAAGAAATATTAAATACTTTGGTATAAACTTTGTTAAGCTTATTCTGGTTAGAAACATCCAAATTTTACAAAAAGGACTTTAAAAACATTCTTGCAAGACACAAAAGTAGGCTTTAAGAAGTGGGAAAGATAGCTCCAATTGTTGAACAAGATGACTCAATGTCATAAAGATATCAGTTCTCTGTAGGTTATGGGAGAAACATGGTGCACTATCAATAAAAATTCCAACAAGTCTTTTCTTGGGGTGTTCAGGTAAGTTGATACTAAAGTTCATGTAGAGAAACAGGCCTGCAAGAGTGGATGGAAAACACTGAAAAATAAAAAGTATGGAGGTCACTGGCTCCACTGGACATTAAAACATAACATAAATTGCTTTAAATTAAAAGCATGATATTGGTGCATGAATATAAATATAGACTAGTAGAAAATAATAGAAAGTCCATCAATAGACCTAAGTTCACATGGAAATTTAGCATATGATAGAAGCAGCATCTCAAATTCCAGAGCAAAGATGGGTTTTTTAATAAATGATGCTGGTACAACTGGATCTCCACTTGGAAAAGGATACAGTTAGAACCATACATTGCATCACATGTAAGAATGAACTTGAAATGGATTAGAGATCTAAATGTAAAATATGAAACCATTAAAGTTCTAGAGAAAAACGTGGGCGAATTTCTGTTAACCTCAGGTAAGAGGTTAACTCAGTTACCTCTGCCTGTAATCCTAGCACTTAGGGAGGCTGAGGCAGGAGGATTGTTTGAGCG
Source organism: Homo sapiens (assembly GCF_000001405.40). Taxonomy (NCBI): domain Eukaryota; kingdom Metazoa; phylum Chordata; class Mammalia; order Primates; family Hominidae; genus Homo; species Homo sapiens. The sequence goes on from NC_000018.10 coordinate 49,689,052, forward strand.
CAGGAGTTTGAGGCCAGCCTAGATAATATAAGGAGACCCCCATCTCCACAGAAGAAATTTTAAATTATCCAGGTGTGGTGGTATGCTCCTGCGGTCCAAGCTACTCAGAAGGCTGAAATGGAAGGATGTTTTGAGCCTGGGAGGTTGAGGTTTCAGTGAGCCATGATCACACAACTGCACTCCACCCTGGACAACAGAGTGAGGCCCTGTCTTAAAACACAAGTCTTCATGACAAAAATATCACCCTAAACAAATTCAAATGATAACTGATATCATTGGAGAAGTTAATTGCAACATATACCACTAACCATGAGCTAATATTCCTACAATATAAAGAACTCTCAAAAACTGAAGGGCAAAAACATCAAAAACCTGATAGAAAAATGAGGGAAAGTCATGAACAGGCATTTCACACACACAAAAAAGATGTTAAAATGACCCTTAAACACTAAAAAAGTTCAAATTTACTATTTTCACTGGCTACTATAAGGCTAAGGGCAAAAAGAATTGTATGCAAATATTGTGTTCTAGTTCGTAAATTTGTTTCTCATAGGGAATTTTTCTTCAGTTCTGAAGTTATTTTATGTCTACACTAGAATTGAACAAATTAATAAACATAATGTGGATACAGATAGATGAATACAGAAATTAATAGAGGCATAAATGTGTATGTGTGTGTGTGTGTGTGTGTGTGTGTGTGTGTGTGTATTTTCTGTGTCTGTCTGCTGAGGAGGCTTAGAAGGAATGACATTCCATTAGCAATGAGTATGCCTACTGCTCAGATCTTGTTTCCTAAATACCATTCTCCAATAAAAGGAAGCAGCATTCATTGGTGAAATGGTTGATTCCAGGGTTAGGGCAGGGAAAATAAGACATAAGCTGGGAATATCTTATGCCAGAAAGTAAGGAAGTGCTCAAAAAGAGATGGGGCATGGCAAGGGACACAGGGCCCAGCCTGGAAGAGCTCCCAATGCCAAAGGTGGGAGAACTCAAGTAATACTATAAAAAATGAGAAGATTAAACTAAATAAATATAGATTACTAGGTAGAATAAAATAAACATTCATTCATACTGTTATAAGTAAATAATTTAAAAAATATTGGTAGAGAAGGGACAGCTTCTTCTTACAGAATTCCAATTATTAAATATAGAAGGAATGAGAAAAATAGAAAATCAACATTTGGCAAATATCACACTAATTAGCAAGAACCAGAGAGGGATGCTAAAATGAGTAGGCAAAAGCACGATGAGAAACATGGTATCTGCATAGTTTCAAAGTATCTCCCCACAATATATTCATTACTTACAAAGCAAAAAATTGTAACTTTATAGTGGAGAAACCACCTTAACCATGTGGTCAAGGCTAACAAGTAACAAGACCTACTGACATCATGTATACCAATATGACACACACAGAAATATACAGCGTCCCTGCTGTTGTTCTTGCCAAGATTGAGTAATCGCAATGTAATCATAAGAAAACATCAGACAAACCTCAAAACTGAGACACTTTCACAGACCAGAGGAGACCAAGCAGACATGATGACTAAATGCCGTGTAGGATTCTGCATTGGATCCCAGACAGAAAAAAAAGGACATTAGTGGGGAAGCTGCTGAAATTCAACTAAGATCTATAGTTTAGTTAACAGTATTGCATCAGTGTTAATTTTCTGCTTTTGGAAACAGGAGCGTTTGTATCATGTAAAATGTTAACATTAAGGAAAGCTGGGTGAAGGATATATGGAAAACCTATGTTATCTTTATAATTTTCCATAGTCTAAAATTACTTTTTTAAAAAAAGGTATTAAAATTGACTCCTATGTATTTGCTGGGTCAGAGATCCAGAGTCAAATATGAGCAGATGCCCATGGCTCCCCTTCAGCTTCCTCCCATCTCAGCCTCACTGTGGTGAATTCACAATGATAGAATGATGCACTTCATTCATTGTCTCATTATATGTCCAGTATTGTACCTCTATTCACCCAATCCTAGAAGACAGAAATTAAAACATAATCATATTTTTAAAGTTTTTATCCACCAGCAATGAATAAAACTCTAATGGAAGCTAGAATAAAAAATTTGAAGCAAAACTGAAAGTGACAACTATTTCAACCTCTTTAAAGATCAGAATAGAAAGAGAAATTGCTTGTGCATTCCAGGGCCACAGTGCCTTAGAAAACCAAAAGAACTGGAGTGAGAAGAAATGAGTCCCATCTGAGTCATTTGAATCTACTTGGTTTCCCAAAACTTTCTGCATAGCTGATCCATGATTCCTGATATTCTAGCTATATAAGTACTCCTCCCCACCCGCTCCCCAGTGATTGCCATCTACAACAAACAGGAAGTAGCTTTGTCAGAATTAGTTGGCCATTAGCTGGGTGGGAGTAAGGTGAGGGAAAAACCAGGCGAGAGGAAGAGTGTGTGGGGGCAGAGAACTGGAAGAACCTTGGCTGGGAGGTAGTGGTGTCTGCTGACCCATGCACAGTAACTGGCAGGGTCCCAAACCCCTGCTGCAGAAGTTCCATGTGGCTTTTGGAGGGTTGGCTGGAGGGGTGTGGGATGGAGAGCTGCTACAAGCTGATCAAGCGGCTCTTTGAGGGATGCAAAAGTTTAGAGAACTAACAAGTCTGTTCTTATGACACGTGGTCAGTAGTACATATACCTTTGCTAGTGGCGCCATAGGCAGACAAACAGAAGATATCAATGTCCTTTCTGGGAAGAGCCCTTATGGGAAACTGACCAGGAGCCCCCCTGGGCCAAGTCACCACTAGCTGGACCATTAAATGAGTTCCAGCCTGAGGGGAGCCTCTGTTATGTACTTGGAGGCAAGGCAGGGCAGCCCAGCCCCAAGACCATCTCCTATGATGGGTTAGGTTAACCAGCCTTGTGCATAGACACTCTAGGTCACCATGTACCTGGTTCTCTTGCCATTGGAAGGCCTGAAGCTTTGTTCCATTGCATCAGTAGTGCATGGATGTATGGCAGGTGCACCACCCCTTAGGGTGATTAGGTGCCTGAGTTACCTTTCCTCCTAACATGTCGATTTCAGTGGGGGAAGGGACAAGGAGGTCTCACAGTCCTAGAGCACAGGAATTGGTGGGCATCCTGGCTGGGCCCTGAAGGGCATGCTGGGGAGCCTGCAGCCAAGAGGCCTTCAAGAAATAACTGGACATCCCTGGACAGAGAGGGAGATGTTGGCAAGGACAAACTTGGCCTGGGGCTGTGGCAGGTGAGGCTTTTGCCTGTCAGCAGCCTCTTCCAGCTGTGAGGCCTCCGTGGGGACTATGGAGTGGCACGGCAGACCCAGAGTACTGGCTTGGGCAAAGGAAGGAGAAACTGCCATTCCCCTGTAGAAGAGTCCTCAAGGTGATACGTGGCAGAGATACATGGCAGGGGCCTGCTAACTACAGCCTGTGGGCCTATTCTGGCCTCTTTTTTGCAAATAAAGTTTTATTGGAACACAGCCACACTCATTGTGCTTTCATGCTGCAATGGCAGGGTTGAGTAGTTGTAATGAAACCATACGGCCCACAAAACCTACAATATTTATTATCTGGCCTTTAATGGAAAAAGTTACCTGACCCCTGGTCTAGGGCATATTGGGTTCTATCTGTGCTTTCTAAAAAGATAAACTCCCTCTCAAAAAACTAAATTCTATTATGATGTTCCCCAAATCCTACCTCAACTGTTCTACCAAAAATTCCAGCGTCCAAGCCTCCACATCCCCCTCCAGCACCTAAGGAAGTCACAGCACTTCTGCAAGCACTGCTCCCTTCATCTATCATAGCAAGACCAGAAACAGCCACCTCTTAGGCCACTCTGGGGATGAGGCCCAAGAAATGAGTGAGTAGCCAGGAATAAAAGGAATGAGCTTGAATGGTGAGAATTCTGTGAAACCGCCAGTATGTGTATACATTTTAAATCATGAAATAGATGCGTTTTCTCTGCTAGATGACACACTTGGTTAACAACAACAACACATTGCAGACGGGTTTTCAGTGCAAGTTAAGCTGTTTATTTCTGGGGGTCCCCAGGGTCCCAGGCAGGAAGCAGAGGATTAACAAAAAAAGGTGTGAATTAGGGTGGAGGAGAGCAGACTCGTGAAGAGTTTCTGACAGCGCTGAGCTGTGTCCAAAATGAATTAGGCTTCCAGACATTGCACACTCGTTCTAAATTTAGACCTGGAGTCTGTGATTGACAAAGATGAATCCAACCTATGGCAGTCGCTGGGGATTTAGGATATAGACACGAAGTTTCTACAACTTTTACAAAGCCAACATGTAAGATACACTCACTAGATTTTGGTCCTAGACTATGCCATTGTGAAAACCAAGTATTACAAAGCCAGATATTAAGCAGATACCAAAAAGTTCTAAGACACCACTTTCTCCCTCAAGGGCCATATAATCCAGCTAAGAAAACAGATATATGCACGTAAAAAGATAGCACTGCTCTGTGTATATAATTGGGATTAAGTTCAGTTGTGACTAAAACCCTCAAGACAAGCCAAAAAGTCCAGGGCTGATGGGGCCTCTCTCTCCCACGGAGCCCTCTGGGACTTGGGCTCCTTCCTCTAAGCCCTCCACCATCTCTAGGGAGTGTCCCCATCCTCTTGGTTAATGGCACAGCTGCATTCCAGGCAGCAGGGAGAGGCAGGAACTAAGAAGGGACCAAATAAAGTCGTTCAATTCAAAGTTTATTTGGGAGTCAAGTAAAGTTTACAGTGGGAGTACAAAACTAGAGATTTGTTTCAGGTCACACACTTTGCTTGTACAACCTCTAGATTGCGTAAGTTATGCCTTCATTTATATCTTTAACACCCTAAGCATATTGATCGAAGTCTTTGTCAGACGGTTCTATAAAATTAATTTCATCTGGAGTAAATTAGTATTTTGAATATTAAATCTGTGAACTGTCTTTGTAAGCACTGGGCTTCTCCATGTGTTTTGGAATTCTGATGTACAGGCTTATTTTGAGGCTTGGAGTACTTGCTTTTTCATTTATTCTGTCTTTTTTCTCTGTACACATTCTCCCTTAACAAGCAGTTTTGTAACGGTCACCACTCAACCGTCTGGGTCCCCAGTACAGAACTGGATCCTTGAATGGCAGTTGAGAGTGTCCTGCCCTGTGGGGATTTGAGGGTTCTGTGGATCTGGATGCAGAGGCAAAGGGTAGCTGGTCTCAGCTTCTGGTCGCAAAGCAATGTCTTGTTCTCCAGTCTCTTACATCTACAGCTTTTAGAAATTCCTGGCTCTTGGCAGAGGTTGGTCAGCCTAATTTCATGGGTAAGAAGGGAGCCCTACTCCGCTGCCTGCCTTCAGGTACTGAGGGTGTCTCTGGTCCCTTCTACTATCTTGAATAGAGCTCCTTTTGTCCTCCTTTCCCCAGCTTCCACCGCCTGTCTCCAGACCTGAAGCCCAGCAGGCTGCAGCTTCAGCTCTGTTCACCCCTCTGTGCTCCTATTGCTTGTCCACAAAGATGTTAATCTCATTTATGAGTCTGGAGAAGTCTTTGGTTATCTTTTAAAAATATTGTGTCTGTCAACACTTAGTGATCAAAGAGTGAATGCATGGCACCCTTTTGTCAGGAAGTTCCCACAGTCCTTAAGATCCAAAGGAGTGGTCCTGCTCAAAGGGGAAAGAGGGGGAAGAGATTCCCAAGGCCAAACTATCAGGATTTATGGAGGGGAAATGACCTGACTTGGACAAATAGGATTAGGATGGGTGGAAAGAAGCAGAGAAGGCCATCCAGGCCAGAGACACATGGGACATGGTGGGGGATGTTTGTGTTAGATCATCCTGGCTAGAGCCAGTTCCCTGCTACATATTCTCATGCTGAGCTGGTCTTCTCCTTCACAGGACTTATCACCATAGTTATTGATTATGTGTTTGTGTGTTTGTGTGATTATTTGATTAATGTGCATCTCGTCCTGTACTGTCAGGTCCATGAGGGCAGAGATCATATGCGTGCCCAGTTGGATCCCAAGCACCAATTTTGGTAGTTAGTCCAGGCTTGGTGAAAAAGAAATGAATGAATAAAGCTGCAGAGATGGGTGTGGGGTGGCCCGCGATCTGGCTGTTAGGAGTTTGAAATCTTTTGGAAGATATTAATTTAAACAATTACTGTATGGATTCCAGTGGAGGGGCACATGCTTGCTTTGGGCTTCTCCTAGGCTGCCAGGTTACTGTAAGGACTGTCTGAGGAAAGTAAGCTCTGGGGAAGAAGGCATGGGACCCTGCCATGCCAGGCCAACCCATCAGCAGACCCCAAAGAAAAGTGGACAAAGAAACACAAGAGTTTTTAAGGAGATATTTGATATAGACAGCAGAAGTTGGCTTTTATTATTTAAAATTTCTGATTTAGTTTTAATGAGAATTTTTTTTAAGACAGGGTCTCACTCTGTCACCCAGGCTGGAGTGCAGTGGTCTGAAAGCAGCTCACTGCAGCCTTGACCTCTGGGACACAGCGATCCCTCTGTCTCAGTCTCCCAAGTAGCTGGGACCACAGGTGCGTGCCACTGTGCCCAGCTAACTTTTTTATTTTTGTAGAGATGGAGGTCTCACTTTGTTATCCAGGCTGGTCTTGAACTTCTGGACTCAAGCAACCTTCCAGCCTTGGCCTCCCAAAGTGCTGGGATTATAGGGGTGAGCAGAGTAAGCATTTTTAGAAAGAATTTTATTTTACCATTAATTATTTTGTTTCCATTACTTTGCTTTTTTCTTTCTTTCTTTCTTTTCTTTTCTTTTTGGAGACAGGGCCTTGCTCTGTTGTCCAGGTTGGAGTACAGTGGTGTAATCATGGCTCACTGCAGCCTCAAACTCCTGGCCTCAATTGATTCTCCTGCCTCAGCTTCCCAAACTCTTGGGATTACAGGCGTGAGCCACCACGCCTAACCTACATTTCTTTATGCAAATTCAAGTTTTATTTCCGTATCACGTTCCTGTACCTGAATAACTTCTTTTAAAATTTCTTGTGTTGTGAGGTCTGCTGACAATGAATTCTCTGTTTTTGTCTGAGAAAGTCTTTATCTTTCCTTTATTTTGGAAGTGATTTTCACTGGGTATAGATTACTGGGTTGACAGTTTGTTTCTTTTTTCTTTCAGTGTTTTAAAGCTGTCACTCTATCATCTTCTGACTTGCATGGCTCCTGACAAGAGATCTGCTATAATTCTTTGTTCCTCTGTATATAATGTGTTTTTTCATTCTACATTTTTTTTTATTTTCAAGATATTCTCTTTTTTATTTTCAGCAGTCATAATATGGTATGCCTAGATGTGTATATGTATGTGTATTTTCTGGTGTTATTTAACCTGGTATTCACTGAGCTTTACGGATCTGTGGCTTAGTGTCTGTCATGATTATTGGAAAATTCTCAGCCATCATTTCTTCAAATATTTCTCCTATCTTATTCTCTTTTTTCATGTATTTCTTGGACTGTAATTACATGTATATTAGGATCTTTAATATTGTCCTGAAGCTTTCGGATGTTCTGTTCTCTGTTTTTCCCTCAGTCTTTTCTTTGTGTTTCAGTTTGGGTAATTTCTATAGCACTATCTTTAACTGATTCTTTCCTCAGCTGTGTCAATTCTATTAATGAGCTCATTGCAGACATTATTTCTGTTACTGTGTTTTCATTTCCAGCATTTCCATAGATTCTTTCATATAGTTTCTATATTTTTGCTGAAAGGACCTTTCTAATCTTGCATATTGTCCTTCTTTTCCATCAGAGCCTTTAATATATTCATCATGATTGTTTTAAGTTCCCTGTCAGGTAGTTTCAGTGTCTGTGTTGTATCTGGTTCTGTAGAAGCTCTTCTGTTCTGTTGATGGCTGTGGTGTGGAGCTAGTGTGTAGTTCTGGGCCTGGAACATATTCCTGCTCCTCCCCCAGGGTACAGGTTCTTTCTCATCCCTTACTCCAGGTCTAAAGGGTTTCCACTGGTGCCTTCATGGCAATGGTGTTGCCCTTTCCTCTAGAGATCAAAGCTTTTATCCATAGGGGAGTTGGGAGAGAGACATCTGGGTGGGGTTTTGTGTCCCTCCTGCTGTGGCTGCTGTCCCAGTCCCTCAGGCCTGTATCATGAGGGATGCATTCTCGTACCCTCCCCCACCCGCCTGGGGTCATGGGGGAAAGCCTGGAAAAGGGTGCAAACTCTTGCTTCAGACTTCCCACTTTCTTGCCCACCCACACTCCATCCCTACCAGTTCATTAAGTATTCCAGCTGAATCCCACACTCCATCCCTACCAGTTCATTAAGTATTCCAGCTGAATCCCACACTCTATCCCTACCAGTTCATTAAGTATTCCAGTTGAATCCTTACTGCTGTGCATCTGCGGGGCCCCAGGTGCACCAGTGTTCACGTCCCATCTCTTCTTGTGGGCACCTGTCTCTTCTTAGATTTCAGGATAGTTGATTGAACCTGAGCTCTCTGATGGCTTCAATGAGAGCTCTAAACTTGCAGGTTTTCCAGCTTTTTTGTTGTTGTAAAGGTGTGGGCAATGTTCTTTCCAGATTGCTGCATCTAGAGCAGAAACTGGGAGTCAGAATTGAGTTAACTTAAAGGAAAAGATAGGGAAAAATCAGTGTTTGTGGACTAAATTGGTAACCACTTCTCTTGTAGGATATTGCCATTAGGTCCTTCTAATCCTGTGAGGTAAGTAATCACCATTCCCATTTACAGATGAGGTTCTGAGAGGATGAGAAAGGATCTGGGGTTCCTCTCTGGTCCTGCCTGATTGCATGGGAACAGCTGCCCTCTGCTGCCTTCTGAGGCTGTGAAGTGCGAGTGTGAGATTAGAAAGGAACCTGTGGAAGGGGGCGGCGTGGCCCTCTGTCCTCAGCCTGCAGTAAAGCCAGCTTGCATGGACTGGGCTTGGTGAGTTTAGGGAAATGAGGGAGGAACTGGCATGGCTTGGGTGGGCTGAGATTCTGGCTGGGACTCACACAGGGACTCAGCAGGAAGTAGATTGTAGGGAAAAATAGCACTAATGGCTGGAGAGACCTGGATGGCTTTCCAGCGAGTCCCTTGCTGCCCATGTGAGAGACATCAGAGTCCTCACAGCCTTGGAATGTGGCTCAGTCCCAGGGCCGGGATGGAGTGTTTGCCAGTGTCAGGGAATCCAGACTTGGCCTTGTGTGTGGAGATTGGCGGTGGGGAACTGTGTATGGGAAAAGCACAAATGGAGATGGAGCTGCTGGGGAATGACCCCGAAGCTTCTGCTCAGTCAGAGCCTGCTCTCCCTCCCTCTGAAGCATTCCCAGGCCCACATGCCAAGACAAAGGATAGGACTGTACCTCCTTCCTTACTCACAGACACACACACACACACACACACACATAATCCTTTTGTGACTTCCCTTTGAGGTTTTCAATTATGTATTTATTCATTCATTTATATATTCCTTTATTCATTCAATAAATATTCATTACTGCCAAGTTCTGCACCCTGGGTAACCTGATCTTCCTGAGTGAAGGGGGTAGGGATGTGGAAAGCTTGCAGCTTAGTGGCCCTTGGTGCTCTGCTCCCCTCAGAGATGACCCGAGGAAGGGCCTGAGTGTGGGAAGGAGCAAGGATCAGTTTTCCCGAACCCCTTCAAGTAAGTAATGCACAGGTGTTACCTGGGTGGCTTGCCAGGTGCCAGAACCCTGCTGGGGGCATGCACAAGCTTCAGCTTCAAGCACACCTCTCCCTACACAAAAAACCACAGATCCTCAGCATGCTATTAGCACTGTGCAGTCCTGTCCTAACCTCCTCCTCCTCCTCCTCCTCTTCCTCCTCCTCCTCTCTCCCCACCCCCAGCAGACCAGTCTGCTGGACCGCTTGTTTGCAAGGCTGGTCTTCCACTTCAGGCCTCTAAGCTTGCCTTCTTCCCCTCTGTGCATCCAAACCGCCATGCCCTTCAAGGCTCAGCTTCAATGCCACCCTCTCCAGGAAGCCTTCTCTGAATCCTCCAATGAGAATTAATCAGGCTAACATTTTTTTCTTTTTCTTTTTTTTTTGAAATGGAGTCTGGCTCTGTCACCTAGGATGGAGTGCAGTGGCGTGATCTCAGCTCACTGCAACCTCCACATCCTGGGTTCAAATGATTCTCCTGCCTCAGCCTCCCAAATAGCTGGGATTACAGGCATGCGCCAGCATGCCCAGCTAATTTTTGTATTTTTAGTAGAGACAGGGTTTTGCCATGTTGTCCAGGCTGGTCTCGAACTCCTGACCTCAGGTGATCCACCCACCTCAGCCTCCCAAAGTGCTGGGATTATGGGTGTGAGCCACTGCACCCGGCCCAGGCTAACATCTTGACTGTCACATCAGATGGCTTGTACCTCTCTCACACATGTGCCTCATTTGGTCCTGTCTTGCTAGAGCCTGACTCCCGGGTTGTACTCAGCAACAGAACTGTGGCCAGGCCATCTCCGGTATAAGCCTTTCCGGGTCTTCCTATTGCTCTCAAGATCAAGTTCGAACCTGCATATCTCGTGTGACCTCACCTCTCTCTTCTGCCTCATCTGTAACCTCTTGAGAGCAGGGACTAGGGCATAACATGTTTTATTCCTGAGAGTTTCTAATACATTTCCTGGCACATAGTAAATATATGTACTCAATAAATATATGTCAAAATGAAATGAAATTCTAGTTGAATAATTGATTTCTACAAGCCAAGGATAAGCCTGCTTCCACATAGGGAAAAAACAGACTGGCCTGATGCTCCCCCTTCCTCACTCCATATTTCTTTAGTGTCATTCAGGAAATAAGTTTTGAGTTATAATTATTTGGCAAAATATTCAGATGAGCATCAGTCATGAGTTCTATAACCAGCAAATTCTCGACATCGGCAATGGAACCGCTGCTGGTTGTTTCCCGTCTTTTTTGGAATAACAACAAAATTTTCTGCCAGCCTTTGTCATGGACAGTCTGTTAAGAAAGCAAGTAAAAAGTCCCTTTGTTGTTTTTCAGGTGTCTTGGGAAGAAGGGTCCTTGGAGCCGAAGATGATTTTGGGGAGTGAAAGAGACCGCCTTTTCCTGGTAATAGCAGAGCCAAAACTCCAGCCTTCAACCCACAGACCGGGGCCTGTCCCCAGGCATCGCCACCCACCCCATGGCCTCATCGTCATCTGTGACTTTTGCCTCCCTGCATCTCAGTTTCCATGCCTGTCAAGTGGAGATATAATACCTCATTCTGGGGAGATACAATGAAGCACTGCTGGTAAAAAGTACACGTGCTATACAAAATTAGGAAATCCTTGTCACCAGACTTAGAGAAAAATACAAAGTGGAGTTGACTCCCAGGTTGGAGACACAGCTTCCCAGGTAAGGACATGGCTCAGTTTTCACCACGCTGAGCTGCTGCCTGAACCCAGGGTGTTGGAACCCGGGGCTGGCCTCTCAGCCCTGGCCACACGTGCTGGGTTTCAGGTCACGCATGCAGCCAGTTCACCACACCTCCGCTCACCCAGCGAGCTGACTGAAGCTCTGCCCTGACAGACTTCTGTCTGCTCGAGCCATTTTGTCTTTCTCGTTCTCTCATGAAAATGCCAATGCTGGCCAAAGACAGAAGCAACCAGGGTCCCCTAACTCTTAAAGGCATCAGGATCACCTGGGGATCTTATTAAAAAGGCAGGCTCTGGGGTCCCTAACTCAGAGGTTCATGGTGGGTCAGCTGTTGAGGTGGGACCAAGGGATGTGTGTAGTTAGCAGCTGCTCAATTTGCTAGGGAGCCAGAGAGCAGGCCGCTGTGGAGGAGCCTTATGTCTGGATCAAGAAAGGGGCCCTCGGAGGGGAAATGGAGCTCCAGCAAAGAGATGCGCAGCCAGGATTAGGGGTACGAAGCCGGGATGGATGGAGTGACTTCCGCAAAGACAAGTCAGGGCTTCCTCCTGGGCTTAGGCCGGAGGAGTTAGGGGAGTGACAGCGTGGACCCAGGAAAGGGGAGCTCAGAGGGGCCAAACCTGGAGGCCACCATGCTGCAACTCACCTCAAACAGCTGGGTAAACTGAGGCAAACTAGCTCATCCCCTGTCCTCAGGATGTAGTGCCTAGGAGCCTGCCAGGCTGGAGGGCCTGGAGGAAGAGCCTTTCATTTTCCTTGTAGGAGCAGTGAGATGAGGCTGGGCCCTGAGAATCCTTCACTCTCTCCCTCTCCTGGAGGGCAAAAGACAGGCCTGATTACCTGTCCCCTCCAGCACTGTTTGGCTCAGATGTATGCTAGCGGAGCGGGGAGTGGGTCCACTGGGACTCCTGGAAGACCACTTTGCAGCTCTGGAACGTCCCCTGGCAGTGCCTTCCTGACCCCTTGGCCTCAATTGTCTGCTCTGTCCGGCTTCATGGGCTTCTAAAGGAAATGTCTACATATTTGAGACATGATTCTATCTGATGCCAGCCTGATACTTCCAGCAGCTTCTTCACTCCCCAGAAGCTGAAAATGATGACTTGAAGAGGCCATGGTCACGGGCCTGAACCCAGGCCTGGGAAGTGCAGGCTTAGCATCTAGTCCACTAACCTTGGCCATGGGCTATGGCAACCTTGGTTTTCATCATCTATAAAATGATGGGGCTGGGGAGAGTAAGAAGGAGAATTCGACTTTCAAACTTTTCTTTTCTTGACTGTGGAAACCTTTCTTCAAGAAAAGCTGACAGAGGAAGCAAATATCTGAGGATCCTCTTGGAGCTGCTGCTGTGTTTGAAATGGGAACTGGAACATCAGGCTCCACGCTCCTTCCTCAGTCTAGGCAGAAAGCCCAGGGCTCTTTTGGGCCTGTTGTGTTTTGTATGAGACAGGGTCTTGCTGTTTCGCCCAGGCTAGAGGGGTGCAGGGGCACAATCATAGCTCACTGAAGCCTCAAACTCCTGGGCTCAAGGGATCCTTCTGCCTCAGCCTCTCAAATAGCTAGGACTACAGGTGCATACCACCACACCCTGTTTATTTTTATTTATTTTTATTTTTTGTAGAGACATATGTTGGCCAGGCTGGTCTTGAACTCCTGGCCTCAAGTGGTCCTCCTGTCTTGGCCTCCCAAAGTTTTGAGATTACAGGCATGAGCCACCATGCCTAGCCCAGGGCCTATTTAAAAACCCGTGAACGTGGCCCAGCCATCCTACTCCTACGTGTTTACCCAAGAGAAATTAAAACATATGTCCACACAAACACTTGTACACAAATGTTCGTTGCAGCCATTTTGGTAATAGCTCCAAACTGGAAGCAACCCGAATGTCCATCACAGATAAATGGATAGACAAATTGTGGTATGTTTGTACAATGGAATGAAAAAGAACCAATGAAATGAAAGGGGATGGATGAACTATGGATGTGTGCAGCAACATGGATGAACCTCAGAATCATGATGCTGAAGTGAAACAAGTCAGACCAGGCCAGGCGTGGTGGCTCACGCCTGTAATCCCAGCGCTTTGGGAGGCCAAGACAGGAGTTAAGACCAGGAGTTCAAGACCAGCCTGAGCAACATACATCTCTACAAAAAATAAGAAATAAAAATTAGCTGGGTGTGGTGGCTCATGCCTATAATCCCAGCACTTTGGGAGGCCAAGGTGGGCAGATTGCTTGAGGTCAGGAGTTCAAGATCAGCTTGGCCAACATGTTGAAACCTCATCTTTACTAAAAATACAAAAATTAGCTTGGCGTGGTGGCACACGCCTGTAATCCCAGCTACTCGGGAGGCTGAGGCAAGAAAATTGCTTAAACGTGGGAGGCAGAGGTTGCAGTGAGCTGAGATCACACCACTGCACTCTAGCCTGGGCGACAGAATAAGACTCTATCAAAAAAAAAGGCAAAACATTTTTTATTTTATTTATATAAAATTCTAGAAAATTCCAACTAACCTACAGCGACAAAAACCAGACCATTGATTGCCTAGGGATGGGGTGGGGAGGAAGGGAAAAATTACAAAGGGGTATTAAGAAATTTTAGGAGTGATGGAAACTGTTTTACACCTTGATTAAGATGTGGTTTCATGGGTGCATACAAATATCAAAACATATCAAATTGTATTTTTAAATATGTGCAGTTTATTGTAAGTTAATTATACCTCAGTAAAGTTGTAAAAGAAAGAAAATGCCAACAGATTTTTTCATCTTAGAGAACTAGCTTAAAAAGCACAAAAATTCTCACCAGGCTGGGCACAGTGGCTCACTCTTTCAGTCCCAGCACTTTTTTTTTTTTTTTTTGAGAGGGAGTCTCACTCTGTCGCCCAGGCTGGAGTGCAATGGCGCGATCTCTGCTCACTGCAACCTCCACCTCTAGCGTTCAAGCGATTCTCCTGCCTCAGCCTCCCGAGTGGCTGGGATTACAAGTGCCCACTACCGCTCCTGGCTAATTTTTGTATTTTTAGTAGAGACAGGGTTTCACCATATTGGTCAGGCTGGTCTTGAACTCCTGACCTCAAGTGATCTGCCCACCTTGGCCTACCAAAATGCTGGGATTACAGGCGTGAGCCACTGTGCCTGGCCCAGTCCCAGCAATTTGTGGGGCCGAGGAGGGTGGATCGCTTGAGCCCAGGAGTCTGAGACCAGCCTAGGTAACATGGTGAAACCCCGTCTCTACAAAAAATACAAAAATCAGTCAGGCATGGTGACACTTGTCTGTAGTCCCAGCTACTCTGGAAGCTGAGGTGGGAGGATTGCTTGAGCCCAGGAGGTCAAGTCTGCAGTGAACCATGATGGTGCCATTACACTCCAGCCTGGGTAACAGAGTGAGACCCTGTCTCAAAAAAAAAAAAAAAAAAAAATTCTCACCAAATCTAGTCCTGTGAGGGTCTCTCCAGAGACCTGTGACCAATATTGAGCCCAATTCCTGTCTTGCTAGTGTTCAGTCACCCAGCTGGGGAGAGGCACTGGAGGTTTCTGGAAAGGTACAGGTGAAAACCCCTTTACCCTTTTGCTGTCAAATAGCATGAGAACTCCGTCTTCTATTTTCCAGTGGCTGCAAAGCAAGAGTTCCTTAGTTTCACGTTTGCTATATCCTCACCCAGCAGGGCTGGTTGTGCTCCAATTAATGAGCCTTCACAAAGCCCAACACTCTCCTCTCCACTCCCAGTTTTGTTCTTTAATCTTCAGATTGTCTTTTTGCGGGGCTGGCTCCCACCTGGGGCTCGCTGAAGACAAGCACCCTGAGGACCTGTCCCCTGGGAGCTGCTTCTCCGGGAAAGGGGCCACAGTAGTATGGGCAGCAGACTGGGTAGGGGCGCTAGGTTGCAGATTTTCCAAACATTTGACTGAAATGAAAAAAAAAACAGACTTGTGCTGCCAGGTATAAAAGAGAGAAGCCAGGCAGGCATCCGTCTCTGCCAGGAGCCTTTAAGTGCTTGGCAGAGACTCAGAGATTTACCAGGAAAGCACTAATCAAGTGCTTTGGTTTGATTGCTTTGTTTTAAAAAGTCCTTTCCTAGTACCTGTATGTGCTGAGTGCTGTGCTGGGTGCTGGGAACTGTGCAGTAAGCTCATGATTGAGTGGGCATGGTCCAATGAGAGATAAGCCCGGGGGCTGTGGGGCATCATGTGGGTGAAGGCGGTCATGTGCTACTTTGAGGCCACGCCAGACACTTTCTAAATTCCTGCATTCTTCCAAAATGTTAGGAATTAAAGCAAGGGGAGGTTCTCTTGGCCCAGAATCATCAGGCAGGGAGGACGTGGGAAACCACGAAGGAGAGGAAGAAATGGTCAGCCCAGAGGGAAAGCCAGAAATCAATCTAGTATGAGAAATAGAGTTTAATCTGATTGGCCACAGTGCTCAATATGACAACAATTATGTAAAAGTTGAATACAAAACAGAAATATGTGAATTCCGCACAGATATATCCACTATTGGAAATGCATATGAGCTATCTATGGGGTATGCCTCAAACTGAAGATAATGGTTACGTTGAGGGCATGGCGTAATCAAGAAGGACTTTTGCTTTATCTATATTGTTTGAATATTTTATAATTAACTTTCCAAGATATCTGTGAATTTTTCTTTTATGTACTTTTTCAATTTTTTTTTTGCTTCTGAATGACAAATACGCCATATTTTTCAGTTTTCTTGTATTTTTTTAAAAAATCTTTGTAATTTTTTATTTTTGGTGGAGATGGAGTTTCACCATGTTGGCCAGGCTGGTCTCAAACTCCTGGCCTTAAGTGATCCACCTGCCTCAGCCCTGCAAAGTGCTGGGATTACAGGCATGAGCCACCACATCTGGCCAATTATAGTAAAACATATATAACATAAAAATTTACCATCTGAACCATTTCTTTTCTTTTTTTTTTTTTTTTCTGAAACGGAGTCTGACTCTGCCACCCAGGCTGGAGTGCAGTGGCACGATATTGGCTCGCTGCAACCTCCATCTCCCAGGTTCAAGTGATTCTCCTGCCTCAGCCTCCCAAGTAGCTGGGATTATAGGTGCCCGCCACCACGCCTGGCTAATTTTTGTATTTTTAGTAGAGAGGGGGTTTCACCATGTTGGCTAGGCTGGTCTCGAACTCCTGACCTCAGATGATCTGCCCACCTCAGCCTCCCAAAGTGGGATCACAGGCATGAACCACCGCGCCCAGCCCATCTGAACCATTTCTAAGTGAACAGTTCAGTGGCATTAAGTACATTCACAATGTTGTGCTATTATCACCACTACCCATCTCTAGAGCATTTTCATCTTCCCAAACTGAAGTTCTGTATCCATTAAACACTAACTCCTCATTCCCCTTTCTCCCACCAGCCCCCTGGCAACCACCGTTCTGTTTTCTGCCTCTAGGAATGTGACTGCTCTAGGTATCTCATGTAAGTGGAATCATAGTATTTGTCCTTTTGTGTCTCGCTTACTTCACTTAATAAAGTGTTTTCAAGGTTCATCCATGTCGTAGCATGTGCCAGAATTTCCTTCTTTTTGAAGGCTGAATAATATTCCACTGTGTGGATATTCCACACTTTGTTTATACCCACCTCTATTGATGGGCATTTGGGTTGTTTCCACCTTTGGCTATTGTGAATAATGCTGCTATGAACCACGGTGTGCAAATAGCTGTTTGAGTCCCGTTTCCGATTTTTTGGAGGAACATACCCAGAAGTGGGATTGCTGATCATATGGTAATCTATGTTAAATTTTTTTGAGGAGCCAGAATACTAGCTCCCACAGTAGCTGCTCCATTTTGCATACCCACCAGCAATACACTAGGGCCCCAATTTTCCCACATCTTCGTCAACACTTGTTATTTTCTGTTTCTTTGGTTACAGCCATCCTAATGGATGTGAGGTGGTACCTTATTGTGGCTTCGATTTGCATTTCCCTAGCAATTAATGATGGTGAGCATATTTCATGTGGATCCGTAAATTTTTAGTAATATTTAAAAGATTTCAGCAGGCCAGGCACGGTGGCTCACGCCTGTAATTCCAGCACTTTGGGAGGCCGAGGCAGGTGGATCACGAGGTCAGGAGATCGATACCATCCTGGCTAACACGATGAAACCCCATCTCTACTAAAAATACAAAAAATAATTTAGCCAGGTGTGGTGGTGTGCACTTGTAGTCCCAGCTACTTGGGAGGCTGAGGCAGGAGAATTGCTTGAACCCGGGAGGTAAAGGTTGCAGTGAGCCGAGATCGTGCCGCTGCACTCCAGTCTGGGTGACAGAGCGAGGCTTCATTTCAAAAAAAAAAAAAAAAAAGATTTCAGCAATAGAGAAAAATGTAATGGAATATCTGGAAAACCTTTATACATCCATCTTACCTCTTGAAATGTTTCTGGTTTTCAACAAACATGATGTTTTGTGCCTTCCACTGTGTGGAGTGGCTCTAGATGGTGGTGTCATCAATAGCCACCCGCTCATCTCAGACTGCTTGACCTTGAAGCAGTTTCTGGAAATGCCCCTGAACAGCTGTTGATGAATCCACATGGTTTAAAGAGACTTGCTAAAGGTGGGTGGGTGGTCTGGCTGTCTTTACTTTATTGGGTTCCTTGTTTACAGAGTGAGCCCATAGTTTTTTCTCAATGCCCACTCGTCCCCATCTCTAGTCAGCTCTAGTAGCTGCTTTCTGATCCAGAGAGGAGACATTTGTAAGATGCAGCCCAATTCAGAGTGAACATTGAGACTTCTCAGCTAAAATTTGCAATCTCTCAGACTAAAAAGCTCAAGCCATTTTGGTGCTATGACTCATTCTTGAAATAACACATTTTTACATATTTTGATCAAACTGGAATTCAAGCTGAATATTGCTCACCTGTAACACCCTTTCCTATTTTACTGTTTTCAAAGCCTAGCTCAGCCTCCTGGGGTAAAGTGGTGTTTATTAAAGATAAACATTTAAGTTCCCCTTTGGGTTCCCAGAAGGCACAGATCATTATGGTGGGGGGTTCCTGGCTGGGGAAAGTGCCCTCAGAGAGCAACTTACTCACAATCTTACTATGGTTGTAATTCAATTAAAGAAGCTTCCAGGGCCCACCTTTGTGGGCTTTTACCCTGCTATTTCTTCTGTCATCTTTTTTTTTTCTGGCAACTCCCAACATTTATTTGGTGTAATAATGAAAATGATACAAAAAAAAAATCAGGGATTGTTTGACACTTTTTTCCTAAATGGAAACCTTCACCGAAAGAGGATAAAAGATTTACAGGTAAGTTCTTTCTCCAAAATTAGTAAATGACCTCAGTTTTAATTCTTACTGAGGTTACTAAGTAGCTATCAGTATATTATTTTCAACTTGTGTCTAGGAGGGAAATTTTTATGTAGCGGGAGGTAAGGCATTAGCAGAGAAATCAAGTTGTCAGTTGGGAGCCAGCCAGCTTCTGCCCTGCAGTTACTGCTAGAGCTTCACTGAGCTGCATATACACAGGCCTGTTTCACAGTGGGATTGAGGAGAGGCTGAATGAATGGCCCTTTGCTAAGCTGGTGGGCACTGCAAGCTCTAGCGTTTACTACCCACCAGAAAGGCAAAAGGTGAGGTCTTTATGGGAAAATCTGATGCCCCCAGCTCCTATGATGTCTGTAGCCCAGAATCAAGTCACCCAGCACTTGGTATAATGTTGAGGTAAGTGGCCTAGTGAACTGCCATCTTTTCTGTCTGGCAAGTGGTCACCCAGGCTGGAGTGCAGTGGCGCGAGCTCGGCTCACCACAGCCTCCGCCTCCCCGGTTCAAGCGATTCTCCTCCTTCAGCCTCCCCAGTAGCTGGGATTACAGGTGTGCACCACCACACCTGGCTAATTATTGTATTTTTAGTAGAGATAGGGTTCTACCATAGGTCAGGAGAGTCTCGAACTCCTAACCTCAAGTGATCTGCCTGCCTTGGGCTCCCAAAGTGCTGGGATTAAAGACATGAGCCATTGCACGTGGCCCCTGGCTAATGTTTTATCTGCTCTTCAAGACCCTGCTGAGGCCCTGTCTCCTTGTACAGTCTTTCTTGGCTCCCCTGGGCAGCTAGAAACTCCCTCCTCTGGGCCTCTTCAGCACCTCGAGAGCACTTAGTCCATCCAAGTGGGGTCCAGTGTTGATATTTTCTCTCTCCCATTAACCTAGAACCCTGCAAAGTGTCTGGCACATCACAGGCCTTCATCAGTCTGTGAATGCTTCTCACTTCTTGCTGTGGTTTCTGACGAGGGGGAACCAGGCTCCCCTAGTTTGCACCCTGGTTTTCTTTGGAGGATATGAGGCTGGAGAGAGGATACCATTAGTGCCACTGAGGGGGATGCATGCTATTCCTGTTCCCGTCTTCATAGGAAGATGCTCCCAAGGACAGCTCCTTTTGCTGGAGTTTGGAGTTGAAGGGGGAAGTATGGGTTTCATACCGAGAAAAGCCACACACCTATAATTGCAGGCACTTTCCCAGAAACTTGAGCCTGACCCCAGGACTGCACCCTGCCGAGCTCTGCTGGGTCACAGCCAGCCTCTGCATTTCCAGGAGGGCTTCCTGACTCTGGGGAAACATGGGCTTCCTGATGCGAGGGCAAAAAATGGGTTAGGGACTGCCAAGGGGACAGCTAAGGAGCTGAGGAGCCACTGATGTGCCAATTCCTTCTCTGTGCAGGTTTTATAGGGGAATGAAAGTCAAGAAAACAGCCATTTACAAATGCATGTGTATGTTCACTGGAGCACTATTCACAATAGCAAAGACATGGAATCAAACCAGGTGCCCATCAGTGGTGGACTGGATAAAAGAAAATGTGGTACATGCACCGTGGAATACTATGCAGCCACGAAAAGGATGAAATCATGTCCTTTGCAGCAACATGGGTGCAGCTGGAGGCCATTATCCTAAGCAAATTAATGCAGGAATAGAAAACCTAATGTGGCAGGCCAGGTCTCACTAACACAGTCCTCCATAACAACTGTTTCAGCACTGACTGAGTGGTTAAGTTAAATATTAAAAGCTGAAAGAGCCAGTGTCTTTCTACAAAGGCTGGAATGTAACAAAAGCTCACCAAGAGTTTTGCCTAGGCCTTTCCTGGACCTTGAAGCATAACAAGATAAAGAAGGAATCTTTAACAGGACCCATTTAGGATTAAACACGTTTTTATTGAGGGTCTGAAGAAACTCCCCAGACCTCCACAAACAAGTTTATTAGGGGTCTGAAGGAACTCCCCAAACCTCCACGGTTTAGCAGGAGACAAGATAAGGGTAATTACCCCTGGCACCTGCACCCATCTAGATTAAGTAAATTTACTGAGGCTCCAGAGGAAGGTCTTCAAGACTCAGACCTTAGTTATAGATTAAAAGAAGTTAATCACTTAGGTCTTTAGATGAATGCACACTTACACATGGACATGTAACTTAGAAGATATATAAACTTTGTAACTTTGAGTTGGTCTGGCGATAATTTCCAGGCCTTCTCCCTGTAATTGGTTACAGAAATAAAAACCTCTCTTCTTTCCCAGTTCATCTACATCTCATTATTGGCACACGAGAATAAGCAGCCCAACCCTTGGTTTGGTCAAGGAACAATAATGCTACATGTTCTCACGTATAAGTAGGAGCTAAACATTGAGTACACAAAAACATAAAGATGGGAATAACAGATACTGGGGACTGCTAGAGCAGGGTTGGGGGAAAGGGGCATGGGCTGAAAAACTCCCCACTGGGTACTTTGCTCACTTACCTTGGGACAGGATCATTCATGCTCCAAACCTGAACACCATCCAATATACCCATGTAACAAACCTGTACATGTACCCCTAGAATCCAAAAGAAAAGTCAAGAGTTAAGAAAGCCACCATTTGTGGAATGTCTGCTGGGCACCTGCCCAGAGCTCTAGCCCAGTTTTCTGTGCCTTTGCCTACCAAGAGCCACTGGCAAGGCTGAGCCATGAAGATGTGGCAGCCTTGAGCCTTTTTCAGGTTTCTTCTAATAGATGTGCTTTAATTTAAAGAAC
This sequence comes from Homo sapiens, assembly GCF_000001405.40. Lineage (NCBI taxonomy): Eukaryota > Metazoa > Chordata > Mammalia > Primates > Hominidae > Homo > Homo sapiens. The sequence goes on from NC_000018.10 coordinate 49,710,383, forward strand.
AAAATCTCTCTCACTCCCTCCTCTCTCTGCATTTGGAACACAGATTCATCAAAAACCTTTTAACATAATCCAGTGGTGGCTTTAAGTTATTGGTGTTAATGATTATTCTTTTTAAATTTTTTTAAATTATACTTTAAGTTCAGGGGTACATGAGCAGAACGTGTAGGTTTGTTACATAGGTGTGCACATGCCATGGTGGTTTGCTACACCCATCAACCTGTAACCTACATTAGGTATTTCTCTTAATGCTATCCCTCCCCTAGCCTCCAACCCCCTACAGGCACCGGTATGTGATGTTCCCTTCCCTGTGTCCATGTGTTCTCATTGTTCAACTCCCACTTATGAGTGAGAACATGTGGTGTTTGGTTTTCCATTCTTGTGTCAGTTTGCTGAGAATGATGCTTCATCCATGTCCCTGCAAAGGACATAAACTCATTCTTTTTTATGGCTGCATATTGTTCCATGGTATATATGTGCCATGTTTTCTTTATCCAATCTATCATTGATGGACATTTGGGTTGGTTCCAAGTCTTTCCTATTGTGAATAGGGCCGCCATAAACATGCGTGTGCATGTGTCTTTATAGCAGAATGACTTATAATCCTTTGGGTATATACCCAGTAATGGGATTGCTGGGTCAAATGGTATTTCTAGTTCTAGATCTAGATCCTGCCACACTGTCTTCAACAATAGTTGAACTAATTTATACTCCTAGCAACAGTGTAAAAGCATTCTTATTTCTCCACATCCTCTCCAGCATCTGTTGTTTCCTGACTTTTTAAATGATTGCCATTCTAACTGGCATGAGATGGTATCTCATTGTGGTTTTGATTTGCATTTCTCTAATGACCAGTGATGATGAGCATTTTTTCATATGTTTGTTGGCTGCATAAATGTCTTCTTTTGAGAAGTGTCTGTTCATATACTTCGCCCACTTTTTGATGGGGTTGTTTTTTCTTGTAAATTTGTTTAAGTTCTTTGTAGATCTGGATATTAGCCCTTTGTCAGATGGATAGATTGCAAAAAATTTCTCCCATTCTGCAGGTTGCCCGTTTACTCTGATGAGAGTTTCTTTTGCTGTGCAGAAGCTTCTTTAGTTTAATTAGATCCCATTTGTCAATTTTGGCTTTTGTTGCCATTGCTTTTGGTGTTTTAGTCACGAAGTCTTTGCCCATGCATATGTCCTGAATGGTATTGTCTAGGTTTTCTTCTAGGATTTTTATGGTGTTAGGTCTTAACATTTAAGGCTTTAATCCATCTTGAGTTAATTTTTGTATAACGCAAAAGGAAGGGGTCCAGTTTCAGTTTTCTGCATATGGCTAGCCAGTTTTCCCAACACCATTTATTAAATAGGGAATCCTTTCCCCATTGCTCGTTTTTGTCAGGTTTGTCAAAGATCAGATGGTTGTAGATGTGTGGTGTTATTTCTGAGGCCTCTATTCTGTTCCATTGGTCTATATATCTGTTTTGGTACCAATACCATGCTGTTTTGGTTACTGTACCTTGTAGTACGTTGAAGTCAGGTAGTGTGTTGCCTCCAGCTTTGTTCTTTTTGCTTAGGATTGTCTTGGCTATGCGGTGGTCTCTTTTTTGGTTCCATATGAAGTTTAATGTAGTTTTTTCCAATTCTGTGAAGAAAGTCAGTGGTAGCTTGATGGGGATAGCATTGAATGTATAAATTACTTTGGGCAGGATAGCCATTTTCCAATATTGATTCTTCCTATCCATGAGCATGGAATGTTTTTCCATTTGTTTGTGTCCTCTCTTATTTCCTTGAGCAGTGGTTTGTAGTTCTCCTTGAAGAGGTCCTTCACATCCCTTGTAAATTATATTCCTAGGTATTTTATTCTCTTAGTAGCAATTGTGAATGAGAGTTCACTCATGATTTGGCTCTCTGTTTGTCTGTTATTTGTGTATAGGAATGCTTGTGATTTTTGCAGATTGATTTTGTATCCTGAGACTTTGCTGAAGTTGCTTCTCAGCTTAAGGAGATTTAGGGCTGAGATGATGGGGTTTTCTAAATATACGATCATGTCATCTGCAAACAGAGACAATTTGACTTCCTCTTTTCCTATTTGAACACCTTTTATTTCTTTCTCTTTCCTGATTGCCCTGGCCAGAACTTCCAATACTATGTTGAATAGGAGTGATGAGAGAGGGCATCCTTGTCTTGTGCCGGTTTTCAGAGGGATTGCTTCCAGTTTTTGCCCATTCAGTATGATATTGGCTGTGGGTTTGTCATAAATAGCTGTTATTATTTTGAGATATATTCCATTGATATCCAGTTTATTTAGAGTTTTTAGCATGATGGGATGTTGAATTTTGTTGAAGGCCTTTTCTGCATCTATTGAGATAATCATGTGGTTTTTGTCATTGGTTCTGTTTATATGATGGATTACATTTATTGATTTGCATATGTTGAACCAGCCTTGCATCTCAGGGATGAAGCTGACTTGATCATGGTGGATAAGCTTTTTGATGTGCTGGTGGATTCGGTTTGCCAGTATTTTATTGAGGATTTTCGCATCGATGTTCATCAGGGATATTGGCCTGAAATTTTCTTTTTTTGTTGTGTCTCTGCCAGGTTTTGTTATCAGGATGATGCTGGCCTCATAAAATGAGTTAGGGAGGATTCTTTCTTTTTCTATTGATTGGAATCGTTTTAGAAGGAATGGTACCAGCTCCTCTTTATACCTCTGGTAGAATTCGGCTGTAAATCTGTCTGGTCCTGGACATTTTTTGGTTGGTAGGTTATTAATTACTGCCTCAATTTCAGAACTTCTTGTTGGTCTATTCAGGGATTCAACTTCTTCCTGGTTTAGACTTGGGAAGGTGTATGTGTCCAGGAATTTATCCATTTCTTCTAGATTTTCTAGTTTATTTGCATAGAGGTGTTTATATTATTCTCTGATGGTAGTTTGTATTTTTGTGGGATCAGTAGTGATATCCCCTTCATCATTGTTTATTGCATGTATTTTGTTCTTCTGTCTTTTCTTCTTTGTTAGTCTGGCTAGTGGTCTATCAATTTTGTGGATTTTTTTCAAAAAACCTGCTCCTGGATTCATTGATTTTTTGAAAGATTTTTCGTGTCTCTATCTCCTTCTGTTCTGCTCTGATCTTAGTTATTTCTTGTCTTCTGCTAGCTTTTGAATTTGTTTGCTCTTGCTTCTCTATTTCTTTTAATTGTGATGTTAGGGTGTTGATTTTAGATCTTTCCTGTTTTCTCTTGTGGGCATTTAGTGCTATATATTTCCCTCTATATACTGCTTTAAATGTGTCCCAGAGATTGATATGTTGTGTCTTTGTTCTCATTGATTTCAAAGAACATCTTTATTACTGCCTTCATTTCATTATTTACTGAATAGTCATTCAGAAGCAGGTTGTTCAGTTTCCATGTAGTTGTGCGGTTCTGAGTGAGTTTCTTAATCCTGAGTTCTAACTTGATTGCCCTGTGGTCTCAGAGACTGTTTGCTATGATTTCTGTTCTTTTGCATTTGCTAAGGAGTGTTTTACTTCTAATTATGTGGTCAATTTTAGAATAAGTGCAATGAGGTCCTGAGAAGAATGTATATTCTGTTGATTTGGGGTGGAGAGTTCTGTAGATTTCTACTAGGTCCGCTTGGTCCAGAGCTGAGTTCAAGTCCTGAATATCCTTGTTAATTTTCTGTCTGGTTGATCTGTCTAATATTGACAGTGGGGTGTTAAAGTCTCCCACTATTATTGTATGGGAGTCTAAGTGTCTTTGTAGGTCTCTAAGAACTTGCTTTATGAATCTGGGTGCTCCTATATTGGGTGAATATATACTTAGGATAGTTAGCTCTTCTTGTTGCATTGATCCCTTTAACATTACGTAATGGCCTTCTTTGTCTTTTTTGATCTTTGTTGGTTAAAAGTCTTTTGTATCAGATATTATGATTGCAATTCCTGCTTTTTTTTTGCTTTCCATTTGCTTGGTAAATATTCCTCCATCCCTTTATTTTCAGCCTCTGTGTGTCTTTGCATGTAAGATGGGTCTCCTGAATACAGCACACTGATGGGTCTTGACTCTTTATCCAATTTGCCAGTCTGTGTCTTTTAATTGGGGCATTTAGCCCATTTCCATTTAAGGTTAATATTGTTATGTGTCAATTCGATCTGTCATTATGATGCTAGCTGGTTATTTTGCCCGTTAGTTGATGCAGTTTCTTCATAGTGTCAATGGTCTTTACAATTTGGTATGTTTTTGCAGTGGCTGGTATCAGTTTTTCCTCTCCATGTTTAGTGCTTCCTTCAGGAGCTCTTGAAAGGCAGGCCTGGTGGTGACAAAATCTCTCAGCATTTGTTTGTCTGTAAAGGATTTTATTTCTCATTCACTTATGAAGCTTAGTTTGGCTGGATATGAAATTCTGGGTTGAAAATTCTTTTCTTTAAGATGGTTGAATATTGGCCCCCACTCTTTTCTGGCTTCTAGAGTTTCTGCAGAAAGATCTGCTGTTAGTCTGATGGGCTTCCCTTTGTGGGTAACCTGACCTTTCTCTCTGGCTGCCCTTAACGTTTTTCCCTTCATTTCAACCTTGGTGAATCTGACTATTATGTGTCTTGGGTTTGCTCTTCTCAAGGAGTATCTTTGTGGTGTTATCTGTATTTCCTGAATTTGAATATTGGCCTGTCTTGCTAGGTTGGGGAAGTTCTCCTGGGTAATATCCTGAAGAGTGTTTTCCAACTTGGTTCCATTCTCCCCATCACTTTCAGGTACACTAGTCAAACGTAGATTTGGTCTTTTCACATAGTCCCATATTTCTTGGAGGCTTTGTTTGTTCCTTTTTATTCTTTTTTCTCTAATCTTGTCTTCTCGCTTTATTTCATTAAGTGGATCTTCAATCTCTGATATCCTTTCTTCCACTAGATTGATTCAGCTATTGATACTTTTGTATGCTACACATAGTTTTCGCGCCATGGTTTTCAGCTCCATCAGGTCATTTATGTTCTTCTCTAAACTGGTTATTCTAGTTAGCAATTCAACCTTTTTTCAAGGTTCTTAGCTTCCTTGCGTTGGGTTAGAATATGTTCCTTTAGCTCAGAGGAGTTTATTATTACTCAACTTCTGAAGCCTACTTTTGTCAGTTCGTCAAACTCATTCTCCATCCAGTTTTGATCCCTTGCTGGCAAGGAGTTGTTATCCTTTGGAGGAAAAGAGGCATTCTGGTTTTTGGAATTTTCAGCTTTTTGCACTGGTTTCTCCTCATCTTTGTGGATTTATCTACCTTTGGTCTTTGATATTGGTGACCTTTGGATGGGGTCTCCGAGTGGATGTGCTCTTCCTTTCTGTTGTTAGTTTTCCTTCTAACAGTCAGGCCTCTTTGCTGCAGGTCTGCTGGAGTTTGCTGGAGGTCCACTCCAGACCCTGTTTGCCTGGTTATCACCAGTGGAGGCTGCAGAACAGCAAAGACTGCTGACTGTTCTTTCCTCTGGAAGCTTCATCCCAGAGGGGCACCTGCTAGATGCCAGCCAGAGCTCTCCTGTGTGAGGTGTCTGTTGGCCCCCACTGGGAGGTGTCTCCCAGTCAGGATACACGGGGGTCAGGGACTGACTTGAGGAGGTAGTCTGACCCTTAGCAGAGCTCGAACACTGTGCTAGGAGGTCCACTGCTCTCTTCAGAGCCATCAGGCAGGGACATTTAAATCTGCTGAAGCTGAGCCTGCAGCCGCCCCTTCCCCCAGGTGCTCTGTCCCAGTGAGTTGGGAGTTTTATCTATAAGTCCCTGACTGGGGCTGCTGCCTTTTTTTCAGAGATGTGCTTCCCAGAAAGGAGAAATCTGGCAGTCTGGCCACAGCGGCCTTGGTGAGCTGCTGTGGGCTCTGCCCAGTTCGAACTTCCTGGTGGCTTTGTTTACACTGTGAGGATAAAACCACCTACTCAAGCCTCAGCAATGGCGGACACCCCTCCCCACACCAAGCTCAAGTGTTCCAGGTCGATCTCAGACCACTGCTGTGCTGCCAGTGTGAATTTCAAGCCAGTGGATCTTAGTTTGCTCGGCTCTGTGGGGGTAGGACCCACTGAGACAGACTACCTGGCTTTAGCCCCTTTTCCAGGGGAGTGAACTGTTCTGTCTCACTGGCGTTCCAGGCACCACTGAGGTATGGAAAAAAACTCCTGCAGCTAGTTTGGTGTCTGCCCAAATGGCTGCCCAGTTTTGTGCTTGAAACCCAGGGCCCTGGTGGAGTAGGCACCAGGGAGAATCTCCTGGTCTGCGGGTTGCGAAGACCATGGGTAAAGCATATTATTTGGGCCGGAGTTATCGGTTCCTCAGGCTCAGTCCCTCACAGCTTCCCTTGGGAAGGGGAGAAAATTCCCTGACCCCTTGCACTTCCCCGGTGAGGCGATAATCCACCCTGCTTTGGCTCACCCTCTGTGGGCTGCACCAACTGTCCAACCAGTCCCAGTAAGATGAGCCGGTTACCTCAGTTGGAAATGCAGAAACCACCCACCTTCTGCGCCAATCTTGCTGGGAGCTGCAGACGGGAGCTGTTCCTATTCAACCATCTTGCCAGCAATCGAATAATTATTATTCTTTAAATCTGTCTCTTTTTTCTTTTTCTGCGATGGAATTTCACTCTTGTTGCCCAGGCTGGAGTGCAATGGCACAATCTTGGCTCACAGCAACCTCCACCTCCTGGGTTCAAGTGATTCTCCTGCCTCAGCCTCCTGAGTAGCTGGGATTACAGGCATGTGCCACCACACCTGGCTAATTTTGTATTTTTAGTAGAGATGGGGTTTCTCCATGTTTGTCAGGCTGGTCTCGAACTCCCGACCTCAGGTGATCCGCCCGCCTTGGCCTTCTAAAGTGCTGGGATTACAGGCATGAGCCACTGCACCTGGCCTTAAATCTGTCTCATTTCTTTGTATATCTTTCCTACATTTATAATTTTTAAAAATTATCAAAACAGCATAACCATATCACAGAAAGTTAGAAAACTGAGAAAAGAAAAAGAAAACATTCACTCATAATGTCATGATTATAACATCCATTTTGGTGCATTCTCTCCTAGTTTAGTGTCTCTCCTTAGCTAAAGTTGGAGTGAGTGTGAAATATGGGTTCCATTTTTTGTTTTGCTTTTTCTCTTTAACATTGTGTCATGAACATTTTTTCCCATGAAATTCTGTGGTACCCATGGATCATTATAGTGTCTGTTGAATATTGAAGAATGGAATTTCTTTAGAACTGTCCTTTTATGTTTTTGTGTGTATGTATGTGTTTTTTTTTTTTACTTTAAACTTTACTTTTAGCAGAGCTATTCCTTTAAAAAATAATGTTTGCCTTTCTCTCCCCACTCTCAACTTCATATCTCCCATGTAGCTGTTTTTGTCCTGGATTTTGGTACGTAGGTCCCTGGAGAGTCCCCACTTCTTCAGGGCTCTCCTGTAGCTGCCCCACGTGGAAGGCACAACAGTTGCTTCCTAGGCACATGTAACTTATGGGGATTCATATCCAACTTCTGGGATCAGGCCTTTTGCATCATCATGGTAGACAGCACCGGAGGCAGCAAGGCCTGGATCAGTGCAAGCAAGATCTGTGGAATGAACATATGGGTCATTTAAAATGGGTCCTGACAAAGATCTAAAATTGACACCCTAACATCACAATTAAAAGAACTAGAAAAGCAAGAGCAAACACATTCAAAAGCCAGCAGAAGGCAAGAAATAACTAAGATCAGAGCAGAACTGAAGGAAATAGAGACACGAAAAAACCCTTCAAAAAATCAATGAATCCAGGAGCTGGTTTCTTGAAAAGATCAACAAAATTGATAGACCACTAGCAAGACTAATAAAGAAGAAAAGAGAGAAGCATCAAATAGACGCAATAAAAAATGATAAAGGGGATATCACCACCAATCCCACAGAAATACAAACTATCATCAAAGAATACTATAAACACCTCTACGCAAATAAACTAGAAAATCTAGAAGAAATGGATAAATTCCTCGATACATACATCCTCCCAAGACTAAACCAGGAAGAAGCTGAATCTCTTGATAGACCAATAACAGGCTCTGAAATTGAGGCAATAATCAATAGCTTACCAACCAAAAAAAGTCCAGGACCAGATGGATTCACAGCCGAATTCTACCAGAGGTACAAAGAGGAGCTGGTACCATTTCTTCTGAAACTATTCCAATCAATAGAAAAAGAGGGAATCCTCCCTAACTCATTTTATGAGGCCAGCATCATCCTGATACCAAAGCCTGGCAGAGACACAACCAAAAAAGAGAATTTTAGACCAATATCCTTGACGAACATCGATGCAAAAATCCTCAATAAAATACTAGCAAACCGAATCCAGCTGCGCATCAAAAAGCTTATCCACCATGATTAAGTGGGCTTCATCCCTGGGATGCAAGGCTGGTTCAACACATGCAAATCAATAAATGTAATCCAGCATATAAACAGAACCAAAGACAAAAACCACATGATTATCTCGATAGATGCAGAAAAGGCCTTTGACAAAATTCAACAACACTTCATGCTAAAAACTCTCAATAAAATAGGTATTGATGGGACATATCTCAAAATAATAAGAGCTATCTATGACAAACCCACAGCCAATATCATACTGAATGGGCAAAAACTGGAAGCATTCCCTTTGAAAACTGGCACAAGACAGGGATGCCCCCTCTCACCACTCCTATTCAACATAGTGTTGGAAGTTCTGGCCAGGGCAATCAGGCAGGAGAAGGAAAGAAAGGGTATTCAATTAGGAAAAGAGGAAGTCAAATTGTCCCTGTTTGCAGATGAAATGATTGTATATCTAGAAAACCCCATCGTCTCAGCCCAAAATCTCCTCAAGCTGATAGGCAACTTCAGCAAAGTCTTAGGATACAAAATCAATGTACAAAAATCACAAGCATTCTTATACACCAATAACAGACAAACAGAGAGCCAAATCATGAGTGAACTCCCATTCACAATTGCTTCAAAGAGAATAAATTACCTAGGAATCCAACTTACAAGGGATGTGAAGGACCTCTTCAAGGAGAACTGCAAACCACTGCTCAATGAAATAAAAGAGGATACAAACAAATGGAAGAACATTCCATGCTCATGGGTAGGAATAATCAATATCGTGAAAATGGCCATACTGCCCAAGGTAATTTAGAGATTCAATGCCATCCCCATCAAGCTACCAATGACTTTCTTCACAAAATTGGAAAAAACTACTTTAAAGTTCATATGGAACCGAAAAAGAGCCTGCATCGCCAAGTCAATCCTAAGCCAAAAGAACGAAGCTGGAGGCATTACACTACCTGACTTCAAACTATACTACAAGGCTACAGTAACCAAAACAGCATGGTACTGGTACCAAAACAGAGATATAGACCAATGGAACAGAACAGAGCCCTCAGAAATAATGCTGCATATCTACAACCATCTGATCTTTGACAAACCTGACAAAAACAAGCAATGGGGAAAGGATTTCCTATTTAATAAATGGTGCTGGGAAAACTGGCTAGCCATATGTAGAAAGCTGAAACTGGATCCCTTCCTTACACCTTATACAAAAATTCATTCAAGATGGATTAAAGACTTACATGTTAGACCTAAAACCATAAAAACCCTAGAAGAAAACCTAGGCAATACCATTCAGGACATAGGCATGGGCAAGGACTTCATGTCTAAAACACCAAAAGCAATGGCAACAAAAGCAAAAATGGGATCTAATTGACAAATGGGGTCTAATTAAACTAAAGAGCTTCTGTATAGCAAAAACAAAAACTACCATCAGAGTGAACAGGCAACCTACAGAATGGGAGAAAATTTTTGCAATCTACTCATCTGACAAAGGGCTAATATCCAGAATCTACAATGAACTCAAACAAATTTACAAGAAAAAAACAAACAACCCCATCAACAAGTGGGTGCAGGATATGAACAGACACTTCTCAAAAGAAGACATTTATGCAGCCAAAAAACACATGAAAAAATGCTCATCATCACTGGCCATCAGAGAAATGCAAATCAAAACCACAATGAGATACCATCTCACACCAGTTAGAATGGCAATCATTAAAAAGTCAGGAAACAACAGGTGCTGGAGAGGATGTGGAGAAATAGGAACACTTTTACACTGTTGGTGGGACTGTAAACTAGTTCAACCATTGTGGAAGTCAGTGTGGCGATTCCTCAGGGATCTAGAACTAGAAATACCATTTGACCCAGCCATCCCATTACTGGGTATATACCCAAAGGATTATAAATCATGCTGCTATAAAGACACATGCACACATATGTTTATAGCGGCACTATTCACAATAGCAAAGACCTGGAACCAACCTAAATGTCCAACAACGATAGACTGGATGAAGAAAATGTGGCACATATACACCATGGGATACTATGCAGCCATAAAAAATGATGAGTTCATGTCCTTTGTAGGGACATGGATGAAACTGGAAACCATCATTCTCAGCAAACTATCGCAAGGACAAAAAAACCAAACACCGCATGTTCTCACTCATAGGTGGGAATTGAACAATGAGAACACATGGACACAGGAAGGGGAACATCACACACCAGGAACTGTTGTGGGGTGGGAGGCGGGGGGAGGGATAGCATTAGGAGATATACCTAATGCTAAATGACGAGTTAATGGGTGCAGCACACCAACATGGCACATGTATACATATGTAACAAACCTGCACATTGTGCACATGTACCCTAAAACTTAAAGTATAATAATAAAATTTAAAAAAATAAAAAAATAAAATAAAAATCACCCACCACCAAAAAAATAAAATAAAATAAATAAATAAAATAAAATGGGTCCTGACCCATGGCAGAGAGAGTACAGCTCATCTGCAAGTGGCCAGGCAGGTGAGTGATGGTTTTTCATTTCTCGAAGAAGAAATGAAAGAACTGAATTAAGGGTTGTAGAGAAGTCTTAACTAACAATTACAGGAACTAATCCAAAGCTGCATATACAAAACCATGTGTGGTATACTTTTTGGGAAATTTAAGGGATTTTCAAGGGTGATTTTTATTAGTTTGATTTTCTATTTCCATTCTGACTTCAGGACAAGATGCAACTCCATCATTTTCGGGAGTGACCTAAGCCAATCAGGTTGGTCTTTCAGCATTTGCTATGAGCTCTCAGAAGCTTCCAGAAGTGGGAAGTAATAAAGGCACTTTGTCCCCTTCCCCCAATTTCTCCCTGAAGTGGCATGTTACAACAAAAGCAAGTGATGGGGTTTAGGATATGTTACCCCAAAATATAGCCACTTGACATTTGGGAATGCTACAGGAGCAGAACGGTCACTCTCACCTTCTCTTACCCTTTTCCCTTGAAGCAGATCTAAGATCCTCATTCAAGAGGTACCCTCTCTATAAAAGAGCCAAAGACAGAGACACCCAGAAGAATCTGAACAGATAGGCCCTGCTAAGTTCCCCCAGTTTATTACCATTAGATCATACCCTTTTGCCCGCTAATGATACTGCCCCACGACTATCCACTCTTTATCTAACCTAAGCATAAATATACACGTCTACCTGTGTCTTTCAGTTCTCCTTTCTGAAAGCTCCTATGTCACATAAAACATTTATTTAGAAAATCTGTATGCTTTTCTTTTGTTAATCTGTGTTTTGTTATAGGGTCTTTGGTCATGAACCTAGCAATGGGTGAGAAAAAAAGTTATTATTTTCATTCCCTACACAAGTATTAGACCAAATTCTACATGAAAGCAATCAAGTGACCTGTTCTTCCAAAGTCAGGGATGTTCCCACTCACAAACATGCATCAAGTCCCTTGCATCAGATGTACACTCAGAGGGGGTGGAATAATATCATGATGGTGAGTCAGGGGCAGACCGCCCCTGCCCCACCGCCATGAAGTGGCAGACCCAAACCAGATGGATTTCACACTCTAGGCTGCACTCCAGAGGGGCTGGGTTGCTGGGCTGGCTAGCTTCTTAGACCTTGTTTTCATGGGTGGTGGGTATTGTAACATCTTTCTAGCTAACCACGTTGATCAGCATTCATTTCACCAGTGAAAATTTAGAAATTACTTCTATCATCTTGTATGATAATTCTGGAGCCCTGTGACTTAAATTTTGAAATCAAGTGGTTAGTGCTTTAAATGCTAACTAGCCACTCTCGGGATGTTGATTTAAGTCATCTTACAACTAGAAACAACCAAAATGCCCACCTTCGTGAGACTCCATAAGGAAAATTTGGTGCAATCACACAATGGAACAGTGTGCTACTGAAGTAAGCAAATAAGGAAGCTTTCCAGGAACTGGTGGAGAAACACCTGCCCCCACCCCAAGATATAGGGTTCAGGGAAAGATCAAGGTGCAGACATCTGAGGAAATAATTTGCATTCTATGGAGCTGGAGGGAAATAAGGGTTTGCATTTGTATTTGCATTTGTATTTGCTGGACAGATACGCAGGAAACTAGTAAGTTACCTCTGGGGATCAGGGTAGGAAAGAGGATTCGAAATAGGGCCAATAGGGGTAGGAGTAGAAACAAGACTTTTCACTGTAATACAGTTCATATTGTTTTGATGGTTTTACCATGTGAATGTATCACCTATTCTGAGCAAGTAAATGTATAAGCTAATTTCACACAGGTACATCATACTGTTTATACCAAAGCATTTTAAAGTAAATTGCAGCAAAGACAATAAGGCCATGGTGCTCAGCCCTGGCCTTTCTTTAAGGTAGCACTTGCCAAACCATGGGGCCGGAACTGGACATCACAGGATAAACTTACCTTGCTGGGAGACCTGGAAGGGAAACAGGCATAGATATATTCTGAGTAAAATATAGCTTTGCAGGAAAGCCTTCCTGGCTCCCTGTACACAACCAGCCGCTGACCTTCAGTTCTGTGGTGTGGGATGAGCTGTCATCAGGTGTTCTCGGATCCCAATGTTAGGTAAAGGTGGGTCCAATGGGGTTTTTAGACTTTCTACGGCAAATTTCATTTGGTGTCCAAACACCTCTGGGAAATAGGATTATCCCTTTTTGAGACAAGAAGGATCTCAAAGGGCACATAATTTGACGAAAGCAATTTGACTGAAGAACTCCCAGGTCCTCATTTTTATTCTGACACACCATCAGTGGCTAGGCTATGGGAAGAACTTGTTTATTTCTGCATTTAGTTATTTGAGACAAGAGCTATCATTGTTCTACTCTTGACTTTTTGTTTTTGTTTTTTATGTACTGCCAGTTTTCCTAAAGGATTTAAGGGAAGCTTTCACACATTAAAAAAGAAGGTCTGGGAAACACAACAGAGGAGCGAGAACTTGAAATGTGGCTCTACCCTCTCTCACAGCCGTGGCTCAAAGGCAGCCCCCGGGGGTTGCCCCGTCTTGCGGTCACTCTAGGCTTCGTGAGGGCACAGCACAGTGTGGGATGCAGGAGAAGGGCGGGCTGGCAGTGACCACATTTTTGTTTATAAGGAGAGATGGGAAAATTGCCCAGAAGTGGAGAGGTTCTTCCTTTTCCTTAGTAATTTGCAAAGAGAAACTCTGAGCCTTTTCGAGAGTGAGATGTTATCAGAAGGGAGGCGTCAGCGGACAATTGAGCATTGTTCTTTATCGGTGATTTCTCCGTCTGACTCACCTCCTCCCACATTCTCAGTCAACAGTAGTTGTCACCCTGTCAAAGTTGTGGCACCCCAGGACCACCTCTCAGTGCCATTTGCACTCTGATCTCAGTGGCTTCTATTTGTATTGACCTGATGCTCATCTAGGAACCATGATGTGGCATTTTCTTGTTTGATTCTCATCTTAACGGGAGGGAACATCAGAAAGGTGAAAGTGATGATGAGACCTAGCTCCGAGATGGAACCCTTGATTTACCCAGGATTCTGCAATTCTATTTTAAAAGAATACCAAAAGTTGCCTCACCTATATGAAATGTCATGTGTCAGGAAAGAGTGTTTCACAAAAGTTAGGCTACATGCGAAAATTCCAGCATTTTCTGTGCTTAGAACCCAGGTCAGGAAACACTGGTCAGGAGCTCTTCCTGCCCGGCCAGTGTCAGGAAGAGTCTCGGGGTTTGGTTCCATTTCCAGCTCCTTGCTGGCAGGGCCAGGTCTGATTTGCTGCTGTCCCCAATGCCAGGTACAGGCAGGTGTCTTCACAAGCATGCGACCTGTGCCGTGGTGGGCCGCACAAGCAGAAAACCCTGTGCTTGGTTTAATGCTCTGCTGTCACCAGCTTGGAATCCTGAATAATTTTATCTGTAAAATTTTTTTTTACTGTGGTAAAATGTATATAACATAAAATTTACCATTTTAATCATGTTTAAGTGTACAGTTCAGTGGCACCGAGGGACATTCACAATGTTCCACAGCCATCACTGCCATGCATCTCCAGAACTTTTTCATCACCCCAAACAGAAATGCTGTACTTATCAACCAAAAACTCCCCCATCCCCCCTTTCCCCGACCCCTGGTAACTTCTATTTTACCTCTATCTCTGCAACTTTGACTACTCTAGGAGCCTCATATAAGCAGAATCGTACAGTATTAGCCTTTGTGTCTGGCTCATTTCACTTAGCATAATGTCCTTAAGGTTCATCCATGGTGGTGCATGAATCAGAATTTATCATTCTTTTTTGTTTTTTGTTTGTTTGTTTTTTTGAGACGGAGTCTCGCTCTGTAGCCCAAGCTGGAGTGCAGTGGCACGACCTCAGCTCACTGCAAGCTCCGCCTCCCAGGTTCATGCCATTCTCCTGCCTCAGCCTCCTGAGTAGCTGGAACTACAGGCACCCACCACCAAGCCCGGCTAATTTTTTGTGTTTTTAGTAAAGACAGGGTTTCGGGTTTCGCTGTGCTAGCCAGGATGGTCTCAATCTCCTGACCTCGTGGTCCTCCCGCCTCGGCCTCCCAAAGTGCTGGGATTACAGGCGTGAGCCACCGCACCCAGCCTTATTCTTTTTTAATGCTGAATAGCATTCCATCATATGGATAGACTACAGTTAATCTATCCATTCATCTGTCAATAGACATTCAGGTTCCTTCCACCTTGTGGCTATTGTGAATAATGCTGCTATAAACATTGGTGTACAAGTTGCTATTTTTAATTATTTAAAAAAGATTATTTTAAAAATTAGTAGATAAAAACCATTAAAACCCAAGGCTGATGGGAAGAAAATGGCAAAAAAAAAAAAAAAAAAAAAAAAAAAAGGATATTGAATGGTAACATACAGGGAATATCTGTTTCTTCCTTATTCATTTATGTCAACCTTTTCATCCATAACCAGTTATCAGATACCTCATAGATTTAATAATAGCTTTAGGGGTGGAAGGAGAGGAATAAACACCCACTGAATATACCTAGTAAGAACATTTAAAAATAATTAAAGAACATTTAAAAATAATTTGAAAATATTTAAAAAGTATATCTTGGAGCAGGGGTAAGAGGGTTCATTCTACCTTCTCACTTAGCCCACCTTTCCTGGCTCAGTCTCCATCCCCAGGGGTTGGGAATTTGTGACCTGGTACAAGTTCCTGGGGGCCTGACGGGCTGAGTGCCCCCAGGAAGTTTCCAA